>NC_000009.12:43389635-43755044 GCF_000001405.40 Homo sapiens
AGCATTCTCAGGAACTTCATTGTGATGTTTGCATTCAAGTCACAGAACTGAACATTCCCTTTCATAGAGCAGGTTTGAAACACTCTTTCTGCACTACCTGGAGGTGGACATTTGGAGCGCTTTGAGTCCTATGTTGAAAAAGGAAATATCTTCCCATAAAAACTAGACAGAAGCATTCTCAGAAACTTGTTTGTGATGTGTGTATTCAACTAACAGAGATGAACCTTTCTTTTTACAGAGCAGTTTTAAAACACTCTTTTTGTGGAATCTGAAAGTGGATATTTGGATAGCTTTGAGGATTTCGTTGGAAACGGGATTACATATAAAATCTAGGGAGAAGCATTCTCAGGAACTTCTTTGTGATGTTTGCATTCAAGTCACAGAACTGAACATTCCCTTTCATAGAGCAGGTTTGAAACACTCTTTCTGTAGTATCTGCAAGCTGACGTTTCAAGCGCTTTCAGGCCTATGGTGAGAAAGGAAATATCTTCAAGTAAAAACTAGACAGAAGCATTCTCAGAAACTTATTTGCCATGTGTGTTCTCAACTAACAGAGTTGAACCTTTGTTTTGATACGGCATTTTGGAAACACTCTTTTTGTAGAATCTGCAGGTGGATATTCGGATAGCTTTGAAGGTTTCGTTGGAAACGGGAATATCTTCATATAAAATCTAGACAGGAAGCATTCTCAGAAACTGCTTTGTGATGTTTTCATTCAAGTCACAGAGTAGAATGTTCCCTGTTATATACCAGGTTTGAGACACTCTTTCTGCACTACCTGGAAGTGGACGTTTGGAGCGCTTTGAGGCCTATGTTGAAAAAGGAAATATCTTCCCATAAAAACTAGACAGAACCATTCTCAGAAACTTGTTTCTGATGTGTGAATTCAACTAACAGAGATGAACCTTTCTTTTTACAGAGCAGTTTTGAAACACTCTTTTTCTGGAATCTGAAAGTAGATATTTGGATAGCTTTGAGGATTTCGTTGGAAACGGGATTACATATAAAATCTAGAGAGAAAGCATTCTCAGGAACTTCTTTGTGATGTTTGCATTCACGCCACAGAACTGAACATTCCCTTTCATAGTGCATGTTTGAAACACTCTTTCTGTAGTATCTGCAAACGGACATTTCAAGCGCTTTCAGGCCTATGGTAAGAAAGGAAATATCTTCAAATAAAAACTAGACAGAAGCATTGTCAGAAACTTATTTGCCATGTGTGTTCTCAACTAACAGAGTTGAACCTTTGTTTTGATACGGCATTTTGGAAACACTCTTTTTGCAGAATCTGCAGGTGGATATTCGGATAGCTTTGAAGGTTTCGTTGGAAACGGGAATATCTTCATATAAAATCTAGACGGAAGCATTCTCAGAAACTTCTCTGTGATGTTTGCATTCAACTCATAGAGTTGAACACTTCCCTTCATACAGCAGGTTTGAAACACTCTTTTTCTAATATTTGGAAGTGGACATTTGCAGCGCTTTGAGGCCTATGTTGAAAAAGGAAATATCTTCTCCTAAAAACCAGACAGAAGCATTCTCAGAAACTTCCTTGTGATGTGTGTACTCAAGTAACAGAGTTGAACCTTCCTTTTGACAGAGCAGTTTTGAAGCACTCTTTTTGTAGAATCTGCAAGTGGATATTTTGATACCTTTGAGGATTTCGTTGGACACGGGATATCTTCATATAAAATCTAGACAGAAGCATTCTCAGAAACTTATTTGCGATGTGTGTCCTCAACTAACAGAGTTGAACCTTTCTTTTGATACAACATTTTGGAAACACTCTTTTTGTAGAATCTGCAAGTGGATATTTGGATAGCTTTGAAGGTTTCGTTGGAAACGGGAATATCTTCATATGAAATGAAGACAGAAGCATTCTCAGAAAGTGCTTTGTGATGTTTGCATTCAAGTCACAGAGTTGAATATTCCCTTTTATAGAGCAGGTTTGAAACACTCTTTCTGCACTACCTGGAAGTGGACATTTGGAGCGCTTTGAGGCCTATGTTGAAAAAGGAAATATCTTCCCATGAAAACTAGACAGAAGCATTCTCAGAAACTTGTTTGTGATGTGTGTATTCAACTAACAGAGATGAACCTTTCTTTTTAGAGAGCAGTTTTGAAACACTCTTTTTGTGGAATCTGAAATTGGATATTTGGACAGCTTTGAGGATTTCGTTGGGAACGGGATTTCATATAAAACCTAGAGAGAAGCATTCTCAGGAACTTCTTTGTGATGTTTGCATTCAAGTCACAGGACTGAACGTTCCCTTTCATAGAGCAGGTTTGAAACACTCTTTCTGTAGTATCTGCAATCTGACGTTTCATGCGTTTTCAGGCCTATGGTGAGAAAGGAAATATCTTCAAGTAAAAACTAGACAGAAAGCATTCTCAGAAACTTCTTTGTGCTGTATGTCCTCAATTAACAGAGTTGAAACTTTGTGTGGATACAGTATTTTGGAAACACTCCTTTAGTAGAATCTGCAAGTTGATATTTAGATAGCTAGGAAGATTTCCTTGGAAACGGGAATATCTTCACATAAAATCTAGACGGAAGCATTCTCAGAAACTGCTTTGTGATGTTTTCATTCAAGTCACAGAGTAGAATGTTCCCTGTTATATACCAGGTTTGAGACACTCTTTCTGCACTACCCGGAAGTGGACGTTTGGAGCGCTTTGAGGCCAATGTTGAAAAAGGAAATATCTTCCCATAAAAACTAGACAGAAGCATTCTCAGAAACTTGTTTGTGATGTGTGTATTCAACTAACAGAGATGAACCTTTCTTTTTACAGAGTAGTTTTGAAACACTCTTTTTGTGGAATCTGAAAGTGGATATTTGGATAGCTTTGCGGATTTCGTTGGAAACGGGATTACATATAAAATCTAGGGAGAAGCATTCTCAGGAACTTCTTTGTGATGTTTGCATTCAAGTCACAGAACTGAACATTCCCTTTCATAGAGCAGGTTTGAAACACTCTTTCTGTAGTATCTGCAAGTGGACGTTTCAAGCGCTTTCAGGCCTGTGGTGAAAAAGGAAATATCTTCAAATAAAAACTGGACAGAAGCATTCTCAGAAACTTATTTGCCATGTGTGTTCTCAACTAACAGAATTGAACCTTTGTTGTGATACGGCATTTTGGAAACACTCTTTTTGTGGAATCTGCAGGTGCATATTCGGATAGCTTTGAAGGTTTCGTTGGAAACGGGAATATCTTCATATAAAATCTAGACGGAAGCATTCTCAGAAAGTGCTTTGTGATGTTTTCATTCCAGTCACAGAGTAGAATGTTCCCTTTTATATACCAGGTTTGAGACACTCTTTCTGCACTATCTGGAAGTGGACATTTGGAGCGCTTTGAGGCCTATGATGAAAAAGGAAATATCTTCCCATAAAAACTAGACAGAAGCATTCTCAGAAATTTGTTTGTGATGTGTGTATTCAACTAACAGACATGAACCTTTCTTTTTACAGAGCAGTTTTGAAACACTCTTTTTGTGGAATCTGAGAGTGGATATTTGGATATCTTTGAGGATTTCGTTGGAAACGGGATTACATATAAAATCTAGAGAGAAGCATTCTCAGGAACTTCTTTGTGATGTTTGCATTCAAGTCACAGAACTGAACATTCCCTTTCATAGAGCAGGTTTGAAACACTCTTTCTGTAGTATCTGCAAGCTGACGTTTCAAGCGCTTTCAGGCCTATGGTGAGAAAGGAAATATCTTCAAGTAAAAACTAGACAGAAGCATTCTCAGAAACATATTTGCCATGTGTGTTCTCAACTAACAGAGTTGAACCTTTGTTTTGATACAGCATTTTGGAAACACTCTTTTTGTAGAATCTGCAGGTGGATATTCGGATAGCTTTGAAGGTTTCGTTGGAAACGGGAATATCTTCATATAAAATCAAGACAGAAGCATTCTCAGAAACTTCTCTGTGATGTTTGCATTCAACTCATAGAGTTGAACACTTCCCTTCATACAGCAGGTTTGAAACACTCTTTTTGTAATATTTGGAAGTGGACATTTGCAGCGCTTTGAGGCCTATGTTGAAAAAGGAAATATCTTCTCCTAAAAACCAGACAGAAGCATTCTCAGAAACTTCCTTGTGATGTGTGTACTCAAGTAACAGAGTTGAACCTTACTTTTGACAGAGCCGTTTTGAAACAGTCTTTTTGTAGAATCTGGAAGTAGATATTTGGATACCTTTGAGGATTTCTTTGGAAACGGGATATCTTCATATAAAATCTAGACAGAAGCATTCTCAGAAACTTCTTTGTGCTGTATGTCCTCAATTAACAGAGTTGAACCTTTGTGTGGATACAGCATTTTGGAAACATTCCTTTAGTAGAATCTGCAAGTTGATATTTAGATAGCTAGGAAGATTTCCTTGGAAACGGGAATATCTTCATATAAAATCTAGACGGAAGCATTCTCAGAAAGTGCTTTGTGATGTTTGCATTCAAGTCACAGAGTTGAATATTCCCTTTTATAGAGCAGGTTTGAAACACTCTTTCTGCACTACCTGGAAGTGGACATTTGGAGCGCTTTGAGGCCTATGTTGAAAAACGAAATATCTTCCCATAAAAACTAGACAGAAGCATTCTCAGAAACTTGTTTGTGATGTGTGTATTCAACTAACAGAGATGAACCTTTCTTTTTACAGAGCAGTTTTGAAACACTCTTTTTGTGTAATCTGAAAGTGGATATTTGGATAGCATTGAGGATTTCGTTGGAAACTGGATTACATATAAAACCTAGAGAGAAGCATTCTCAGGAACTTCTTTGTGATGTTTGCATTCAAGTCACAGAACTGAACATTCCCTTTCATAGAGCAGGTTTGAAACACTCTTTCTGTAGTATCTGCAAGCTGACGTTTCATGCGTTTTCAGGCATATGGTGAGAAAGGAAATATCTTCAAGTAAAAACTAGACAGAAGCATTCTCAGAAACATATTTGCCATGTGTGTTCTCAACTAACAGAGTTGAACCTTTGTTTTGATACGGCATTTTGGAAACACTCTTTTTGTAGTATCTGCAGGTGGATATTCGGATAGCTTTGAAGGTTTCGTTGGAAAGGGGAATATCTTCATATAAAATCTAGACGGAAGCATTCTCAGAAACTGCTTTGTGATGTTTTCATTCAAGTCACAGAGTAGAATGTTCCCTGTTATACACCAGGTTTGAGACACTCTTTCTGCACTACCTGGAAGTGGACGTTTGGAGCGCTTTGAGGCCTATGTTGAAAAAGGAAATATCTTCCCATAAAAACTAGACAGAAGCATTCTCAAAAGCTTCCTTGTGATGTGTGTACTCAAGTAACAGAGTTGAACCTTACTTTTGACAGAGCCGTTTTGAAACAGTCTTTTTGTAGAATTTGGAAGTAGATATTTGGATACCTTTGAGGATTTCTTTGGAAACGGGATATCTTCATATAAAATCTAGACAGAAGCATTCTCAGGAACTTCTTTGTGATGTTTGCATTCAAGTCACAGAACTGAACATTCCCTTTCATAGAGCAGGTTTGAAACACTCTTTCTGTAGTATCTGCAAGCTGACGTTTCAAGCGCTTTCAGGCCTATGGTGAGAAAGGAAATATCTTCAAGTAAAAACTAGACAGAAGCATTCTCCGAAACTTATTTGCCATGTGTGTTCTCAACTAACAGAGTTGAACCTTTGTTTTGATACGGCATTTTGGAAACACTCTTTTTGTAGAATCTGCAGGTGGATATTCGGATAGCTTTGAAGGTTTCGTTGGAAACGGGAATATCTTCATATAAAATCTAGACGGAAGCATTCTCAGAAACTGCTTTGTGATGTTTTCATTCAAGTCACAGAGTAGAATGTTCCCTGTTATATACCAGGTTTGAGACACTCTTTCTGCACTACCTGGAAGTGGACGTTTGGAGCGCTTTGAGGCCTATGTTGAAAAAGGAAATATCTTCCCATAAAAACTAGACAGAAGCATTCTCAGAAACTTGTTTGTGATGTGTGTATTCAACTAACAGAGATGAACCTTTCTTTTTACAGAGCAGTTTTGAAACACTCTTTTTGTGGAATCTGAAAGTGGATATTTGGATAGCTTTGAGGATTTCGTTGGAAACGGGATTACATATAAAATCTAGAGAGAAGCATTCTCAGGAACTTCTTTGTGATGTTTGCATTCACGTCACAGAACTGAACATTCCCTTTCATAGAGCATGTTTGAAACACTCTTTCTGTAGTATCTGCAAACGGACATTTCAAACGCTTTCAGGCCTATGGTGAGAAAGGAAATATCTTCAAGTAAAAACTAGACAGAAGCATTCTCAGAAACTTATTTGCGATGTGTGTCCTCAACTAACAGAGTTGAACCTTTCTTTTGATACAACATTTTGGAAACACTCTTTTTGTAGAATCAGCAAGTGGATATTTGAATAGCTTTGAAGGTTTCGTTGGAAACGGGAATATCTTCATATAAAATCAAGACAGAAGCATTCTCAGAAACTTCTCTGTGATGTTTGCATTCAACTCATAGAGTTGAACACTTCCCTTCATACAGCAGGTTTGAAACACTCTTTTTGTAATATTTGGAAGTGGACATTTGCAGCGCTTTGAGGCCTATGATGAAAAAGGTAATATCTTCCCATAAAAACTAGACAGAAGCATTCTCAGAAACTTGTTTGTGATGGGTGTATTCAACTAACAGAGATGAACCTTTCTTTTTACAGAGCAGTTTTGAAACACTCTTTTTGTGGAATCTGAAAGTGGATATTTGGATAGCTTTGCGGATTTCGTTGGAAACGGGATTACATATAAAATCTAGGGAGAAGCATTCTCAGGAACTTCCTTGTGATGTTTGCATTCACGTCACAGAACTGAACATTCCCTTTCATAGAGCATGTTTGAAACACTCTTTCTGTAGTATCTGCAAACGGACATTTCAAGCGCTTTCAGGCCTATGGTAAGAAAGGAAATATCTTCAAATAAAAACTAGACAGAAGCATTCTCAGAAACTTATTTGCGATGTGTGTCCTCAACTAACAGAGTTGAACCTTTCTTTTGATACAACATTTTGGAAACACTCTTTTTGTAGTATCTGCAAGTGGATATTTGAATAGCTTTGAAGGTTTCGTTGGAAACGGGAATATCTTCATATGAAATCAAGACAGAAGCATTCTCAGAAACTTCTCTGTGATGTTTGCATTCAACTCATAGAGTTGAACACTTCCCTTCATACAGCAGGTTTGAAACACTCTTTTTCTAATATTTGGAAGTGGACATTTGCAGCGCTTTGAGGCCTATGTTGAAAAAGGAAATATCTTCTCCTAAAAACCAGACAGAAGCATTCTCAGAAACTTCCTTGTGATGTGTGTACTCAAGTAACAGAGTTGAACCTTCCTTTTGACAGAGCAGTTTTGAAGCACTCTTTTTGTAGAATCTGCAAGTGGATATTTTGATACCTTTGAGGATTTCGTTGGACACGGGATATCTTCATATAAAATCTAGACAGAAGCATTCTCAGAAACTTCTTTGTGCTGTATGTCCTCAATTAACAGAGTTGAACCTTTGTGTGGATACAGCATTTTGGAAACATTCCTTTAGAAGAATCTGCAAGTTGATATTTAGATAGCTAGGAAGATTTCCTTGGAAACGGGAATATCTTCATATAAAATCTAGACGGAAGCATTCTCAGAAACTTCTCTGTGATGTTTGCATTCAACTCATGGAGTTGAACACTTCCTTTCATAGAGCAGGTTTGAAACAGTCTGTGCACTACCTGGAAGTGGACATTTGGATCGCTTTGAGGCCTATGTTGAAAAAGGAAATATCTTCCCATAAAAACTAGACAGAAGCATTCTCAGAAACTTGTTTGTGATGTGTGTATTCAACTAACAGAGATGAACCTTTATTTTTACAGAGCAGTTTTGAAACACTCTTTTTGTGGAATCTGAAAGTGGATATTTGGATAGCTTTGAGGATTTCGTTGGAAACGGGATTACATATAAAACCTAGAGAGAAGCATTCTCAGGAACTTCTTTGTGATGTTTGCATTCAAGTCACAGAACTGAACATTCCCTTTCATAGAGCAGGTTTGAAACACTCTTTCTGTAGTATCTGCAAGCTGACGTTTCAAGCGCTTTCAGGCCTATGGTGAGAAAGGAAATATCTTCAAGTAAAAACTAGACAGAAGCATTCTCAGAAACTTATTTGCCATGTGTGTTCTCAACTAACAGAGTTGAACCTTTGTTTTGATATGGCATTTTGGAAACACTCTTTTTGTAGAATCTGCAGGTGGATATTCGGATAGCTTTGAAGGTTTCGTTGGAAACGGGAATATCTTCATATAAAATCTAGACGGAAGCATTCTCAGAAACTGCTTTGTGATGTTTTCCTTCAAGTCACAGAGTAGAATGTTCCCTGTTATATACCAGGTTTGAGACACTCTTTCTGCACTACCTGGAAGTGGACATTTGCAGCGCTTTGAGGCCTATGATGAAAAAGGAAATATCTTCCCATAAAAACTAGACAGAAGCATTCTCAGAAACTTGTTTGTGATGTGTGTATTCAACTAACAGAGATGAACCTTTCTTTTTACAGAGCAGTTTTGAAACACTCTTTTTGTGGAATCTGAAAGTGGATATTTGGATAGCTTTGAGGATTTCGTTGGAAACGGGATTACATATAAAATCTAGAGAGAAGCATTCTCAGGAACTTCTTTGTGATGTTTGCATTCAAGTCACAGAACTGAACATTCCCTTTCATAGAGCATGTTTGAAACACTCTTTCTGTAGTATCTGCAAACGGATATTTCAAACGCTTTCAGGCCTATGGTGAGAAAGGAAATATCTTCAAATAAAAACTAGACAGAAGCATTCTCAGAAACTTATTTGCGATGTGTGTCCTCAACTAACAGAGTTGAACCTTTCTTTTGGTACAACATTTTGGAAACACTCTTTTTGTAGAATCTGCAAGTGGATATTTGGATAGCTTTGAAGGTTTCGTTGGAAACGGGAATATCTTCATATAAAATCAAGACAGAAGCATTCTCAGAAACTTCTCTGTGATGTTTGCATTCAACTCATAGAGTTGAACACTTCCCTTCATACAGCAGGTTTGAAACACTCTTTTTGTAATATTTGGAAGTGGACATTTGCAGCGCTTTGAGGCCTATGATGAAAAAGGAAATATCTTCCCATAAAAACTAGACAGGAAGCATTCTCAGAAACTTCCTTGTGATGTGTGTAGTCAAGTAACAGAGTTGAACCTTCCTTTTGACAGAGCAGTTTTGAAGCACTCTTTTTGTAGAATCTGCAAGTGGATATTTTGATACCTTTGAGGATTTCGTTGGACACGGGATATCTTCATATAAAATCTAGACAGAAGCATTCTCAGGAACCTTCTTTGTGATGTTTGCATTCACGTCACAGAACTGAACATTCCCTTTCATAGAGCATGTTTGAAACACTCTTTCTGTAGTATCTGCAAACGGACATTTCAAACGCTTTCAGGCCTATGTTGAGAAAGTAAATATCTTCAAATAAAAACTAGACAGAAGCATTCTCAGAAACTTATTTGCCATGTGTGTTCTCAACTAACAGAGTTGAACCTTTGTTTTGATACGGCATTTTGGAAACACTCTTTTTGTAGAATCTGCAGGTGGATATTCGGATAGCTTTGAAGGTTTCGTTGGAAACGGGAATATCTTCATATAAAATCAAGACAGAAGCATTCTCAGAAACTTCTCTGTGATGTTTGCATTCAACTCATAGAGTTGAACACTTCCCTTCATACAGCAGGTTTGAAACACTCTTTTTGTAATATTTGGAAGTGGACATTTGCAGCGCTTTGAGGCCTATGTTGAAAAAGGAAATATCTTCTCCTAAAAACCAGACAGAAGCATTCTCAGAAACTTCCTTGTGATGTGTGTACTCAAGTAACAGAGTTGAACCTTCCTTTTGACGGAGCAGTTTTGAAGCACTCTTTTTGTAGAATCTGCAAGTGGATATTTTGATACCTTTGAGGATTTCGTTGGACACGGGATATCTTCATATAAAATCTAGACAGAAGCATTCTCAGAAACTTCTTTGTACTGTATGTCCTCAATTAACAGAGTTGAACCTTTGTGTGGATACAGCATTTTGGAAACATTCCTTTAGTAGAATCTGCAAGTTGATATTTAGATAGCTAGGAAGATTTCCTTGGAAACGGGAATATCTTCATATAAAATCTAGACGGAAGCATTCTCAGAAAGTGCTTTGTGATGTTTGCATTCAAGTCACAGAGTTGAATATTCCCTTTTATAGAGCAGGTTTGAAACACTCTTTCTGCACTACCTGGAAGTGGACATTTGGAGCGCTTTGAGGCCTATGTTGAAAAACGAAATATCTTCCCATAAAAACTAGACAGAAGCATTCTCAGAAACTTGTTTGTGATGTGTGTATTCAACTAACAGAGATGAACCTTCCTTTTGACAGAGCAGTTTTGAAACACTCTTTTTGTAGAATCTGCAAGTGGATATTTTGATACCTTTGAGGATTTCGTTGGACACGGGATATCTTCATATAAAATCTAGACAGAAGCATTCTCAGGAACTACTTTGTGATGTTTGCATTCAAGTCACAGAACTGAACATTCCCTTTCATAGAGCAGGTTTGAAACACTCGTTCTGTGGTATCTGCAAGCGGACGTTTCAAGCGCTTTCAGGCCTGTGGTGAAAAAGGAAATATCTTCAAATAAAAACTAGACAGAAGAATTCTCAGAAACATATTTGCGATGTATGTTCTCAACTAACAGAGTTGAACCTTTGTTTGGGTACAACATTTTGGAAACACTCTTTTTGTAGAATCTGCAAGTGGATATTTGGATAGCTTTGAAGGTTTCGTTGGAAACGGGAATATCTTCATATGAAATCAAGACAGAAGCATTCTCAGAAACTGCTTTGTGATGTTTTCATTCAAGTCACAGAGTAGAATGTTCCCTGTTATATACCAGCTTTGAGACACTCTTTCTGCACTACCTGGAAGTGGACGTTTGGAGCGCTTTGAGGCCTATGTTGAAAAAGGAAATATCTTCCCATAAAAACTAGACAGAAGCATTCTCAGAAACTTGTTTGTGATGTGTGTATTCAACTAACAGAGATGAACCTTTCTTTCTACAGAGCAGTTTTGAAACACTCTTTTTGTGGAATCTGAAAGTGGATATTTGGATAGCTTTGTGGATTTCGTTGGAAACGGGATTACATATAAAATCTAGAGAGAAGCATTCTCAGGAACTTCTTTGTGATGTTTGCATTCAAGTCACAGAACTGAACATTCCCTTTCATAGAGCATGTTTGAAACACTCTTTCTGTAGTATCTGCAAACGGACATTTGAAACGCTTTCAGGCCTATGGTGAGAAAGGAAATATCTTCAAATAAAAACTAGACAGAAGCATTCTCAGAAACTTGTTTGCGATGTGTTTCCTCAACTAACAGAGTTGAACCTTTCTTTTGATACAACATTTTGGAAACACTCTTTTTGTAGAATCTGCAAGTGGATATTTGGATAGCTTTGAAGGTTTCTTTGGAAACGGGAATATCTTCATATAAAATCAAGACAGAAGCATTCTCAGAAACTTCTCTGTGATGTTTGCATTCAACTCATAGAGTTGAACACTTCCCTTCATACAGCAGGTTTGAAACACTCTTTTTGTAATATTTGGAAGTGGACATTTGCAGCGCTTTGAGGCCTATGATGAAAAAGGTAATATCTTCCCATAAAAACTAGACAGAAGCATTCTCAGAAACTTGTTTGTGATGTGTGTATTCAACTAACAGAGATGAACCTTTCTTTTTACAGAGCAGTTTTGAAACACTCTTTTTGTGGAATCTGAAAGTGGATATTTGGATAGCTTTGCGGATTTCGTTGGAAACGGGATTACATATAAAATCTAGGGAGAAGCATTCTCAGGAACTTCTTTGTGATGTTTGCATTCAAGTCACAGAACTGAACATTCCCTTTCATAGAGCAGGTTTGAAACACTCTTTCTGTAGTATCTGCAAGCGGACGTTTTAAGCGCTTTCAGGCCTGGGGTGAGAAAGGAAATATCTTCAAATAAAAACTAGACAGAAGCATTCTCAGAAACTTATTTGCGATGTGTGTCCTCAACTAATAGAGTTGAACCTTTGATTTGATACAGCATTTTGGAAACACTCTTTTTGTAGAATTTGCAGGTGGATACTTGGATACCTTTGAAGGTTTCGTAGGAAACGAGAATATCTTCATTATAAAATCAAGACAGAAGCATTCTCAGAAACTTCTCTGTGATGTTTGCATTCAACTCATAGAGTTGAACACTTCCCTTCATACAGCAGGTTTGAAACACTCTTTTTCTAATATTTGGAAGTGGACATTTGCAGCGCTTTGAGGCCTATGTTGAAAAAGGAAATATCTTCTCCTAAAAACCAGACAGAAGCATTCTCAGAAACTTCCTTGTGATGTGTGTACTCAAGTAACAGAGTTGAACCTTCCTTTTGACAGAGCAGTTTTGAAGCACTCTTTTTGTAGAATCTGCAAGTGGATATTTTGATACCTTTGAGGATTTCGTTGGACGCGGGATATCTTCATATAAAATCTAGACAGAAGCATTCTCAGGAACTGCTTTGTGATGTTTGCATTCAAGTCACAGAACTGAACATTCCCTTTCATAGAGCATGTTTGAAACACTCTTTCTGTAGTATCTGCAAACGGACATTTCAAACGCTTTCAGGCCTATGGTGAGAAAGGAAATATCTTCAAATAAAAACTAGACAGAAGCATTCTCAGAAACTTATTTGCGATGTGTGTCCTCAACTAACAGAGTTGAACCTTTCTTTTGATACAACATTTTGGAAACACTCTTTTTGTAGAATCTGCAAGTGGATATTTGAATAGCTTTGAAGGTTTCGTTGGAAACGGGAATATCTTCATATAAAATCAAGACAGAAGCATTCTCAGAACTTCTCTGTGATGTTTGCATTCAACTCATAGAGTTGAACACTTCCCTTCATACAGCAGGTTTGAAACACTCTTTTTCTAATATTTGGAAGTGGACATTTGCAGCGCTTTGAGGCCTATGTTGAAAAAGGAAATATCTTCTCCTAAAAACCAGACAGAAGCATTCTCAGAAACTTCCTTGTGATGTGTGTACTCAAGTAACAGAGTTGAACCTTACTTTTGACAGAGCCGTTTTGAAACAGTCTTTTTGTAGAATCTGGAAGTAGATATTTGGATACCTTTGAGGATTTCTTTGGAAATGGGATATCTTCATATAAAATCTAGACAGAAGCATTCCCAGGAACTTCTTTGTGATGTTTGCATTCAAGTCACAGAACTGAACATTCCCTTTCATAGAGCAGGTTTGAAACACTCTTTCTGTAGTATCTGCAACCGGACGTTTCAAGCGCTTTCAGGCCTGTGGTGAAAAAGGAAATATCTTCAAATAGAAACTAGACAGAAGCATTCTCAGAAACTTATTTGCGATGTGTGTCCTCAACTAACAGAGTTGAACCTTTCTTTTGATACAACATTTTGGAACCAGTCTTTTTGTAGAATCTGCAAGTGGATATTTGGATAGCTTTGAAGGTTTCGTTGGAAACGGGAATATATTCATATAAAATCAAGACAGAAGCATTCTCAGAAATTTCTCTGTGATGTTTGCATTCAACTCATAGAGTTGAACACTTCCCTTCATACAGCAGGTTTGAAACACTCTTTTTGTAATATTTGGAAGTGGACATTTGCAGCGCTTTGAGGCCTATGATGAAAAAGGTAATATCTTCCCATAAAAACTAGACAGAAGCATTCTCAGAAACTTGTTTGTGATGTGTTTATTCAACTAACAGAGATGAACTTTTCTTTTTACAGAGTAGTTTTGAAACACTCTTTTTGTGGAATCTGAAATTGGATATTTGGATAGCTTTGAGGATTTCGTTGGAAACGGGATTACATATAAAATCTAGGGAGAAGCATTCTCAGGAACTTCTTTGTGATGTTTGCATTCAAGTCACAGAACTGAACATTCCCTTTCATAGTGCAGGTTTGAAACACTCTTTCTGTAGTATCTGCAAGCTGACGTTTCAAGCGCTTTCAGGCCTGTGGTGAAAAAGGAAATATCTTCAAATAAAAACTAGACAGAAGCATTCTCAGAAACTTATTTGCGATGTGTGTCCTCAACTAACAGAGTTGAACCTTTCTTTTGATACAACATTTTGGAAACACTCTTTTTGTAGAATCTGCAAGTGGATATTTGGATAGCTTTGAAGGTTTCGTTGGAAACGGGAATATCTTCATATAAAATCAAGACAGAAGCATTCTCAGAAACTTCTCTGTGATGTTTGCATTCAACTCATAGAGTTGAACACTTCCCTTCATACAGCAGGTTTGAAACACTCTTTTTGTAATATTTGGAAGTGGACATTTGCAGCGCTTTGAGACCTATGTTGAAAAAGGAAATATCTTCCCATAAAAACTAGACCGAAGCATTCTCAGAAACTTGTTTGTGATGTGTGTATTCAACTAACAGAGATGAACCTTTCTTTTTACAGAGCAGTTTTGAAACACTCTTTTTGTGGAATCTGAAAGTGGATATTTGGATAGATTTGAGGATTTCGTTTTAAACGGGATTACATATAAAATCTAGGGAGAAGCATTCTCAGGAACTTCTTTGTGATGTTTGCATTCAAGTCACAGAACTGAACATTCCCTTTCATAGATCAGGTTTGAAACACTCTTTCTGTAGTATCTGCAAGCGGACGTTTTAAGCGCCTTCAGGCCTGTGGTGAGAAAGGAAATATCTTCAAATAAAAACTAGACAGAAGAATTCTCAGAAACATATTTGCGATGTATGATCTCAACTAACAGAGTTGAACCTTTGTTTGGGTACAACATTTTGGAAACACTCTTTTTGTAGAATCTGCAAGTGGATATTTGGATAGCTTTGAAGGTTTCGTTGGAAACGGGAATATCTTCATATGAAATCAAGACAGAAGCATTCTCAGAAACTTCTCTGTGATGTTTGCATTCAACTCATAGAGTTGAACACTTCCCTTCATACAGCAGGTTTGAAACACTCTTTTTCTAATATTTGGAAGTGGACATTTGCAGCGCTTTGAGGCCTATGTTGAAAAAGGAAATATCTTCTCCTAAAAACCAGACAGAAGCATTCTCAGAAACTTCCTTGTGATGTGTGTACTCAAGTAACAGAGTTGAACCTTCCTTTTGACAGAGCAGTTTTGAAGCACTCTTTTTGTAGAATCTGCAAGTGGATATTTTGATACCTTTGAGGATTTCGTTGGACACGGGATATCTTCATATAAAATCTAGACAGAAGCATTCTCAGAAACTTCTTTGTGCTGTATGTCCTCAATTAACAGAGTTGAACCTTTGTGTGGATACAGCATTTTGGAAACATTCCTTTAGTAGAATCTGCAAGTTGATATTTAGATAGCTAGGAAGATTTCCTTGGAAACGGGAATATCTTCATATAAAATCTAGACGGAAGCATTCTCAGAAAGTGCTTTGTGATGTTTGCATTCAAGTCACAGAGTTGAATATTCCCTTTTATAGAGCAGGTTTGAAACACTCTTTCTGCACTACCTGGAAGTGGACATTTGGAGCGCTTTGAGGCCTATGTTGAAAAAGGAAATATCTTCCCATAAAAACTGGACAGAAGCATTCTCAGAAACTTCTTTGTGATGTGTGTATTCAACTAACAGAGATGAACCTTTCTTTTTACAGAGCAGTTTTGAAACACTCTTTCTGTGGAATCTGAAAGTGGATATTTGGATAGCTTTGAGGATTTCGTTGGAAACGGGATTACATATAAAACCTAGAGAGAAGCATTCTCAGAAACTTCCTTGTGATGTGTGTACTCAAGTAACAGAGTTGAACCTTCCTATTGACAGAGCAGTTTTGAAGCACTCTTTTTGTAGAATCTGCAAGTGGATATTTTGATACCTTTGAGGATTTCGTTGGACACGGGATGTCTTCATATAAAATCTAGACACAAGCATTCTCAGAAACTTCTTTGTGCTGTATGTCCTCAATTAACAGAGTTGAACCTTTGTGCGGATACAGCATTTTGGAAACATTCCTTTAGTAGGATATGCAAGTTGATATTTAGATAGCTAGGAAGATTTCCTTGGAAACGGGAATATCTTCATATAAAATCTAGACGGAAGCATTCTCAGAAACTGCTTTGTGATGTTTTCATTCAAGTCACAGAGTAGAATGTTCCCTGTTATATACCAGGTTTGAGACACTCTTTCTGCACTACCTGGAAGTGGACATTTGCAGCGCTTTGAGGCCTATGATGAAAAAGGAAATATCTTCCCATAAAAACTAGACAGAAGCATTCTCAGAAACTTGTTTTTGATGTGTGTATTCAACTAACAGAGATGAACCTTTCTTTTTGCAGAGCAGTTTTGAAACACTCTTTTTGTGGAATCTGAAAGTGGATATTTGGATAGCTTTGAGGATTTCGTTGGAAACGGGATTACATATAAAATCTAGAGAGAAGCATTCTCAGGAACTTCTTTGTGATGTTTGCATTCACGTCACAGAACTGAACATTCCCTTTCATAGAGCATGTTTGAAACACTCTTTCTGTAGTATCTGCAAACGGACATTTCAAACGCTTTCAGGCCTATGGTGAGAAAGGAAATATCTTCAAATAAAAACTAGACAGAAGCATTCTCAGAAACTTATTTGCGATGTGTGTCCTCAACTAACAGAGTTGAACCTTTCTTTTGATACAACATTTTGGAAACACTCTTTTTGTGGAATCTGCAAGTGGATATTTGGATAGCTTTGAAGATTTCGTTGGAAACGGGAATATCTTCATATAAAATCAAGACAGAAGCATTCTCAGAAACTTCTCTGTGATGTTTGCATTCAACTCATAGAGTTGAACACTTCCCTTCATACAGCAGGTTTGAAACACTCTTTTTGTAATATTTGGAAGTGGACATTTGCAGCGCTTTGAGGCCTATGATGAAAAAGGTAATATCTTCCCATAAAAACTAGACAGAAGCATTCTCAGAAACTTGTTTGTGATGTGTGTATTCAACTAACAGAGATGAACCTTTCTTTTTACAGAGCAGTTTTGAAACACTCTTTTTGTGGAATCTGAAAGTGGATATTTGGATAGCTTTGCGGATTTCGTTGGAAACGGGATTACATATAAAATCTAGGGAGAAGCATTATCAGGAACTTCTTTGTGATGTTTGCATTCAAGTCACAGAACTGAACATTCCCTTTCATAGAGCAGGTTTGAAACACTCTTTCTGTAGTATCTGCAAGCGGACGTTTTAAGCGCTTTCAGGCCTGTGGTGAGAAAAGAAATATCTTCAAATAAAAACTAGACAGAAGCATTCTCAGAAACTTATTTGCGATGTGTGTTCTCAACTAAAAGAGTTGAACCTTTGTTTGGATACAGCACTTAGGAAACACTCTTTTTGTAGAATCTGCAAGTGGATATTTGGATAGCTTTGAAGGTTTCGTTGGAAACGGGAATATCTTCATATAAAATCAAGACAGAAGCATTCTCAGAAACTTCTCTGTGATGTTTGCATTCAACTCATAGAGTTGAACACTTCCCTTCATACAGCAGGTTTGAAACACTCTTTTTCTAATATTTGGAAGTGGACATTTGCAGCGCTTTGAGGCCTATGTTGAAAAAGGAAATATCTTCTCCTAAAAACCAGACAGAAGCATTCTCAGAAACTTCCTGGTGATGTGTGTACTCAAGTAACAGAGTTGAACCTTCCTTTTGACGGAGCAGTTTTGAAGCACTCTTTTTGTAGAATCTGCAAGTGGATATTTTGATACCTTTGAGGATTTCGTTGGACACGGGATATCTTCATATAAAATCTAGACAGAAGCATTCTCAGGAACTTCTTTGTGATGTTTTCATTCAAGTCACAGCAACTGAACATTCCCTTTCATAGAGCAGGTTTGAAACACTCTTTCTGTAGTATCTGCAAGCTGACGTTTCAAGCGCTTTCAGGCCTATGGTGAGAAAGGAAATATCTTCAAGTAAAAACTAGACAGAAGCATTCTCAGAAACTTATTTGCGATGTGTGTCCTCAACTAACAGAGTTGAACCTTTCTTTTGATACAACATTTTGGAAACACTCTTTTTGTAGAATCTGCAAGTGGATATTTGAATAGCTTTGAAGGTTTCGTTGGAAACGGGAATATCTTCATATAAAATCAAGACAGAAGCATTCTCAGAAACTTCTCTGTGATGTTTGCATTCAACTCATAGAGTTGAACACTTCCCTTCATACAGCAGGTTTGAAACACTCTTTTTCTAATATTTGGAAGTGGACATTTGCAGCGCTTTGAGGCCTATGTTGAAAAAGGAAATATCTTCTCCTAAAAACCAGACAGGAAGCATTCTCAGGAACTTCTTTGTCATGTTTGCCTTCAAGTCACAGGACTGAACATTCCCTTTCATAGAGCAGGTTTGAAACACTCTTTCTGTAGTATCTGCAAGCTGACGTTTCAAGCGCTTTCAGGCCTATGGTGAGAAAGGAAATATCTTCAAGTAAAAACTAGACAGAAGCATTCTCAGAAACTTATTTGCCATGTGTTTTCTCAACTAACAGAATTGAACCTTTGTTTTGATACGGCATTTTGGAAACACTCTTTTTGTAGAATCTGCAGGTGCATATTCGGATAGCTTTGAAGGTTTCGTTGGAAACGGGAATATCTTCATATAAAATCTAGACGGAAGCATTCTCAGAAGCTTCTCTTTGATGTTTGCATTCAACTCATAGAGATGAACACTTCCCTTCATACAGCAGGTTTGAAACACTCTTTTTGTAATATTTGGAAGTGGACATTTGCAGCGCTTTGAGGCCTATGATGAAAAAGGAAATATCTTCCCATAAAAAGTAGACAGAAGCATTCTCAGAAACTTCTTTGTGATGTGTGTATTCAACTAACACAGATGAACCTTTCTTTTTACAGAGCAGTTTTGAAACACTCTTTTTGTGGAATCTGAAAGTGGATATTTGGATAGCTTTGAGGATTTCGTTGGAAACGGGATTACATATAAAACCTAGAGAGAAGCATTCTCAGGAACTTCTTTGTGATGTTTGCCTTCAAGTCACAGGACTGAACATTCCCTTTCATAGAGCAGGTTTGAAACACTCTTTCTGTAGTATCTGCAAGCTGACGTTTCAAGCGCTTTCAGGCCTATGGTGAGAAAGGAAATATCTTCAAGTAAAAACTAGACAGAAGCATTCTCAGAAACTTATTTGCGATGTGTGTTCTCAACTAACAGAGTTGAACCTTTGTTTTGATATGGCATTTTGGAAACACTCTTTTTGTAGAATCTGCAGGTGGATATTCGGATAGCTTTGAAGGTTTCGTTGGAAACGGGAATATCTTCATATAAAATCTAGACGGAAGCATTCTCAGAAACTGCTTTGTGATGTTTTCATTGAAGTCACAGAGTAGAATGTTCCCTTTTATATACCAGGTTTGAGACACTCTTTCTGCACTATCTGGAAGTGGACATTTGGAGCGCTTTGAGGCCTATGATGATAAAGGAAATATCTTCCCATAAAAACTAGACAGAAGCATTCTCAGAAACTTGTTTGTGATGTGTGTATTCAACTAACAGAGATGAACCTTTCTTTTTACAGAGCAGTTTTGAAACAGTCTTTTTGTAGAATCTGGAAGTAGATATTTGGATACCTTTGAGGATTTCTTTGGAAACGGGATATCTTCATATAAAATCTAGACAGAAGCATTCTCAGAAACTTCTTTGTGCTGTATGTCCGCAATTAACAGAGTTGAACCTTTGTGTGGATACGGCATTTTGGAAACATTCCTTTAGTAGAATCTGCAAGTTGATATTTAGATAGCTAGGAAGATTTCCTTGGAAACGGGAATATCTTCATATAAAATCTAGACGGAAGCATTCTCAGAAACTGCTTTGTGATGTTTTCATTGAAGTCACAGAGTAGAATGTTCCCTTTTATATACCAGGTTTGAGACACTCTTTCTGCACTATCTGGAAGTGGACATTTGGAGCGCTTTGAGGCCTATGATGAAAAAGGAAATATCTTCCCATAAAAAGTAGACAGAAGCATTCTCAGAAACTTGTTTGTGATGTGTGTATTCAACTAACAGAGATGAACCTTTCTTTTTACAGAGCAGTTTTGAAACACTCTTTTTGTGGAATCTGAAAGTGGATATTTGGATAGCTTTGAGGATTTCGTTGGAAACGGGATTACATATAAAATCTAGAGAGAAGCATTCTCAGGAACTTCTTTGTGATGTTTGCATTCAAGTCACAGAACTGAACATTCCCTTTCATAGAGCATGTTTGAAACACTCTTTCTGTAGTATCTGCAAGCGGACGTTTCAAGCGCTTTCAGGCCTATGGTGAGAAAGGAAATATCTTCAAGTAAAAACTAGACAGAAGCATTCTCAGAAACTTCTTTGTGCTGTATGTCCTCAATTAACAGAGTTGAACCTTTGTGTGGATACAGCATTTTTGAAACACTCCTTTAGTAGGATATGCAAGTTGATATTTAGATAGCTAGGAAGATTTCCTTGGAAACGGGAATATCTTCATATAAAATCTAGCCGGAAGCATTCTCAGAAACTGCTTTGTGATGTTTTCATTGAAGTCACAGAGTAGAATGTTCCCTTTTATATACCAGGTTTGAGACACTCTTTCTGCACTATCTGGAAGTGGACATTTGGAGCGCTTTGAGGCCTATGATGAAAAAGGAAATATCTTCCCATAAAAACTAGACAGAAGCATTCTCAGAAACTTGTTTGTGATGTGTGTATTCAACTAACAGAGATGAACCTTTCTTTTTACAGAGCAGTTTTGAAACAGTCTTTTTGTAGAATCTGGAAGTAGATATTTGGATACCTTTGAGGATTTCTTTGGAAACGGGATATCTTCATATAAAATCTAGACAGAAGCATTCTCAGAAACTTCTCTGTGATGTTTGCATTCAACTCATAGAGTGGAACACTTCCTTTCATAGGGCAGGTATGAAACACCCTTTTTGTAATATTTGGAAGTGGACATTGGCAGCGCTTTGAGGCCTATGGTGAAAAAGGAAATATCTTCTCCTAAAAACCAGACAGAAGCATTCTCAGAAACTTCTTTGTGCTGTATGTCCTCAATTAACAGAGTTGAACCTTTGTGTCGATACAGCATTTTCGAAACATGCCTTTAGTAGAATCTGCAAATTGATATTTAGATAGCTAGGAAGATTTCCCTGGAAACGGGAATATCTTCATATAAAATCTAGACGGAAGCATTCTCAGAAACTGCCTTGTGATGTTTTCATTCAAGTCACAGAGTAGAATGTTCCCTTTTATAGAGCAGGTTTGAGACACTCTTTCTGCACTACCTGGAAGTGGACATTTGGAACGCTTTGAGGCCTACGATGAAAAAGGAAATATCTTCCCATAAAAACTAGACAGAAGCATTCTCAGAAACTTGTTTGTGATGTGTGTATTCAACTAACAGAGATGAACCTTTCTTTTTACAGAGCAGTTTTGAAACACTCTTTTTGTGGAATCTGAAAGTGGATATTTGGATAGCTTTGAGGATTTCGTTGGAAATGGGATTACATATAAAATCTAGAGAGAAGCATTCTCAGGAACTTCTTTGTGATGTTTGCATTCACGTCACAGAACTGAACATTCCCTTTCATAGAGCATGTTTGAAACACTCTTTCTGTAGTATCTGCAAACGGACATTTCAAACGCTTTCAGGCCTATGGTGAGAAAGGAAATATCTTCAAATAAAAACTAGACAGAAGCATTCTCAGAAACTTATTTGCGATGTGTGTTCTCAGCTAACAGAGTTGAACCTTTGTTTTGATACAGCATTTTGGAAACACTCTTTTTGTAGAATCTGCAAGTGGATATTTGGATAGCTTTGAAGGTTTCGTTGGAAACGGGAATATCTTCATATAAAATCAAGACAGAAGCATTCTCAGAAACTTCTCTGTGATGTTTGCATTCAACTCATAGAGTTGAACACTTCCCTTCATACAGCAGGTTTGAAACACTCTTTTTGTAATATTTGGAAGTGGACATTTGCAGCGCTTTGAGGCCTATGATGAAAAAGGTAATATCTTCCCATAAAAACTAGACAGAAGCATTCTCAGAAACTTGTTTGTGATGTGTGTATTCAACTAACAGAGATGAACCTTTCTTTTTACAGAGCAGTTTTCAAACACTCTTTTTGTGGAATCTGAAAGTGGATATTTGGTTAGCTTTGAGGATTTCGTTGGAAACGGGATTACATATAAAATCTAGAGAGAAGCATTCTCAGGAACTTCTTTGTGATGTTTGCATTCAAGTCACAGAACTGAACATTCCCTTTCATAGAGCATGTTTGAAACACTCTTTCTGTAGTATCTGCAAACGGATATTTCAAACGCTTTCAGGCCTATGGAGAGAAAGGAAATATCTTCAAATAAAAACTAGACAGAAGCATTCTCAGAAACATATTTGCGATGTGTGTTCTCAACTAACAGAGTTGAACCTTTGTTTTGATACAGCATTTTGGAAACACTCTTTTTGTAGGATCTGCAGGTGGATATTTGGATAGCTTTGAAGGTTTCGTTGGAAACGGGAATATCTTCATATAAAATCAAGACAGAAGCATTCTCAGAAACTTCTCTGTGATGTTTGCATTCAACTCATAGAGTTGAACACTTCCCTTCATACAGCAGGTTTGAAACACTCTTTTTCTAATATTTGGAAGTGGACATTTGCAGCGCTTTGAGGCCTATGTTGAAAAAGGAAATATCTTCTCCTAAAAACCAGACAGAAGCATTCTCAGAAACTTCCTTGTGATGTGTGTACTCAAGTAACAGAGTTGAACCTTCCTTTTGACGGAGCAGTTTTGAAGCACTCTTTTTGTAGAATCTGCAAGTGGATATTTTGATACCTTTGAGGATTTCGTTGGACACGGGATATCTTCATATAAAATCTAGACAGAAGCATTCTCAGAAACTTCTTTGTGCTGTATGTCCTCAATTAACAGAGTTGAACCTTTGTGTGGATACAGCATTTTGGAAACATTCCTTTAGTAGAATCTGCAAGTTGATATTTAGATAGCTAGGAAGATTTCCTTGGAAACGGGAATATCTTCATATAAAATCTAGACGGAAGCATTCTCAGAAAGTGCTTTTTGATGTTTGCATTCAAGTCACAGAGTTGAATATTCCCTTTTATAGAGCAGGTTTGAAACACTCTTTCTGCACTACCTGGAAGTGGACATTTGGAGCGCTTTGAGGCCTATGCTGAAAAAGGAAATATCTTCCCATAAAAACTAGACAGAAGCATTCTCAGAAACTTGTTTTTGATGTGTGTATTCAACTAACAGAGATGAACCTTTCTTTTTACAGAGCAGTTTTGAAACACTCTTTTTGTGGAATCTGAAAGTGGATATTTGGATAGCTTTGAGGATTTCGTTGGAAACGGGATTAAATATAAAATCCTAGAGAGAAGCATTCTCAGGAACTTCTTTGTGATGTTTGCCTTCAAGTCACAGGACTGAACATTCCCTTTCATAGAGCAGGTTTGAAACACTCTTTCTGTAGTATCTGCAAGCTGACGTTTCAAGCGCTTTCAGGCCTATGGTGAGAAAGGAAATATCTTCAAGTAAAAACTAGACAGAAGCATTCTCAGAAACTTATTTGCCATGTGTGTTCTCAACTAACAGAGTTGAACCTTTGTTTTGATACGGCATTTTGGAAACACTCTTTTTGTAGAATCTGCAGGTGGATATTCGGATAGCTTTGAAGGTTTCGTTGGAAACGGGAATACCTTCATATAAAATCTAGACGGAAGCATTCTCAGAAACTGCTTTGTGATGTTTTCATTCAAGTCACAGAGTAGAATGTTCCCTGTTATATACCAGGTTTGAGACACTCTTTCTGCACTACCTGGAAGTGGACGTTTGGAGCGCTTTGAGGCCTATGTTGAAAAAGGAAATATCTTCCCATAAAAACTAGACAGAAGCATTCTCAGAAACTTGTTTGTGATGTGTGTATTCAACTAACAGAGATGAACCTTTCTTTTTACAGAGCAGTTTTGAAACACTCTTTTTGTGGAATCTGAAAGTGGATATTTGGATAGCTTTGAGGATTTCGTTGGAAACGGGATTACAGATAAAACCTAGAGAGAAGCATTCTCAGAAACTTCTTTGTGATGTTTGCATTCAAGTCACAGAACTGAACATTCCCTTTCATAGAGCAGGTTTGAAACACTCTTTCTGTAGTATCTGCAAGCTGACGTTTCAAGCGCTTTCAGGCCTATGGTGAGAAAGGAAATATCTTCAAGTAAAAACTAGACAGAAGCATTCTCAGAAACTTATTTGCGATGTGTGTTCTCAACTAACAGAGTTGAACCTTTGTTTTGATATGGCATTTTGGAAACACTCTTTTTGTAGAATCTGCAGGTGGATATTCGGATAGCTTTGAAGGTTTCGTTGGAAACGGGAATATCTTCATATAAAATCTAGACGGAAGCATTCTCAGAAACTGCTTTGTGATGTTTTCATTCAAGTCACACAGTAGAATGTTCCCTGTTATATACCAGGTTTGAGACACTCTTTCTGCACTACCTGGAAGTGGACATTTGCAGCGCTTTGAGGCCTATGATGAAAAAGGAAATATCTTCCCATAAAAACTAGACAGAAGCATTCTCAGAAACTTGTTTTTGATGTGTGTATTCAACTAACAGAGATGAACCTTTCTTTTTACAGAGCAGTTTTGAAACACTCTTTTTGTGGAATCTGAAAGTGGATATTTGGATAGCTTTGAGGATTTCGTTGGAAACGGGATTAAATATAAAATCTAGAGAGAAGCATTCTCAGGAACTTCTTTGTGATGTTTGCATTCACGTCACAGAACTGAACATTCCCTTTCATAGAGCATGTTTGAAACACTCTTTCTGTAGTATCTGCAAACGGACATTTCAAACGCTTTCAGGCCTATGGTGAGAAAGGAAATATCTTCAAATAAAAACTAGACAGAAGCATTCTCAGAAACTTATTTGCGATGTGTGTCCTCAACTAACAGAGTTGAACCTTTCTTTTGATACAACATTTTGGAAAGACTCTTTTTGTAGAATCTGCAAGTGGATATTTGAATAGCTTTGAAGGTTTCGTTGGAAACGGGAATATCTTCATATAAAATCAAGACAGAAGCATTCTCAGAAACTTCTCTGTGATGTTTGCATTCAACTCATAGAGTTGAACACTTCCCTTCATACAGCAGGTTTGAAACACTCTTTTTGTAATATTTGGAAGTGGACATTTGCAGCGCTTTGAGGCCTATGATGAAAAAGGTAATATCTTCCCATAAAAACTAGACAGAAGCATTCTCGGAAACTTGTTTGTGATGTGTGTATTCAACTAACAGAGATGAACCTTTCTTTTTACAGAGCAGTTTTGAAACACTCTTTTTGTGGAATCTGAAAGTGGATATTTGGATAGCTTTGAGGATTTCGTTGGAAACGGGATTACATATAAAACCTAGAGAGAAGCATTCTCAGGAACTTCTTTGTGATGTTTGCATTCACGGTCACAGAACTGAACATTCCCTTTCATAGAGCATGTTTGAAACACTCTTTCTGTAGTATCTACAAACGGACATTTCAAAAGCTTTCAGGCCTATGGTGAGAAAGGAAATATCTTCAAATAAAAACTAGACAGAAGCATTCTCAGAAACTTATTTGCGATGTGTGTCCTCAACTAACAGAGTTGAACCTTTCTTTTGATACAACATTTTGGAAACACTCTTTTTGTAGAATCTGCAAGTGGATATTTGAATAGATTTGAAGGTTTCGTTGGAAACGGGAATATCTTCATATAAAATCAAGACAGAAGCATTCTCAGAAACTTCTCTGTGATGTTTGCATTCAACTCATAGAGTTGAACACTTCCCTTCATACAGCAGGTTTGAAACACTCTTTTTGTAATATTTGGAAGTGGACATTTGCAGCGCTTTGAGGCCTATGATGAAAAAGGAAATATCTTCCCATAAAAACTAGACAGAAGCATTCTGAGAAACTTGTTTGTGATGTGTGTATTCAACTAACAGAGATGAACCTTTCTTTTTACAGAGCAGTTTTGAAACACTCTTTTTGTGGAATCTGAAAGTGGATATTTGGATAGCTTTGCGGATTTCGTTGGAAACGGGATTACATATAAAATCTAGGGAGAAGCAGTCTCAGCAACTTCTTTGTGATGTTTGCATTCAAGTCACAGAACTGAACATTCCCTTTCATAGAGCAGGTTTGAAACACTCTTTCTGTAGTATCTGCAAGCGGACGTTTGAAGCGCTTTGAGGCCTGTGGTGAAAAAGGAAATATCTTCAAATAAAAACTAGATAGAAGCATTCTCAGAAACTTATTTGCGATGTGTGTTCTCAACTAAAAGAGTTGAACCTTTGTTTGGATACAGCACTTTGGAAACACTCTTTTTGTAGAATCTGCAAGTGGATATTTGGATAGCTTTGAAGGTTTCGTTGGAAACGGGAATATCTTCATATAAAATCAAGACAGCAGCATTCTCAGAAACTTCTCTGTGATGTTTGCATTCAACTCATAGAGTTGAACACTTCCCTTCATACAGCAGGTTTGAAACACTCTTTTTCTAATATTTGGAAGTGGACATTTGCAGCGCTTTGAGGCCTATGTTGAAAAAGGAAATATCTTCTCCTAAAAACCAGACAGAAGCATTCTCAGAAACTTCCTTGTGATGTGTGTACTCAAGTAACAGAGTTGAACCTTCCTTTTGACAGAGCAGTTTTGAAGCACTCTTTTTGTAGAATCTGCAAGTGGATATTTTGATACCTTTGAGGATTTCGTTGGACACGGGATATCTTCATATAAAATCTAGACAGAAGCATTCTCAGAAACTTCTTTGTGCTGTATGTCCTCAATTAACAGAGTTGAACCTTTGTGTGGATACAGCATTTTGGAAACATTCCTTTAGAAGAATCTGCAAGTTGATATTTAGATAGCTAGGAAGATTTCCTTGGAAACGGGAATATCTTCATATAAAATCTAGACGGAAGCATTCTCAGAAAGTGCTTTGTGATGTTTGCATTCAAGTCACAGAGTTGAATATTCCCTTTTATAGAGCAGGTTTGAAACACTCTTTCTGCACTACCTGGAAGTGGACATTTGGAGGGCTTTGAGGCCTATGTTGAAAAAGGAAATATCTTCCCATAAAAACTAGACAGAAGCATTCTCAGAAACTTGTTTGTGATGTGTGTATTCAACTAACAGAGATGAACCTTTCTTTTTACAGGGCAGTTTTGAAACACTCTTTTTGTGGAATCTGAAAGTTGATATTTGGATAGCTTTGAGGATTTCGTTGGAAACGGGATTACATATAAAATCTAGGGAGAAGCATTCTCAGGAACTTCTTTGTGATGTTTGCATTCACGTCACAGAACTGAACATTCCCTCTCATAGAGCATGTTTGAAACACTCTTTCTGTAGTATCTGCAAACGGACATTTCAAACGCTTTCAGGCCTATGGTGAGAAAGGAAATATCTTCAAGTAAAAACTAGACAGAAGCATTCTCAGAAACTTCTTTGCGATGTGTGTTCTCAACTAACAGAGTTGAACCTTTGTTTTGATATGGCATTTTGGAAACACTCTTTTTGTAGAATCTGCAGGTGGATATTCGGATAGCTTTGAAGGTTTCGTTGGAAACGGGAATATCTTCATATAAAATCTAGACGGAAGCATTCTCAGAAACTGCTTTGTGATGTTTTCATTCAAGTCACAGAGTAGAATGTTCCCTGTTATATACCAGGTTTGAGACACTCTTTCTGCACTACCTGGAAGTGGACATTTGCAGCGCTTTGAGGCCTATGATGAAAAAGGAAATATCTTCCCATAAAAACTAGACAGAAGCATTCTCAGAAACTTCTCTGTGATGTTTGCATTCAACTCATAGAGTTGAACGCTTCCCTTCATACAGCAGGTTTGAAACACTCTTTTTGTAATATTTGGAAGTGGACATTTGCAGCGCTTTGAGGCCTATGATGAAAAAGGTAATATCTTCCCATAAAAACTAGACAGAAGCATTCTCAGAAACTTGTTTGTGATGTGTGTATTCAACTAACAGAGATGAACCTTTCTTTTTACAGAGCAGTTTTGAAACACTCTTTTTGTGGAATCTGAAAGTGGATATTTGGATAGCTTTGCGGATTTCGTTGGAAACGGGATTACATATAAAATCTAGGGAGAAGCATTCTCAGGAACTTCTTTGTGATGGTTGCATTCAAGTCACAGAACTGAACATTCCCTTTCATAGAGCAGGTTTGAAACACTCTTTCTGTAGTATCTGCAAGCGGACGTTTTAAGCGCTTTCAGGCCTGTGGTGAGAAAGGAAATATCTTCAAATAAAAACTAGACAGAAGCATTCTCAGAAACTTATTTGCGATGTGTGTCCTCAACTAACAGAGTTGAACCTTTCTTTTGATACAACATTTTGGAAACACTCTTTTTGTAGAATCTGCAAGTGGATATTTGGATAGCTTTGAAGGTTTCGTTGGAAACGGGAGTATCTTCATATGAAATCAAGACAGAAGCATTCTCAGAAACTTCTCTGTGATGTTTGCATTCAACTCATAGAGTTGAACACTTCCCTTCATACAGCAGGTTTGAAACACTCTTTTTCTAATATTTGGAAGTGGACATTTGCAGCGCTTTGAGGCCTATGTTGAAAAAGGAAATATCTTCTCCTAAAAACCAGACAGAAGCATTCTCAGAAACTTCCTTGTGATGTGTGTACTCAAGTAACAGAGTTGAACCTTCCTTTTGACAGAGCAGTTTTGAAGCACTCTTTTTGTAGAATCTGCAAGTGGATATTTTGATACCTTTGAGGATTTCGTTGGACACGGGATATCTTCATATAAAATCTAGACAGAAGCATTCTCAGAAACTTCTTTGTGTTGTATGTCCTCAATTAACAGAGTTGAACCTTTGTGTGGATACAGCATTTTGGAAACATTCCTTTAGTAGAATCTGCAAGTTGATATTTAGATAGCTAGGAAGATTTCCTTGGAAACGGGAATATCTTCATATAAAATCTAGACGGAAGCATTCTCAGAAACTTCTCTGTGATGTTTGCATTCAACTCATAGAGTTGAACACTACCTTTCATAGAGCAGGTTTGAAACACTCTGTGCACTACCTGGAAGTGGACATTTGGAGCGCTTTGAGGCCTATGTTGAAAAAGGAAATATCTTCCCATAAAAACTAGACAGAAGCATTCTCAGAAACTTGTTTGTGATGTGCGTATTCAACTAACAGAGATGAACCTTTCTTTTTACAGAGCAGTTTTGAAACACTCTTTTTGTGGAATCTGAAACTGGATATTTGGTTAGCTTTGAGGATTTCGTTGGAAACGGGATTACATATAAAATCTAGAGAGAAGCACTCTCAGGAACTTCTTTGTGATGTTTGCATTCAAGTCACAGAACTGAACATTCCCTTTCATAGAGCAGGTTTGCAACACTCTTTCTGTAGTATCTGCAAGCGGACGTTTTAAGCGCTTTCAGGCCTGTGGTGAGAAAGGAAATATCTTCAAATAAAAACTAGACAGAAGCATTCTCAGAAACTTCTTTGTGCTGTATGTCCTCAATTAACAGAGTTGAACCTTTGTGTGGATACAGCATTTTGGAAACATTCCTTTAGTAGAATCTGCAAGTTGATATTTAGATAGCTAGGAAGATTTCCTTGGAAACGGGAATATCTTCATATAAAATCTAGACGGAATCATTCTCAGAAAGTGCTTTGTGATGTTTGCATTCAAGTCACAGAGTTGAATATTCCCTTTTATAGAGCAGGTTTGAAACACTCTTTCTGCACTACCTGGAAGTGGACATTTGGAGCGCTTTGAGGCCTATGTTGAAAAAGGAAATATCTTCCCATAAAAACTAGACAGAAGCATTCTCAGAAACTTGTTTGTGATGTGTGTATTCAACTAACAGAGATGAACCTTTCTTTTTACAGAGCAGTTTTGAAACACTCTTTTTGTGGAATCTGAAAGTGGATATTTGGATAGTTTGAGGATTTCGTTGGAAACGGGATTACATATAAAACCTAGAGAGAAGCATTCTCAGGAACTTCTTTGTGATGTTTGCATTCACGTCACAGAACTGAACATTCCCTTTCATAGAGCATGTTTGAAACACTCTTTCTGTAGTATCTGCAAGCTGACGTTTCAAGCGCTTTCAGGCCTACGGTGAGAAAGGAAATATCTTCAAGTAAAAACTAGACAGAAGCATTCTCAGAAACGTCTTTGTGCTGTATGTCCTCAATTAACAGAGTTGAACCTTTGTGTGGATACAGCATTTTGGAAACATTCCTTTAGTAGAATCTGCAAGTTGATATTTAGATAGCTAGGAAGATTTCCTTGGAAACGGGAATATCTTCATATAAAATCTAGACGGAAGCATTCTCAGAAACTGCTTTGTGATGTTTTCATTCAAGTCACAGAGTAGAATGTTCCCTGTTATATACCAGGTTTGAGACACTCTTTCTGCACTACCTGGAAGTGGACGTTTGGAGCGCTTTGAGGCCTATGTTGAAAAAGGAAATATCTTCCCATAAAAACTAGACAGAAGCATTCTCAGAAACTTGTTTGTGATGTGTGTATTCAACTAACAGAGATGAACCTTTCTTTTTACAGAGCAGTTTTGAAACACTCTTTTTGTGGAATCTGAAAGTGGATATTTGGATAGCTTTGAGGATTTCGTTGGAAACGGGATTACATATAAAATCTAGAGAGAAGCATTCTCAGGAACTTCTTGTGATGTTTGCATTCACGTCACAGAACTGAACATTCCCTTTCATAGAGCATGTTTGAAACACTCTTTCTGTAGTATCTGCAAACGGACATTTCAAACGCTTTCAGGCCTATGGTGAGAAAGGAAATATCTTCAAGTAAAAACTAGACAGAAGCATTCTCAGAAACTTATTTGCGATGTGTGTCCTCAACTAACAGAGTTGAACCTTTCTTTTGATACAACATTTTGGAAACACTCTTTTTGTAGAATCTGCAAGTGGATATTTGAATAGCTTTGAAGGTTTCGTTGGAAACGGGAATATCTTCATATAAAATCAAGACAGAAGCATTCTCAGAAACTTCTCTGTGATGTTTGCATTCAACTCATAGAGTTGAACACTTCCCTTCATACAGCAGGTTTGAAACACTCTTTTTGTAATATTTGGAAGTGGACATTTGCAGCGCTTTGAGGCCTATGATGAAAAAGGTAATATCTTCCCATAAAAACTAGACAGAAGCATTCTCAGAAACTTGTTTGTGATGTGTGTATTCAACTAACACAGATGAACCTTTCTTTTTACAGAGCAGTTTTGAAACACTCTTTTTGTGGAATCTGAAAGTGGATATTTGGATAGCTTTGCGGATTTCGTTGGAAACGGGATTACATATAAAACCTAGAGAGAAGCATTCTCAGGAACTTCTTTGTGATGTTTGCATTCAAGTCACAGAACTGAACATTCCCTTTCATAGAGCATGTTTGAAACACTCTTTCTGTAGTATCTGCAAGCGGACGTTTTAAGCGCTTTCAGGCCTGTGGTGAGAAAGGAAATATCTTCAAATAAAAACTAGACAGAAGCATTCTCAGAAACTTATTTGCGATGTGTGTTCTCAACTAACAGAGTTGAACCTTTGTTTTGATATGGCATTTTGGAAACACTCTTTTTGTAGAATCTGCAGGTGGATATTCGGATAGCTTTGAAGGTTTCGTTGGAAACGGGAATATCTTCATATAAAATCTAGACGGAAGCATTCTCAGAAACTGCTTTGTGATGTTTTCATTCAAGTCACAGAGTAGAATGTTCCCTGTTATATACCAGGTTTGAGACACTCTTTCTGCACTACCTGGAAGTGGACATTTGCAGCGCTTTGAGGCCTATGATGAAAAAGGAAATATCTTCCCATAAAAACTAGACAGAAGCATTCTCAGAAACTTGTTTGTGATGTGTGTATTCAACTAACAGAGATGAACCTTTCTTTTTACAGAGCAGTTTTGAAACACTCTTTTTGTGGAATCTGAAAGTGGATATTTGGATAGCTTTGAGGATTTCGTTGGAAACGGGATTACATATAAAATCTAGAGAGAAGCATTCTCAGGAACTTCTTTGTGATGTTTGCATTCACGTCACAGAACTGAACATTCCCTTTCATAGAGCATGTTTGAAACACTCTTTCTGTAGTATCTACAAACGGACATTTCAAACGCTTTCAGGCCTATGGTGAGAAAGGAAATATCTTCAAATAAAAACTAGACAGAAGCATTCTCAGAAACTTATTTGCGATGTGTGTCCTCAACTAACAGAGTTGAACCTTTCTTTTGATACAACATTTTGGAAACACTCTTTTTGTAGAATCTGCAAGTGGATATTTGAATAGCTTTGAAGGTTTCGTTGGAAACGGGAATATCTTCATATAAAATCAAGACAGAAGCATTCTCAGAAACTTCTCTGTGATGTTTGCATTCAACTCATAGAGTTGAACACTTCCCTTCATACAGCAGGTTTGAAACACTCTTTTTCTAATATTTGGAAGTGGACATTTGCAGCGCTTTGAGGCCTATGTTGAAAAAGGAAATATCTTCTCCTAAAAACCAGACAGGAAGCATTCTCAGAAACTTCCTTGTGATGTGTGTACTCAAGTAACAGAGTTGAGCCTTCCTTTTGACAGAGCAGTATTGAAGCACTCTTTTTGTAGAATCTGCAAGTGGATATTTTGATACCTTTGAGGATTTCGTTGGACACGGGATATCTTCATATAAAATCTAGACAGAAGCATTCTCAGAAACTTCTTTGTGCTGTATGTCCTCAATTAACAGAGTTGAACCTTTGTGTGGATACAGCATTTTGGAAACATTCCTTTAGTAGAATCTGCAAGTTGATATTTAGATAGCTAGGAAGATTTCCTTGGAAACGGGAATATCTTCATATAAAATCTAGACGGAAGCATTCTCAGAAAGTGCTTTGTGATGTTTGCATTCAAGTCACAGAGTTGAATATTCCCTTTTATAGAGTAGGTTTGAAACACTCTTTCTGCACTACCTGGAAGTGGACATTTGGAGCGCTTTGAGGCCTATGTTGAAAAAGGAAATATCTTCCCATAAAAACTAGACAGAAGCATTCTCAGAATCTTTCTTGTGATGTGTGTACTCAAGTAACAGAGTTGAACATTCATTTTGACAGAGCAGTTTTGAAGCACTCTTTTTGTAGAATCTGCAAGTGGATATTTTGATACCTTTGAGGATTTCGTTGGACACGGGATATCTTCATATAAAATCTAGACAGAAGCATTCTCAGGAACTTCTTTGTGATGTTTGCCTTCAAGTCACAGGACTGAACATTCCCTTTCATAGAGCAGGTTTGAAACACTCTTTCTGTAGTATCTGCAAGCTGACGTTTCAAGCGCTTTCAGGCCTATGGTGAGAAAGGAAATATCTTCAAGTAAAAACTAGACAGAAGCATTCTCAGAAACTTATTTGCGATGTGTGTCCTCAACTAACAGAGTTGAACCTTTCTTTTGATACAACATTTTGGAAACACTCTTTTTGTGGAATCTGCAAGTGGATATTTGGATAGCTTTGAAGGTTTCGTTGGAAACGGGAATATCTTCATATAAAATCAAGACAGAAGCATTCTCAGAAACTTCTCTGTGATGTTTGCATTCAACTCATAGAGTTGAACACTTCCCTTCATACAGCAGGTTTGAAACACTCTTTTTGTAATATTTGGAAGTGGACATTTGCAGCGCTTTGAGGCCTATGATGAAAAAGGTAATATCTTCCCATAAAAACTAGACAGAAGCATTCTCAGAAACTTGTTTGTGATGTGTGTATTCAACTAACAGAGATGAACCTTTCTTTTTACAGAGCAGTTTTGAAACACTCTTTTTGTGGAATCTGAAAGTGGATATTTGGATAGCTTTGAGGATTTCGTTGGAAACGGGATTACATATAAAATCTAGAGAGAAGCATTCTCAGGAACTTCTTTGTGATGTTTGCATTCACGTCACAGAACTTAACATTCCCTTTCATAGAGCATGTTTGAAACACTCTTTCTGTAGTATCTGCAAACGGACATTTCAAGCGCTTTCAAGCCTATGGTAAGAAAGGAAATATCTTCAAATAAAAACTAGACAGAAGCATTCTCAGAAACTTATTTGCGATGTGTGTCCTCAACTAACAGAGTTGAACCTTTCTTTTGATACAACATTTTGGAAGCACTCTTTTTGTAGAATCTGCAAGTGGATATTTGGATAGCTTTGAAGATTTCGTTGGAAACGGGAATATCTTCATATAAAATCAAGACAGAAGCATTCTCAGAAACTTCTCTGTGATGTGTGCATTCAACTCATAGAGTTGAACACTTCCCTTCATACAGCAGGTTTGAAACACTCTTTTTCTAATATTTGGAAGTGGACATTTGCAGCGCTTTGAGGCCTATGTTGAAAAAGGAAATATCTTCTCCTAAAAACCAGACAGAAGCATTCTCAGAAACTTCCTTGTGATGTGTGTACTCAAGTAACAGAGTTGAACCTTCCTTTTGACAGAGCAGTTTTGAAGCACTCTTTTTGTAGAATCTGCAAGTGGATATTTTGATACCTTTGAGGATTTCGTTGGACACGGGATATCTTCATATAAAATCTAGACAGAAGCATTCTCAGAAACTTCTTTGTGCTGTATGTCCTCAATTAACAGAGTTGAACCTTTGTGTGGATACAGCATTTTGGAAACATTCCTTTAGTAGAATCTGCAAGTTGATATTTAGATAGCTAGGAAGATTTCCTTGGAAACGGGAATATCTTCATATAAAATCTAGAGGGAAGCATTCTCAGAAACTGCTTTGAGATATTTTCATTCATGTCACAGAGTAGAATGTTCCCTTTTATAGAACAGGTTTGAAACACTCTGTGCACTACATGGAAGTGGACATTTGGAGCGCTTTGAGGCCTATGCTGAAAAAGGAAATATCTTCCCATAAAAACTAGACAGAAGCATTCTCAGAAACTTGTTTGTGATGTGTGTATTCAACTAACAGAGATGAATCTTTCTTTTCACAGCAGTTTTGAAACACTCTTTTTGTGGAATCTGAAAGTGGATATTTGGATACCTTTGAGGATTTCGTTGGAAACGGGATTACATATAAAATCTAGAGAGAAGCATTCTCAGGAACTTCTTTGTGATGTTTGCCTTCAAGTCACAGGACTGAACATTCCCTTTCATAGAGCAGGTTTGAAACACTCTTTCTGTAGTATCTGCAAGCTGACGTTTCAAGCGCTTTCAGGCCTATGGTGAGAAAGGAAATATCTTCAAGTAAAAACTAGACAGAAGCATTCTCGGAAACTTCTTTGTGCTGTATGTCCTCAATTAACAGAGTTGAACCTTTGTGTGGATACAGCATTTTGGAAACATTCCTTTAGTAGAATCTGCAAGTTGATATTTAGATAGCTAGGAAGATTTCCTTGGAAACGGGAATATCTTCACATAAAATCTAGACGGAAGCATTCTCAGAAACTGCTTTGTGATGTTTTCATTCAAGTCACAGAGTAGAATCTTCCCTGTTATATACCAGGTTTCAGACACTCTTTCTGCACTACCTGGAAGTGGACATTTGCAGCGCTTTGAGGCCTATGATGAAAAAGGAAATATCTTCCCATAAAAACTAGACAGATGCATTCTCAGAAACTTGTTTGTGATGTGTGTATTCAACTAACAGAGATGAACCTTTCTTTTTACAGAGCAGTTTTGAAACACTCTTTTTGTGGAATCTGAAAGTGGATATTTGGATAGCTTTGAGGATTTCGTTGGAAACGGGATTACATATAAAACCTAGAGAGAAGCATTCTCAGGAACTTCTTTGTGATGTTTGCATTCACGTCACAGAACTGAACATTCGCTTTCATAGAGCATGTTTGAAACACTCTTTCTGTAGTATCTGCAAACGGACATTTCAAACGCTTTCCGGCCTATGGTGAGAAAGGAAATATCTTCAAATAAAAACTAGACAGAAGCATTCTCAGAAACTTATTTGCGATGTGTGTCCTCAACTAACAGAGTTGAACCTTTCTTTTGATACAACATTTTGGAAACACTCTTTTTGTAGAATCTGCAAGTGGATATTTGGATAGCTTTGAAGGTTTCGTTGGAAACGGGAATATCTTCATATAAAATCAAGACAGAAGCATTCTCAGAAACTTCTCTGTGATGTTTGCATTCAACTCATAGAGTTGAACACTTCCCTTCATACAGCAGGTTTGAAACACTCTTTTTGTAATATTTGGAAGTGGACATTTGCAGCGCTTTGAGGCCTATGTTGAAAAAGGAAATATCTTCTCCTAAAAACCAGACAGAAGCATTCTCAGAAACTTCCTTGTGATGTGTGTACTCAAGTAACAGAGTTGAACCTTCCTTTTGACAGAGCAGTTTTGAAGCAGTCTTTTTGTGGAATCTGCAAGTGGATATTTTGATACCTTTGAGGATTTCGTTGGACACGGGATATCTTCATATAAAATCTAGACAGAAGCATTCTCAGAAACTTCTTTGTGCTGTCTGTCCTCAATTAACAGAGTTGAACCTTTGTGTGGATACAGCATTTTGGAAACATTCCTTTAGTAGAATCTGCAAGTTGATATTTAGATAGCTAGGAAGATTTCCTTGGAAACGGGAATATCTTCATATAAAATCTAGACGGAAGCACTCTCAGAAAACTGCTTTGTGATGTTTTCATTCAAGTCACAGAGTAGAATGTTCCCTTTTATATACCAGGTTTGAGACACACTTTCTGCACTATCTGGAAGTGGACATTTGGAGCGCTTTGTGGCCTATGTTGAAAAAGGAAATATCTTCCCATAAAAACTAGACAGAAGCATTCTCAGAAACTTGTTTGTGATGTGTGTATTCAACTAACAGAGATGAACCTTTCTATTTACAGAGCAGTTTTGAAACACTCTTTTTGTGGAATCTGAAAGTGGATATTTGGATAGCTTCGAGGATTTCGTTGGAAACGGGATTACATATAAAATCTAGAGAGAAGCATTCTCAGGAACTTCTTTGTGATGTTTGCATTCAAGTCACAGAACTGAACATTCCCTTTCATAGAGCATGTTTGAAACACTCTTTCTGTAGTATCTGCAAGCGGACGTTTCAAGCGCTTTCAGGCCTATGGTGAGAAAGGAAATATCTTCAAGTAAAAACTAGACAGAAGCATTCTCAGAAACTTATTTGCCATGTGTGTTCTCAACTAACAGAGTTGAACCTTTGTTTTGATACGGCATTTTGGAAACACTCTTTTTGTAGAATCTGCAGGTGGATATTCGGATAGCTTTGAAGGTTTCGTTGGAAACGGGAATATCTTCATAGAAAATCTAGACGGAAGCATTCTCAGAAACTGCTTTGTGATGTTTTCATTGAAGTCACAGAGTAGAATGTTCCCTTTTATATACCAGGTTTGAGACACTCTTTCTGCACTATCTGGAAGTGGACATTTGGAGCGCATTGAGGCCTATGATGAAAAAGGAAATATCTTCCCATAAAAACTAGACAGAAGCATTCTCAGAAACTTGTTTGTGATGTGTGTATTCAACTAACAGAGATGAACCTTTCTTTTTACAGAGCAGTTTTGAAACACTCTTTTTGTGGAATCTGAAAGTGGATATTTGGATAGCTTTGAGGATTTCGTTGGAAACGGGATTACATATAAAATCTAGAGAGAAGCATTCTCAGGAACTTCTTTGTGATGTTTGCATTCACGTCACAGAACTGAACATTCCCTTTCATAGAGCATGTTTGAAACACTCTTTCTGTAGTATCTGCAAACGGACATTTCAAGCGCTTTCAGTCCTATGGTAATTAAGGAAATATCTTCAAATAAAAACTAGACAGAAGCATTCTCAGAAACTTATTTGCGATGTGTGTCCTCAACTAACAGAGTTGAACCTTTGTTTTGATACAACATTTTGGAAACACTCTTTTTGTAGAATCTGCAAGTGGATATTTGGATAGCTTTGAAGGTTTCGTTGGAAACGGGAATATCTTCATATAAAATCAAGACAGAAGCATTCTCAGAAACTTCTCTGTGATGTTTGCATTCAACTCATAGAGTTGAACACTTCCCTTCATAGAGCAGGTTTGAAACACTCTTTTTGTAATATTTGGAAGTGGACATTTGCAGCGCTTTGAGGCCTATGTTGAAAAAGGAAATATCTTCTCCTAAAAACCAGACAGAAGCATTCTCAGAAACTTCCTTGTGATGTGTGTACTCAAGTAACAGAGTTGAACCTTACCTTTGACAGAGCCGTTTTGAAACAGTCTTTTTGTAGAATCTGGAAGTAGATATTTGGACACCTTTGAGGATTTCTTTGGAAACGGGATATCTTCATATAAAATCTAGACAGAAGCATTCTCAGAAACTTCTTTGTGCTGTATGTCCTCAATTAACAGAGTTGAACCTTTGTGTGGATACAGCATTTTGGAAACACTCCTTTAGTAGAATCTGCTAGTTGATATATATATAGCTAGGAAGATTTCCTTGGAAACGGGAATATCTTCACATAAAATCTAGACGGAAGCATTCTCAGAAACTGCTTTGTGATGTCTTCATTCAAGTCACAGAGTAGAATGTTCCCTTTTATAGAGCAGGTTTGAAACACTCAGTGCACTACCTGGAAGTGGACATTTGGAGCGCTTTGAGGCCCATGTTGAAAAAGGAAATATCTTCCCATAGAAACTAGATAGAAGCATTCTCAGAAACTTGTTTGTGATGTGTGTATTCAACTAACAGAGTTGAACCTTTCTTTTTACAGAGCAGTTTTGAAACACTCTTTTTGTGGAATCTGAAAGTGGATATTTGGATAGCTTTGAGGATTTCGTTGGAAACGGGATTACATATAAAATCTAGAGAGAAGCATTCTCAGGAACTTCTTTGTGATGTTTGCATTCACGTCACAGAACTGAACATTCCCTTTCATAGAGCATGTTTGAAACACTCTTTCTGTAGTATCTGCAAACGGACATTTCAAACGCTTTCAGGCCTATGGTGAGAAAGGAAATATCTTCAAATAAAAACTAGACAGAAGCATTCTCAGAAACTTATTTGCGATGTGTGTCCTCAACTAACAGAGTTGAACCTTTCTTTTGATACAACATTTTGGAAACACTCTTTTTGTAGAATCTGCAAGTGGATATTTGAATAGCTTTGAAGGTTTCGTTGGAAACGGGAATATCTTCATATAAAATCAAGACAGAAGCATTCTCAGAAACTTCTCTGTGATGTTTGCATTCAACTCATAGAGTTGAACACTTCCCTTCATACAGCAGGTTTGAAACACTCTTTTTGTAATATTTGGAAGTGGACATTTGCAGCGCTTTGAGGCCTATGATGAAAAAGGAAATATCTTCCCATAAAAACTAGACAGAAGCATTCTCAGAAACTTGTTTGTGATGTGTGTATTCAACTAACAGAGATGAACCTTTCTTTTTACAGAGCAGTTTTGAAACACTCTTTTTGTGGAATCTGAAAGTGGATATTTGGATAGCTTTGCGGATTTCGTTGGAAACGGGATTACATATAAAATCTAGGGAGAAGCATTCAAAAAACTTCTTTGTGATGTTTGCATTCAAGTCACAGAACTGAACATTCCCTTTCATAGAGCATGTTTGAAACACTCTTTCTGTAGTATCTGCAAGCGGACGTTTCAAGCGCTTTCAGGCCTATGGTGAGAAAGGAAATATCTTCAAGTAAAAACTAGACAGAAGCATTCCCAGAAACTTATTTGCCATGTGTGTTCTCAACTAACAGAGTTGAACCTATGTTTTGATACGGCATTTTGGAAACACTCTTTTTGTAGAATCTGCAGGTGGATATTCGGATAGCTTTGAAGGTTTCGTTGGAAACGGGAATATCTTCATATAAAATCTAGACGGAAGCATTCTCAGAAACTTCTCTGTGATGTTTGCATTCAACTCATAGAGTTGAACACTTCCCTTCATACAGCAGGTTTGAAACACTCTTTTTCTAATATTTGGAAGTGGACATTTGCAGCGCTTTGAGGCCTATGTTGAAAAAGGAAATATCTTCTCCTAAAAACCAGACAGGAAGCATTCTCAGAAACTTCCTTGTGATGTGTGTACTCAAGTAACAGAGTTGAACCTTCCTTTTGACAGAGCAGTTTTGAAGCACTCTTTTTGTAGAATCTGCAAGTGGATATTTTGATACCTTTGAGGATTTCGTTGGACACGGGATATCTTCATATAAAATCTAGACAGAAGCATTCTCAGAAACTTATTTGCGATGTGTGTTCTCAACTAACAGAGTTGAACCTTTGTTTTGATATGGCATTATGGAAACACTCTTTTTGTAGAATCTGCAGGTGGATATTCGGATAGCTTTGAAGGTTTCGTTGGAAACGGGAATATCTTCATATAAAATCTAGACGGAAGCATTCTCAGAAACTGCTTCGTGATGTTTTCATTCAAGTCACAGAGTAGAATGTTCCCTGTTATATACCAGGTTTGAGACACTCTTTCTGCACTACCTGGAAGTGGACATTTGGAGCGCTTTGAGGCCTATGATGAAAAAGGAAATATCTTCCCATAAAAACTAGACAGAAGCATTCTCAGAAACTTGTTTGTGATGTGTGTATTCAACTAACAGAGATGAACCTTTCTTTTTACAGAGCAGTTTTGAAACACTCTTTTTGTGGAATCTGAAAGTGGATATTTGGATAGCTTTGAGGATTTCGTTGGAAACGGGATTACATATAAAATCTAGAGAGAAGCATTCTCAGGAACTTCTTTGTGATGTTTGCATTCAAGTCACAGAACTGAACATTCCCTTTCATAGAGCATGTTTGAAACACTCTTTCTGTAGTATCTGCAAGCGGACGTTTCAAGCGCTTTCAGGCCTATGGTGAGAAAGGAAATATCTTCAAGTAAAAACTAGACAGAAGCATTCTCAGAAACTTATTTGCCATGTGTGTTCTCAACTAACAGAGTTGAACCTTTGTTTTGATACGGCATTTTGGAAACACTCTTTTTGTAGAATCTGCAGTTGGATATTCGGATAGCTTTGAAGGTTTCGTTGGAAACGGGAATATCTTCATATTAAATCTAGACGGAAGCATTCTCAGAAACTGCTTTGTGATGTTTTCATTCAAGTCACAGAGTAGAATGTTCCCTTTTATATACCAGGTTTGAGACACTCTTTCTGCACTATCTGGAAGTGGACATTTGGAGCGCTTTGAGGCCTATGATGAAAAAGGAAATATCTTCCCATAAAAACTAGACAGAAGCATTCTCAGAAACTTGTTTGTGATGTGTGTATTCAACTAACAAGAGATGAACCTTTCTTTTTACAGAGCAGTTTTGAAACACTCTTTTTGTGGAATCTGAAAGTGGATATTTGGATAGCTTTGAGGATTTCGTTGGAAACGGGATTACATATAAAATCTAGAGAGAAGCATTCTCAGGAACTTCTTTGTGATGTTTGCATTCACGTCACAGAACTGAACATTCCCTTTCATAGAGCATGTTTGAAACACTCTTTCTGTAGTATCTGCAAACGGACATTTCAAACGCTTTCAGGCCTATGGTGAGAAAGGAAATATCTTCAAATAAAAACTAGACAGAAGCATTCTCAGAAACTTATTTGCGATGTGTGTCCTCAACTAACAGAGTTGAACCTTTCTTTTGATACAACATTTTGGAAACACTCTTTTTGTAGAATCTGCAAGTGGATATTTGCATAGCTTTGAAGGTTTCGTTGGAAACGGGAATATCTTCATATAAAATCAAGACAGAAGCATTCTCAGAAACTTCTCTGTGATGTTTGCATTCAACTCATAGAGTTGAACACTTCCCTTCATACAGCAGGTTTGAAACACTCTTTTTGTAATATTTGGAAGTGGACATTTGCAGCGCTTTGAGGCCTATGTTGAAAAAGGAAATATCTTCTCCTAAAAACCAGACAGAAGCATTCTCAGAAACTTCCTTGTGATGTGTGTACTCAAGTAACAGAGTTGAACCTTCCTTTTGACAGAGCAGTTTTGAAGCACTCTTTTTGTAGAATCTGCAAGTGGATATTTTGATACCTTTGAGGATTTCGTTGGACACGGGATATCTTCATATAAAATCTAGACAGAAGCATTCTCAGAAACTTCTTTGTGCTGTATGTCCTCAATTAACAGAGTTGAACCTTTGTGTGGATACAGCATTTTGGAAACATTCCTTTAGTAGAATCTGCAAGTTGATATTTAGATAGCTAGGAAGATTTCCTTGGAAACGGGAATATCTTCATATAAAATCTAGACGGAAGCATTCTCAGAAACTGCTTTGTGATGTTTTCATTCAAGTCACAGAGTAGAATGTTCCCTTTTATATACCAGGTTTGAGACACTCTTTCTGCAGTATCTGGAAGTGGACATTTGGAGCGCTTTGAGGCCTATGATGAAAAAGGAAATATCTTCCCATAAAAACTAGACAGAAGCATTCTCAGAATCTTTCTTGTGATGTGTGTACTCAAGTAACAGAGTTGAACCTTCATTTTGACAGAGCAGTTTTGAAGCACTCTTTTTGTAGAATCTGCAAGGGGATATTTTGATACCTTTGAGGATTTCGTTGGACACGGGATATCTTCATATAAAATCTAGACAGAAGCATTCTCAGGAACTTCTTTGTGATGTTTGCCTTCAAGTCACAGGACTGAACATTCCCTTTCATAGAGCAGGTTTGAAACACTCTTTCTGTAGTATCTGCAAGCTGACGTTTCAAGCGCTTTCAGGCCTATGGTGAGAAAGGAAATATCTTCAAGTAAAAACTAGACAGAAGCATTCTCAGAAACTTATTTGCCATGTGTGTTCTCAACTAACAGAGTTGAACCTTTGTTTTGATACGGCATTTTGCAAACACTCTTTTTGTAGAATCTGCAGGTGGATATTCGGATAGCTTTGAAGGTTTCGTTGGAAACGGGAATATCTTCATATAAAATCTAGACGGAAGCATTCTCAGAAACTGCTTTGTGATGTTTTCATTCAAGTCACAGAGTAGAATGTTCCCTGTTATATACCAGGTTTGAGACACTCTTTCTGCACTACCTGGAAGTGGACGTTTGGAGCGCTTTGAGGCCTATGTTGAAAAAGGAAATATCTTCCCATAAAAACTAGACAGAAGCATTCTCAGAAACTTGTTTGTGATGTGTGTATTCAACTAACAGAGATGAACCTTTCTTTTTACAGAGCAGTTTTGAAACACTCTTTTTGTGGAATCTGAAAGTGGATATTTGGATAGCTTTGAGGATTTCGTTGGAAACGGGATTACATATAAAATCTAGAGAGAAGCATTCTCAGGAACTTCTTTGTGATGTTTGCATTCACGTCACAGAACTGAACATTCCCTTTCATAGAGCATGTTTGAAACACTCTTTCTGTAGTATCTGCAAACGGACATTTCAAACGCTTTCAGGCCTATGGTGAGAAAGGAAATATCTTCAAGTAAAAACTAGACAGAAGCATTCTCAGAAACTTATTTGCGATGTGTGTCCTCAACTAACAGAGTTGAACCTTTCTTTTGATACAACATTTTGGAAACACTCTTTTTGTAGAATCTGCAAGTGGATATTTGAATAGCTTTGAAGGTTTCGTTGGAAACGGGAATATCTTCATATAAAATCAAGACAGAAGCATTCTCAGAAACTTCTCTGTGATGTTTGCATTCAACTCATAGAGTTGAACACTTCCCTTCATACAGCAGGTTTGAAACACTCTTTTTGTAATATTTGGAAGTGGACATTTGCAGCGCTTTGAGGCCTATGATGAAAAAGGTAATATCTTCCCATAAAAACTAGACAGAAGCATTCTCAGAAACTTGTTTGTGATGTGTGTATTCAACTAACAGAGATGAACCTTTCTTTTTACAGTGCAGTTTTGAAACACTCTTTTTGTGGAATCTGAAAGTGGATATTTGGATAGCTTTGCGGATTTCGTTGGAAACGGGATTACATATAAAACCTAGAGAGAAGCATTCTCAGGAACTCCTTTGTGATGTTTGCATTCACGTCACAGAACTGAACATTCCCTTTCATAGAGCATGTTTGAAACACTCTTTCTGTAGTATCTGCAAACGGACATTTCAAACGCTTTCAGGCCTATGGTGAGAAAGGAAATATCTTCAAGTAAACACTAGACAGAAGCATTCTCAGAAACTTATTTGCGATTTGTGTCCTCAACTAACAGAGTTGAACCTTTCTTTTGATGCAACATTTTGGAAACACTCTTTTTGTAAAATCTGCAAGTGGATATTTGAATAGCTTTGAAGGTTTCGTTGGAAACGGGAATATCTTCATATAAAATCAAGACAGAAGCATTCCCAGAAACTGCTTTGTGATGTTTTCATTCAAGTCACAGAGTAGAATGTTCCCTGTTATATACCAGGTTTGAGACACTCTTTCTGCACTACCTGGAAGTGGACATTTGGAGCGCTTTGAGGCCTATGATGAAAAAGGAAATATCTTCCCATAAAAACTAGACAGAAGCATTCTCAGAAACTTGTTTGTGATGTGTGTATTCAACTAACAGAGATGAACCTTTCTTTTTACAGAGCAGTTTTGAAACACTCTTTTTATGGAATCTGAAAGTGGATATTTGGATAGCTTTGAGGATTTCGTTGGAAACGAGATTACATATAAAATCTAGAGAGAAGCATTCTCAGGAACTTCTTTGTGATGTTTGCATTCAAGTCACAGAACTGAACATTCCCATTCATAGAGCAGGTTTGAAACACTCTTTCTGTAGTATCTGCAAGCTGACGTTTCAAGCGCTTTCAGGCCTATGGTGAGAAAGGAAATATCTTCAAGCAAAAACTAGACACAAGCATTCTCAGAAACTTATTTGCCATGTGTGTTCTCAACTAACAGAGTTGAACCTTTGTGTGGATACGGCATTTTGGAAACACTCTTTTTGTAGAATCTGCAGGTGGATATTCGGATAGCTTTGAAGGTTTCGTTGGAAACGGGAATATCTTCATATAAAATCTAGACGGAAGCATTCTCAGAAACTGCTTTGTGATGTTTTCATTCAAGTCACAGAGTAGAATGTTCCCTGTTATATACCAGGTTTGAGACACTCTTTCTGCACTACCTGGAAGTGGACGTTTGGAGCGCTTTGAGGCCTATGTTGAAAAAGGAAATATCTTCCCATAAAAACTAGACAGAAGCATTCTCAGAAACTTGTTTGTGATGTGTGTATTCAACTAACAGAGATGAACCTTTCTTTTTACAGAGCAGTTTTGAAACACTCTTTTTGTGGAATCTGAAAGTGGATATTTGGATAGCTTTGAGGATTTCGTTGGAAACGGGATTACATATAAAATCTAGAGAGAAGCATTCTCAGGAACTTCTTTGTGATGTTTGCATTCAAGTCACAGAACTGAACATTCCCTTTCATAGAGCAGGTTTGAAACACTCTTTCTGTAGTATCTGCAAGTGGACGTTTCAAGCGCTTTCAGGCCTGTGGTGAAAAAGGAAATATCTTCAAATAAAAACTAGACAGAAGCATTCTCAGAAACTTATTTGCGATGTGTGTTCTCAGCTAACAGAGTTGAACCTTTGTTTTGATACAGCATTTTGGAAACACTCTTTTTGTAGGATCTGCAGGTGGATATTTGGATAGCTTTGAAGGTTTCTTTGGAAACGGGAATATCTTCATATAAAATCAAGACAGAAGCATTCTCAGAAACTTCTCTGTGATGTTTGCATTCAACTCATAGAGTTGAACACTTCCTTTCATAGAGCTGGTTTGAAATACTCTTTTTGTAATATTTGGAAGTGGACATTGGCAGCGCTTTGAAGCCTATGGTGAAAAAGGAGATATCTTCTCCTAAAAACCAGACAGAAGCATTCTCAGAATCTTTCTTGTGATGTGTGTACTCAAGTAACAGAGTTGAACCTTCATTTTGACAGAGCAGTTTTGAAGCACTCTTTTTGTAGAATCTGCAAGTGGATATTTTGATACCTTTGAGGATTTCGTTAGACACGGGATATCTTCATATAAAATCTAGACAGAAGCATTCTCAGAAACTTCTTTGTGCTGTATGTCCTCAATTAACAGAGTTGAAACTTTGTGTGGATACAGCATTTTGGAAACATTCCTTTAGTAGAATCTGCAAGTTGATATTTAGATAGCTAGGAAGATTTCCTTGGAAACGGGAATATCTTCATATAAAATCTAGACGGAAACATTCTCAGAAACTTCTCTGTGATGTTTGCATTCAACTCATAGAGTTGAACACTTCCCTTCATAGAGCAGGTTTGAAACACTCTTTTTGTAATATTTGGAAGTGGACATTTGCAGCGCTTTGAGGCCTATGTTGAAAAAGGAAATATCTTCTCCTAAAAACAAGACAGAAGCATTCTCAGAAACTTCCTTGTGATGTGTGTACTCAAGTAACAGAGTTGAACCTTACTTTTGACAGAGCCGTTTTGAAACAGTCTTTTTGTAGAATCTGGAAGTAGATATTAGGATACCTTTGAGGATTTCTTTGGAAACGGGATATCTTCATATAAAATCTAGACAGAAGCATTCTCAGGAACTTCTTTGTGATGTTTGCCTTCAAGTCACAGGACTGAACATTCCCTTTCATAGAGCAGGTTTGAAACACTCTTTCTGTAGTATCTGCAAGCTGACGTTTCAAGCGCTTTCAGGCCTATGGTGACAAAGGAAATATCTTCAAGTAAAAACTAGACAGAAGCATTCTCAGAAACTTATTTGCGATGTGTGTTCTCAACTAACAGAGTTGAACCTTTGTTTTGATATGGCATTTTGGAAACACTCTTTTTGTAGAATCTGCAGGTGGATATTCGGATAGCTTTGAAGGTTTCGTTGGAAACGGGAATATCTTCCTATAAAATCTAGACGGAAGCATTCTCAGAAACTTCTCTGTGATGCTTGCATTCAAGTCATAGAGTTGAACACTTCCTTTCATAGAGCAGGTTTGAAACACTCTGTGCCCTACCTGGAAGTGGACATTTGGAGCGCTTTGATGCGTATGTTGAAAAAGGAAATATCTTCCCATAAAAACTAGACAGAAGCATTCTCAGAAACTTGTTTGTGATGTGTGCATTCAACTAACAGAGATTAACCTTTCTTTTTACAGAGCAGTTTTGAAACACTCTTTTTGTGGAATCTGAAAGTGGATATTTGGATAGCTTTGAGGATTTCGTTGGAAACGGGATTACATATAAAATCTAGGGAGAAGCATTCTCAGGAACTTCTTTGTGATGTTTGCATTCAAGTCACAGAACTGAACATTCCCTTTCATAGAGCAGGTTTGAAACACTCTTTCTGTAGTATCTGCAAGCTGACGTTTCAAGCGCTTTCAGGCCTATGGTGAGAAAGGAAATATCTTCAAGTAAAAACTAGACAGAAAGCATTCTCAGAAACTTATTTGCGATGTGTGTTCTCAACTAACAGAGTTGAACCTTTGTTTTGATATGGCATTTTGGAAACACTCTTTTTGTAGAATCTGCAGGTGGATATTCGGATAGCTTTGAAGGTTTCGTTGGAAACGGGAATATCTTCATATAAAATCTAGACGGAAGCATTCTCAGAAACTGCTTTGTGATGTTTTCATTCAAGTCACAGAGTAGAATGTTCCCTGTTATATACCAGGTTTGAGACACTCTTTCTGCACTACCTGGAAGTGGACATTTGCTGCGCTTTGAGGCCTATGATGAAAAAGGAAATATCTTCCCATAAAAACTAGACAGAAGCATTCTCAGAAACTTGTTTGTGATGTGTGTATTCAACTAACAGAGATGAACCTTTCTTTTTACAGAGCAGTTTTGAAACACTCTTTTTGTGGAATCTGAAAGTGGATATTTGGATAGCTTTGCGGATTTCGTTGGAAACGGGATTACATATAAAATCTAGGGAGAAGCATTCTCAGGAACTTCTTTGTGATGTTTGCATTCAAATCACAGAACTGAACATTCCCTTTCATAGAGCATGTTTGAAACACTCTTTCTGTAGTATCTGCAAACGGACATTTCAAACGCTTTCAGGCCTATGGTGAGAAAGGAAATATCTTCAAATAAAAACTAGACAGAAGCATTCTCAGAAACTCATTTGCGATGTGTGTCCTCAACTAACAGAGTTGAACCTTTCTTTTGATACAACATTTTGGAACCACTCTTTTTGTAGAATCTGCAAGTGGATATTTGGATAGCTTTGAAGGTTTCGTTGGAAACGGGAATATCTTCATATAAAATCAACACAGAAGCATTCTCAGAAACTTCTCTGTGATGTTTGCATTCAACTCATAGAGTTGAACACTTCCCTTCATACAACAGGTTTGAAACACTCTTTTTGTAATATTTAGAAGTGGACATTTGCAGCGCTTTGAGGCCTATGATGAAAAAGGAAATATCTTCCCATAAAAACTAGACAGAAGCATTCTCAGAAACTTCCTTGTGATGTGTGTACTCAAGTAAGAGAGTTGAACCTTACTTTTGACAGAGCCGTTTTGAAACAGTCTTTTTGTAGAATCTGGAAGTAGATATTTGGATACCTTTGAGGATTTCTTTGGAAACGGGATATCTTCATATAAAATCTAGACAGAAGCATTCTCAGGAACTTCTATGTGATGTTTGCATTCACGTCACAGAACTGAACATTCCCTTTCATAGAGCATGTTTGAAACACTCTTTCTGTAGTATCTGCAAACGGACATTTCAAGCGCTTTCAGGCCTATGGTAAGAAAGGAAATATCTTCAAATAAAAACTAGACAGAAGCATTCTCAGAAACTTATTTGCGATGTGTGTCCTCAACTAACAGAGTTGAACCTTTGTTTTGATACAACATTTTGGAAACACTCTTTTTGTAGAATCTGCAAGTGGATATTTGGATAGCTTTGAAGGTTTCGTTGGAAACGGGAATATCTTCATATAAAATCAAGACAGAAGCATTCTCAGAAACTTCTCTGTGATGTTTGCATTCAACTCATAGAGTTGAACACTTCCCTTCATAGAGCAGATTTGAAACACTCTTTTTGTAATATTTGGAAGTGGACATTTGCAGCTCTTTGAGGCCTATGTTGAAAAAGGAAATATCTTCTCCTAAAAACCAGACAGAAGCATTCTCAGAAACTTCCTTGTGATGTGTGTACTCAAGTAACAGAGTTGAACCTTCCTTTTGACAGAGCCGTTTTGAAACAGTCTTTTTGTAGAATCTGGAAGTAGATATTTGGATATCTTTGAGGATTTCTTTGGAAACGGGATATCTTCATATAAAATATAGACAGAAGCATTCTCAGGAACTTCTTTGTGATGTTTGCATTCAAGTCACAGAACTGAACATTCCCTTTCATAGATCAGGTTTGAAACACTCTTTCCGTAGTATCTGCAAGCGGACGTTTTAAGCGCTTTCAGGCCTGTGGTGAGAAAGGAAATATCTTCAAATAAAAACTAGACAGAAGCATTCTCAGAAACTTATTTGCCATGTGTGTTCTCAACTAACAGAGTTGAAACTTTGTTTTGATACGGCATTTTGGAAACACTCTTTTTGTAGAATCTGCAGGTGGATATTCGGATAGCTTTGAAGGTTTCGTTGGAAACGGGAATATCTTCATATAAAATCTAGACGGAAGCATTCTCAGAAACTTCTCTGTGATGTTTGCATTCAACTCATAGAGTTGAACACTTCCCTTCATACAGCAGGTTTGAAACACTCTTTTTGTAATATTTGGAAGTGGACATTTGCAGCGCTTTGAGGCCTATGTTGAAAAAGGAAATATCTTCTCCTAAAAACCAGACAGAAGCATTCTCAGAAACTTCCTTGTGATGTGTGTACTCAAGTAACAGAGTTGAACCTTCCTTTTGACAGAGCAGTTTTGAAGCACTCTTTTTGTAGAATCTGCAAGTGGATATTTTGATACCTTTGAGGATTTCGTTGGACACGGGATATCTTCATATAAAATCTAGACAGAAGCATTCTCAGAAACTTCTTTGTGCTGTATGTCCTCAATTAACAGAGTTGAACCTTTGTCTGGATACAGCATTTTGGAAACATTCCTTTAGTAGAATCTGCAAGTTGATATTTAGATAGCTAGGAAGATTTCCTTGGAAACGGGAATATCTTCATATAAAATCTAAACGGAAGCATTCTCAGAAACTGCTTTGTGATGTTTTCATTCAAGTCACAGAGTAGAATGTTCCCTTTTATAGAGCAGGTTTGAAACATTCTTTCTGCACTACCTGGAAGTGGACATTTGGAGCGCTTTGAGGCCTATGTTGAAAAAGGAAATATCTTCCCATAAAAACTAGACAGAAGCATTCTCAGAAACTTGTTTGTGATGTGTGTATTCAACTAACAGAGATGAACCTTTCTTTTTACAGAGCAGTTTTGAAACACTCTTTCTGTGGAATCTGAAAGTGGATATTTGGATAGCTTTGAGGATTTCGTTGGAAACGGGATTACATATAAAACCTAGAGAGAAGCATTCTCAGGAACTTCTTTGTGATGTTTGCATTCAAGTCAGAGAACTGAACATTCCCTTTCATAGAGCAGGTTTGAAACACTCTTTCTGTAGTATCTGCAAGCTGACGTTTCAAGCGCTTTCAGGCCTATGGTGAGAAAGGAAATATCTTCAAGTAAAAACTAGACAGAAGCATTCTCAGAAACTTATTTGCGATGTGTGTTCTCAACTAACAGAGTTGAACCTTTGTTTTGATACGGCATTTTGGAAACACTCTTTTTATAGAATCTGCAGGTGGATATTCGGATAGCTTTGAAGGTTTCGTTGGAAACGGGAATATCTTCATATAAAATCTAGACGGAAGCATTCTCAGAAACTGCTTTGTGATGTTTTCATTCAAGTCACAGAGTAGAATGTTCCCTGTTATATACCAGGTTTGAGACACTCTTTCTGCACTACCTGGAAGTGGACATTTGGAGCGCTTTGAGGCCTATGATGAAAAAGGAAATATCTTCCCATAAAAACTAGACAGAATCATTCTCAGAAACTTGTTTGTGATGTGTATATTCAACTAACAGAGATGAACCTTTCTTTTTACAGAGCAGTTTTGAAACACTCTTTTTGTGGAATCTGAAAGTGGATATTTGGATAGCTTTGAGGATTTCGTTGGAAACGGGATTACATATAAAATCTAGGGAGAAGCATTCTCAGGAACTTCTTTGTGATGTTTGCATTCACGTCACAGAACTGAACATTCCCTTTCATAGAGCATGTTTGAAACACTCTTTCTGTAGTATCTGCAAACGGACATTTCAAACGCTTTCAGGCCTATGGTGAGAAAGGAAATATCTTCAAATAAAAACTAGACAGAAGCATTCTCAGAAACTTATTTGCGATGTGTGTCCTCAACTAACAGAGTTGAACCTTTCTTTTGATACAACATTTTGGAAACACTCTTTTTGTAGAATCTGCAAGTGGATATTTGAATAGCTTTGAAGGTTTCGTTGGAAACGGGAATATCTTCAAATAAAAACTAGACAGAAGCATTCTCAGAAACTTATTTGCGATGTGTGTCCTCAACTAACAGAGTTGAACCTTTCTTTTGATACAACATTTTGGAAACACTCTTTTTGTAGAATCAGCAAGTGGATATTTGAATAGCTTTGAAGGTTTCGTTGGAAACGGGAATATCTTCATATAAAATCAAGACAGAAGCATTCTCAGAAACTTCTCTGTGATGTTTGCATTCAACTCATAGAGTTGAACACTTCCCTTCATACAGCAGGTTTGAAACACTCTTTTTGTAATATTTGGAAGTGGACATTTGCAGCGCTTTGAGGCCTATGATGAAAAAGGTAATATCTTCCCATAAAAACTAGACAGAAGCATTCTCAGAAACTTGTTTGTGATGTGTGTATTCAACTAACAGAGATGAACCTTTCTTTTTACAGAGCAGTTTTGAAACACTCTTTTTGTGGAATCTGAAAGTGGATATTTGGATAGCTTTGCGGATTTCGTTGGAAACGGGATTACATATAAAATCTAGGGAGAAGCACTCTCAGGAACTTCTTTGTGATGTTTGCATTCAAGTCACAGAACTGAACATTCCCTTTCATAGAGCAGGTTTGAAACACTCTTTCTGTAGTATCTGCAAGCGGACGTTTTAAGCGCTTTCAGGCCTGTGGTGAGAAAGGAAATATCTTCAAATAAAAACTAGACAGAAGCATTCTCAGAAACTTATTTGCGATGTGTGTCCTCAACTAACAGAGTTGAACCTTTGTTTTGATACAACATTTTGGAAACACTCTTTTTGAAGAATCTGCAAGTGGATATTTGGATAGCTTTGAAGGTTTCGTTGGAAACGGGAATATCTTCATATAAAATCAAGACAGAAGCATTCTCAGAAACTTCTCTGTGATGTTTGCATTCAACTCATAGAGTTGAACACTTCCCTTCATACAGCAGGTTTGAAACACTCTTTTTCTAATATTTGGAAGTGGACATTTGCAGCGCTTTGAGGCCTATGTTGAAAAAGGAAATATCTTCTCCTAAAAACCAGACAGAAGCATTCTCAGAAATTTCCTTGTGATGTGTGTACTCAAGTAACAGAGTTGAACCTTCCTTTTGACAGAGCAGTTTTGAAGCACTCTTTTTGTAGAATCTGCAAGTGGATATTTTGATACCTTTGAGGATTTCGTTGGACACGGGATATCTTCATATAAAATCTAGACAGAAGCATTCTCAGGAACTTCTTTGTGATGTTGACATTCAAGTCACAGAACTGAACATTCCCTTTCATAGAGCAGGTTTGAAACACTGTTTCTGTAGTATCTGCAAGGGGAAGTTTCAAGCGCTTTCAGGCCTGTGGTGAAAAAGGAAATATCTTCAAATAAAAACTAGACAGAAGCATTCTCAGAAACTTATTTGCGATGTGTGTTCTCAACTAACAGAGTTGAACCATTGTTTTGATACAGCATTTTGGAAACACTCTTTTTGTAGGATCTGCAGGTGGATATTTGGATAGCTTTGAAGGTTTCGTTGGAAACGGGAATATCTTCATATAAAATCAAGACAGAAGCATTCTCAGAAACTTCTCTGTGATGTTTGCATTCAACTCATAGAGTTGAACACTTCCCTTCATACAGCAGGTTTGAAACACTCTTTTTGTAATATTTGGAAGTGGACATTTGCAGCGCTTTGAGGCCTATGTTGAAAAAGGAAATATCTTCTCCTAAAAACCAGACAGAAGCATTCTCAGAAACTTCCTTGTGATGTGTGTACTCAAGTAACAGAGTTGAACCTTCCTTTTGACAGAGCAGTTTTGAAGCACTCTTTTTGTAGAATCTGCAAGTGGATATTTTGATACCTTTGAGGATTTCGTTGGACACGGGATATCTTCATATAAAATCTAGACAGAAGCATTCTCAGAAACTTCTTTGTGCTGTATGTCCTCAATTAACAGAGTTGAACCTTTGTGTGGATACAGCATTTTGGAAACATTCCTTTAGTAGAATCTGCAAGTTGATATTTAGATAGCTAGGAAGATTTCCTTGGAAACGGGAATATCTTCATATAAAATCTAGACGGAAGCATTCTCAGAAAGTGCTTTGTGATGTTTGCATTCAAGTCACAGAGTTGAATATTCCCTTTTATAGAGCAGGTTTGAAACACTCTTTCTGCACTACCTGGAAGTGGACATTTGGAGGGCTTTGAGGCCTATGTTGAAAAAGGAAATATCTTCCCATAAAAACTAGACAGAAGCATTCTCAGAAACTTGTTTGTGATGTGTGTATTCAACTAACAGAGATGAACCTTTCTTTTTACAGAGTAGTTTTGAAACACTCTTTTTGTGGAATCTGAAAGTGGATATTTGGATAGCTTTGAGGAATTCGTTGCAAACGGGATTACATATAAAATCTAGAGAGAAGCATTCTCAGGAACTTCTTTGTGATGTTTGCATTCAAGTCACAGAACTGAACATTCCCTTTCATAGAGCAGGTTTGAAACACTCTTTCTGTGGTATCTGCAAGCGGACGTTTCAAGCGCCTTCAGGCCTGTGGTGAAAAAGGAAATATCTTCAAATAAAAACTAGACAGAAGCATTCTCAGAAACTTCTTTGTGCTGTATGTCCTCAATTAACAGAGTTGAACCTTTGTGTGGATACAGCATTTTGGAAACATTCCTTTAGTAGAATCTGCAAGTTGATATTTAGATAGCTAGGAAGATTTCCTTGAAAACGGGAATATCTTCATATAAAATCTAGACGGAAGCATTCTCAGAAACTGCTTTGTGATGTTTTCATTCAAGTCACAGAGTAGAATGTTCCCTGTTATATACCAGGTTTGAGACACTCTTTCTGCACTACCTGGAAGTGGACATTTGCAGCGCTTTGAGGCCTATGATGAAAAAGGAAATATCTTCCCATAAAAAACTAGACAGAAGCATTCTCAGAAACTTGTTTGTGATGTGTGTATTCAACTAACAGAGATGAACCTTTCTTTTTACAGAGCAGTTTTGAAACACTCTTTTTGTGGAATCTGAAAGTGGATATTTGGATAGCTTTGAGGATTTCGTTGGAAACGGGATTACATATAAAAACCTAGGGAGAGGAAGCATTCTCAGGAACTTCTTTGTGATGTTTGCATTCACGTCACAGAACTGAACATTCCCTTTCATAGAGCATGTTTGAAACACTCTTTCTGTAGTATCTGCAAACGGACATTTCAAACGCTTTCAGGCCTATGGTGAGAAAGGAAATATCTTCAAATAAAAACTAGACAGAAGCATTCTCAGAAACTTATTTGCGATGTGTGTTCTCAGCTAACAGAGTTGAACCTTTGTTTTGATACAGCATTTTGGAAACACTCTTTTTGTAGGATCTGCAGGTGGATATTTGGATAGCTTTGAAGGTTTCGTTGGAAACGGGAATATCTTCATATAAAATCTAGACGGAAGCATTCTCAGAAAATTCTCTGTTCTGTTTGCATTCAACTCATAGAGTTGAACACTTCCTTTCATAGAGCTGGTTTGAAATACTCTTTTTGTAATATTTGGAAGTGGACATTGGCAGCGCTTTTAAGCCTATGGTGAAAAAGGAGATATCTTCTCATAAAAACCAGACAGAAGCATTCTCAGAATCTTTCTTGTGATGTGTGTACTCAAGTAACAGGGTTGAACCTTCATTTTGACAGAGCAGTTTTGAAGCACTCTTTTTGTAGAATCTGCAAGTGGATATTTTGATACCTTTGAGGATTTCGTTAGACACGGGATATCTTCATATAAAATCTAGACAGAAGCATTCTCAGGAACTTCTTTGTGATGTTTGCATTCACGTCACGGAACTGAACATGCCCTTTCATAGAGCATGTTTGAAACACTCTTTCTGTAGTATCTGCAAACGGACATTTCAAACGCTTTCAGGCCTATGGTGAGAAAGGAAATATCTTCAAATAAAAACTAGACAGAAGCATTCTCAGAAACTTATTTGCGATGTGTGTCCTCAACTAACAGAGTTGAACCTTTCTTTTGATACAACATTTTGGAAACACTCTTTTTGTAGAATCTGCAAGTGGATATTTGGATAGCTTTGAAGGTTTCGTTGGAAACGGGAATATCTTCATATAAAATCAAGACAGAAGCATTCTCAGAAACTTCTCTGTGATGTTTGCATTCAACTCATAGAGTTGAACACTTCCCTTCATACAGCAGGTTTGAAACACTCTTTTTGTAATATTTGGAAGTGGACATTTGCAGCGCTTTGAGGCCTATGATGAAAAAGGTAATATCTTCCCATAAAAACTAGACAGAAGCATTCTAAGAAACTTGTTTGTGATGTGTGTATTCAAATAACAGAGATGAACCTTTCTTTTTACAGAGCAGTTTTGAAACACTCTTTTTGTGGAATCTGAAAGTGGATATTTGGATAGCTTTGAGGATTTCGTTGGAAACGGGATTACATATAAAATCTAGAGAGAAGCATTCTCAGGAACTTCTTTGTGATGTTTGCATTCAAGTCACAGAACTGAACATTCCCTTTCATAGAGTATGTTTGAAACACTCCTTCTGTAGTATCTGCAAGCGGACGTTTCAAGCGCTTTCAGGCCTATGGTGAGAAAGGAAATATCTTCAAGTAAAAACTAGACAGAAGCATTCTCAGAAACTTATTTGCGATGTGTGTCCTCAACTAACAGAGTTGAACCTTTCTTTTGATACAACATTTTGGAAACACTCTTTCTGTAGAATCTGCAAGTGGATATTTGGATAGCTTTGAAGGTTTCGTTGGAAACGGGAATATCTTCATATGAAATCAAGACAGAAGCATTCTCAGAAACTTCTCTGTGATGTTTGCATTCAACTCATAGAGTTGAACACTTCCCTTCATACAGCAGGTTTGAAACACTCTTTTTCTAATATTTGGAAGTGGACATTTGCAGCGCTTTGAGGCCTATGTTGAAAAAGGAAATATCTTCTCCTAAAAACCAGACAGAAGCATTCTCAGAAACTTCCTTGTGATGTGTGTACTCAAGTAACAGAGTTGAACCTTCCTTTTGACAGAGCAGTTTTGAAGCACTCTTTTTGTAGAATCTGCAAGTGGATATTTTGATACCTTTGAGGATTTCGTTGGACACGGGATATCTTCATATAAAATCTAGACAGAAGCATTCTCAGAAACTTCTTTGTGCTGTATGTCCTCAATTAACAGAGTTGAACCTTTGTGTGGATACAGCATTTTGGAAACATTCCTTTAGTAGAATCTGCAAGTTGATATTTAGATAGCTAGGAAGATTTCCTTGGAAACGGGAATATCTTCATATAAAATCTAGACGGAAGCATTCTCAGAAAGTGCTTTGTGATGTTTGCATTCAAGTCACAGAGTTGAATATTCCCTTTTATAGAGCAGGTTTGAAACACTCTTTCTGCACTACCTGGAAGTGGACATTTGGAGCGCTTTGAGGCCTATGATGAAAAACGAAATATCTTCCCATAAAAACTAGACAGAAGCATTCTCAGAAACTTGTTTGTGATGTGTGTATTCAACTAACAGAGATGAACCTTTCTTTTTACAGAGCAGTTTTGAAACACTCTTTTTGTGGAATCTGAAAGTGGATATTTGGATAGCTTTGAGGATTTCGTTGGAAACGGGATTACATATAAAATCTAGAGAGAAGCATTCTCAGGAACTTCTTTGTGATGTTTGCATTCACGTCACAGAACTGAACATTCCCTTTCATAGAGCATGTTTGAAACACTCTTTCTGTAGTATCTGCAAACGGACATTTCAAACGCTTTCAGGCCTATGGTGAGAAAGGAAATATCTTCAAGTAAAAACTAGACAGAAGCATTCTCAGAAACTTATTTGCGATGTGTGTCCTCAACTAACAGAGTTGAACCTTTCTTTTGATACAACATTTTGGAAACACTCTTTTTGTAGAATCTGCAAGTGGATATTTGAATAGCTTTGAAGGTTTCGTTGGAAATGGGAATATCTTCATATAAAATCAAGACAGAAGCATTCTCAGAAACTTCTCTGTGATGTTTGCATTCAACTCATAGAGTTGAACACTTCCCTTCATACAGCAGGTTTGAAACACTCTTTTTGTAATATTTGGAAGTGGACATTTGCAGCGCTTTGAGGCCTATGATGAAAAAGGAAATATCTTCCCATAAAAACTAGACAGAGGCATTCTCAGAAACTTATTTGCGATGTGTGTTCTCAACTAACAGAGTTGAACCTTTGTTTTGATACAGCATTTTGGAAACACTCTTTTTGTAGGATCTGCAGGTGGATATTTGGATAGCTTTGAAGGTTTCGTTGGAAAGGGGAATATCTTCATATAAAATCAACACAGAAGCCTTCTCAGAAACTTCTCTGTGATGTTTGCATTCAACTCATACAGTTGAACACTTCCTTTCATAGAGCTGGTTTGAAATTCTCTTTTTGTAATATTTGGAAGTGGACATCGGCAGCGCTTTGAAGCCTATGGTTAAAAAGGAGATATCTTCTCCTAAAAACCAGACAGAAGCATTCTCAGAATCTTTCTTGTGATGTGTGTACTCAAGTAACAGAGTTGAACCTTCAATTTTGACAGAGCAGTTTTGAAGCACTCTTTTTCTAGAATCTGCAAGTGGATATTTTGATACCTTTGAGGATTTCGTTGGACACGGGATATCTTCATATAAAATCTAGACAGAAGCATTCTCAGAAACTTCTCTGTGATGTTTGCATTCAACTCATAGAGTTGAACACTTCCCTTCATACAGCAGGTTTGAAACACTCTTTTTGTAATATTTGGAAGTGGACATTTGCAGCGCTTTGAGGCCTATGTTGAAAAAGGAAATATCTTCTCCTAAAAACCAGACAGAAGCATTCTCAGAAACTTCCTTGTGATGTGTGTACTCAAGTAACAGAGTTGAACCTTCCTTTTGACAGAGCAGTTTTGAAGCACTCTTTTTGTAGAATCTGCAAGTGGATATTTTGATACCTTTGAGGATTTCGTTGGACACGGGATATCTTCATATAAAATCTAGACAGAAGCATTCTCAGAAACTTATTTGCCATGTGTAGTTCTCAACTAACAGAGTTGAACCTTTGTTTTGATACGGCATTTTGGAAACACTCTTTTTGTAGAATCTGCAGGTGGATATTCGGATAGCTTTGAAGGTTTCGTTGGAAACGGGAATATCTTCATATAAAATCTAGACGGAAGCATTCTCAGAAACTGCTTTGTGATGTTTTCATTCAAGTCACAGAGTAGAATGTTCCCTTTTATAGAGCAGGTTTGAGACACTCTTTCTGCACTACCTGGAAGTGGACATTTGGAGCGCTTTGAGGCCTATGTTGAAAAAGGAAATATCTTCCCATAAAAACTAGACAGAAGCATTCTCAGAAACTTGTTTGTGATATGTGTATTCAACTAACAGCGATGAACCTTTCTTTTTACAGAGCAGTTTTGAAACACTCTTTTTGTGGAATGTGTAAGTGGATATTTGGATAGCTTTGAGGATTTCGTTGGAAACGGGATTACATATAAAATCTAGAGAGAAGCATTCTCAGGAACTTCTTTGTGGTGTTTGCATTCAAGTCACAGAACTGAACATTCCCTTTCATAGAGCAGGTTTGAAACACTCTTTCTGTAGTATCTGCAAGCGGACGTTTCAAGCGCTTTCAGGCCTGTGGTGAAAAAGGAAATATCTTCAAATAAAAACTAGACAGAAGCATTCTCAGAAACTTATTTGCGATGTGTGTTCTCAGCTAACAGAGTTGAACCTTTGTTTTGATACAGCATGTTGGAAACACTCTTTTTGTAGGATCTGCAGGTGGATATTTGGATAGCTTTGAAGGTTTCGTTGGAAACGGGAATATCTTTATATAAAATCAAGACAGAAGCATTCTCAGAAACTGCTTTGTGATGTTTTCATTCAAGTCACACAGTAGAATCTTCCCTGTTATATACCAGGTTTCAGACACTCTTTCTGCACTACCTGGAAGTGGACATTTGCAGCGCTTTGAGGCCTATGATGAAAAAGGAAATATCTTCCCATAAAAACTAGACAGAAGCATTCTCAGAAACTTGTTTGTGATGTGTGTATTCAACTAACAGAGATGAACCTTTCTTTTTACAGAGCAGTTTTGAAACACTCTTTTTGTGGAATCTGAAAGTGGATATTTGGATAGCTTTGAGGATTTCGTTGGAAACGGGATTACATATAAAATCTAGAGAGAAGCATTCTCAGGAACTTCTTTGTGATGTTTGCATTCACGTCACAGAACTGAACATTCCCTTTCATAGAGCATGTTTGAAACACTCTTTCTGTAGTATCTGCAAACGGACATTTCAAACGCTTTCAGGCCTATGGTGAGAAAGGAAATATCTTCAAATAAAAACTAGACAGAAGCATTCTCAGAAACTTATTTGCGATGTGTGTCCTCAACTATCAGAGTTGAACCTTTCTTTTGATACAACATTTTGGAACCACTCTTTTTGTAGAATCTGCAAGTGGATATTTGAATAGCTTTGAAGGTTTCGTTGGAAACGGGAATATCTTCATATAAAATCAAGACAGAAGCATTCTCAGAAACTTCTCTGTGATGTTTGCATTCAACTCATAGAGTTGAACACTTCCCTTCATACAGCAGGTTTGAAACACTCTTTTTGTAATATTTGGAAGTGGACATTTGCAGCGCTTTGAGGCCTATGATGAAAAAGGAAATATCTTCCCATAAAAACTAGACAGAAGCATTCTCAGAAACTTATTTGCGATGTGTGTCCTCAACTAACAGAGTTGAACCTTTGTTTTGATACAACATTTTGGAAACACTCTTTTTGTAGAATCTGCTGGTGGATACTTGGATAGCTTTGAAGGTTTCGTTGGAAACGGGAATATCTTCACATAAAATCAAGACAGAAGCATTCTCAGAAACTTCTCTGTGATGTTTGCATTCAATTCATAGTGTTGAACGCTTCCTTTCATAGAGCAGGTTTGAAACACTCTTTTTGTAATATTTGGAAGTGGACATTGGCAGCACTTTGAGGCCTATGGTGAAAAAGGAAATATCTTCTCCTACAAACCAGACAGAAGCATTCTCAGAAACTTATTTGCGATGTGTGTTCTCAACTAAAAGAGTTGAACCTTTGTTTGGATACAGCACTTTGGAAACACTCTTTTTGTAGAATCTGCAAGTGGATATTTGGATAGCTTTGAAGGTTTCGTTGGAAACGGGAATATCTTCATATAAAATCAAGAGAGAAGCATTCTCAGAAACTTCTCTGTGATGTTTGCATTCAACTCATAGAGTTGAACACTTCCCTTCATACAGCAGGTTTGAAACACTCTTTTTCTAATATTTGGAAGTGGACATTTGCAGCGCTTTGAGGCCTATGTTGAAAAAGGAAATATCTTCTCCTAAAAACCAGACAGAAGCATTCTCAGAAACTTCCTTGTGATGTGTGTACTCAAGTAACAGAGTTGAACCTTCCTTTTGACAGAGCAGTTTTGAAGCACTCTTTTTGTAGAATCTGCAAGTGGATATTTTGATACCTTTGAGGATTTCGTTGGACACGGGATATCTTCATATAAAATCTAGACAGAAGCATTCTCAGAAACTTCTTTGTGCTGTATGTCCTCAATTAACAGAGTTGAACCTTTGTGTGGATACAGCATTTTGGAAACATTCCTTTAGTAGAATCTGCAAGTTGATATTTAGATAGCTAGGAAGATTTCCTTGGAAACGGGAATATCTTCATATAAAATCTAGACGGAAGCATTCTCAGAAAGTGCTTTGTGATGTTTGCATTCAAGTCACAGAGTTGAATGTTCCCTTTTATAGAGCAGGTTTGAAACACTCTTTCTGCACTACCTGGAAGTGGACATTTGGAGCGCTTTGAGGCCTATGTTGAAAAAGGAAATATCTTCCCATAAAAACTAGACAGAAGCATTCTCAGAAACTTGTTTGTGATGTGGGTATTCAACTAACAGAGATGAACCTTTCTTTTTACAGAGCAGTTTTGAAACACTCTTTTTGTGGAATCTGAAAGTGGATATTTGGATAGCTTTGAGGATTTCTTTGGAAACGGGATTACATGTAAAACCTAGAGAGAAGCATTCTCAGGAACTTCTTTGTGATGTTTGCATTCAAGTCACAGAACTGAACATTCCCTTTCATAGAGCAGGTTTGAAACACTCTTTCTGTAGTATCTGCAAGCTGACGTTTCAAGCGCTTTCAGGCCTATGGTGAGAAAGGAAATATCTTCAAGTAAAAACTAGACAGAAGCATTCTCAGAAACTTATTTGCGATGTGTGTTCTCAACTAACAGAGTTGAACCTTTGTTTTGATATGGCATTTTGGAAACACTCTTTTTGTAGAATCTGCAGGTGGATATTCGGATAGCTTTGAAGGTTTTGTTGGAAACGGGAATATCTTCATATAAAATCTAGACGGAAGCATTCTCAGAAACTGCTTTGTGATGTTTTCATTCAAGTCACACAGTAGAATGTTCCCTGTTATATACCAGGTTTGAGACACTCTTTCTGCACTACCTGGAAGTGGACATTTGCAGCGCTTTGAGGCCTATGATGAAAAAGGAAATATCTTCCCATAAAAACTAGACAGAAGCATTCTCAGAAACTTGTTTTTGATGTGTGTATTCAACTAACAGAGATGAACCTTTCTTTTTACAGAGCAGTTTTGAAACACTCTTTTTGTGGAATCTGAAAGTGGATATTTGGATAGCTTTGAGGATTTCGTTGGAAACGGGATTAAATATAAAATCTAGAGAGAAGCATTCTCAGGAACTTCTTTGTGATGTTTGCATTCACGTCACAGAACTGAACATTCCCTTTCATAGAGCATGTTTGAAACACTCTTTCTGTAGTATCTGCAAACGGACATTTCAAACGCTTCAGGCCTATGGTGAGAAAGGAAATATCTTCAAATAAAAACTAGACAGAAGCATTCTCAGACACTTCTTTGTGCTGTATGTCCTCAATTAACAGAGTTGAACCTTTGTTTCGATACGGCATTTTGGAAACTTTCCTTTAGTAGAATCTGCAAGTTGATATTTAGATAGCTAGGAAGATTTCCTTGGAAACGGGAATATCTTCATATAAAATCTAGACGGAAGCATTCTCAGAAACTTCTCTGTGATGTTTGCATTCAACTCATAGAGTTGAACACTTCCCTTCATACAGCAGGTTTGAAACACTCTTTTTGTAATATTTGGAAGTGGACATTTGCAGCGCTTTGAGGCCTATGATGAAAAAGGAAATATCTTCCCATAAAAACTAGACAGAAGCATTCTCAGAAACTTGTTTGTGATGTGTGTATTCAACTAACAGAGATGAACCTTTCTTTTTACAGAGCAGTTTTGAAACACTCTTTTTGTGGAATCTGAAAGTGGATATTTGGATAGCTTTGCGGATTTCGTTGGAAACGGGATTACATATAAAATCTAGGGAGAAGCATTCTCAGGAACTTCTTTGTGATATTTGCATTCAAGTCACAGAACTGAACATTCCCTTTCATAGAGCAGGTTTGAAACACTCTTTCTGTAGTATCTGCAAGCGGACGTTTTAAGCGCTTTCAGGCCTGTGGTGAGAAAGGAAATATCTTCAAATAAAAACTAGACAGAAGCATTCTCAGAAACTTATTTGCGATGTGTGTTCTCAACTAAAAGAGTTGAACCTTTGTTTGGATACAGCATTTTGGAAACACTCTTTTTGTAGAATCTGCAAGTGGATATTTGGATAGCTTTGAAGGTTTCTTTGGAAACGGGAATATCTTCATATAAAATCAACACAGAAGCATTCTCAGAAACTTCTCTGTGATGTTTGCATTCAACTCATAGAGTTGAACACTTCCCTTCGTACAGCAGGTTTGAAACACTCTTTTTCTAATATTTGGAAGTGGACATTTGCAGCGCTTTGAGGCCTATGTTGAAAAAGGAAATATCTTCTCCTAAAAACCAGACAGAAGCATTCTCAGAAACTTCCTTGTGATGTGTGTACTCAAGTAACAGAGTTGAACCTTCCTTTTGACAGAGCAGTTTTGAAGCACTCTTTTTGTAGAATCTGCAAGTGGATATTTTGATACCTTTGAGGATTTCGTTGGACACGGGATATCTTCATATAAAATCTAGACAGAAGCATTCTCAGACACTTATTTGCGATGTGTGTCCTCAACTAACAGAGTTGAACCTTTCTTTTGATACAACATTTTGGAAACACTCTTTTTGTAGAATCTGCAAGTGGATATTTGGATAGCTTTGAAGGTTTCGTTGGAAACGGGAATATCTTCATATGAAATCAAGACAGAAGCGTTCTCAGAAAGTGCTTTGTGATGTTTGCATTCAAGTCACAGAGTTGAATATTCCCTTTTATAGAGCAGGTTTGAAACACTCTTTCTGCACTACCTGGAAGTGGACATTTGGAGCGCTTTGAGGCCTATGTTGAAAAAGGAAATATCTTCCCATAAAAACTAGACAGAAGCATTCTCAGAAACTTGTTTGTGATGTGTGTATTCAACTAACAGAGATGAACCTTTCTTTTTACAGAGCAGTTTTGAAACACTCTTTTTGTGGAAACTGAAAGTGGATATTTGGATAGCTTTGAGGATTTCGTTGGAAACGGGATTACATATAAAACCTAGAGAGAAGCATTCTCAGGAACTTCTTTGTGATGTTTGCATTCACGTCACAGAACTGAACATTCCCTTTCATAGAGCATGTTTGAAAAACTCTTTCTGTAGTATCTGCAAACGGACATTTCAAGGGCTTTCAGTCCTATGGTAAGAAAGGAAATATCTTCAAATAAAAACTAGACAGAAGCATTCTCAGAAACTTATTTGCCATGTGTGTTCTCAACTAACAGAGTTGAACCTTTGTTTTGATACGGCATTTTGGAAACACTCTTTTTGTAGAATCTGCAGGTGGATATTCGGATAGCTTTGAAGGTTTCGTTGGAAACGGGAATATCTTCATATAAAATCTAGACGAAGCATTCTCAGAAAGTTCTTTGTGATGTTTGCATTCAAGTCACAGTGCTGAACATTCCCTTTCATAGAGCAGGTTTGAAACACTCTTTCTGCACTACCTGGAAGTGGACATTTGGAGCGCTTTGAGGCCTATGTTGAAAAAGGAAATATCTTCCCATAAAAACTAGACAGAAGCATTCTCAGAAACTTGTTTGTGATGTGTGTATTCAACTAACAGAGATGAACCTTTCTTTTTACAGAGCAGTTTTGAAACACTCTTTTTGTGGAATCTGAAAGTGGATACTTGGATAGCTTTGAGGATTTCGTTGGAAACGGGATTACATATAAAATCTAGAGAGAAGCATTCTCAGGAACTTCTTTGTGATGTTTGCATTCAAGTCACAGAACTGAACATTCCCTTTCATAGAGCATGTTTGAAACACTCTTTCTGTAGTATCTGCAAGCGGACGTTTTAAGCGCTTTCAGGCCTGTGGTGAGAAAGGAAATATCTTCAAATAAAAACTAGACAGAAGCATTCTCAGAAACTTATTTGCGATGTGTGTTCTCAACTAACAGAGTTGAACCTTTGTTTTGATACAGCATTTTGGAAACACTCTTTTTGTAGGATCTGCAGGTGGATATTTGGATAGCTTTGATGGTTTCGTTGGAAACGGGAATATCCTCATATAAAATCAAGACAAAAGCATTCTCAGAAACTTCTCTGTGATGTTTGCATTCAACTCATAGAGTTGAACACTTCCCTTCATACAGCAGGTTTGAAACACTCTTTTTCTAATATTTGGAAGTGGACATTTGCAGCGCTTTGAGGCCTATGTTGAAAAAGGAAATATCTTCTCCTAAAAACCAGACAGAAGCATTCTCAGAAACTTCCTTGTGATGTGTGTACTCAAGTAACAGAGTTGAACCTTCATTTTGACAGAGCAGTTTTGAAGCACTCTTTTTGTAGAATCTGCAAGTGGATATTTTGATACCTTTGAGGATTTCGTTAGACACGGGATATCTTCATATAAAATCTAGACAGAAGCATTCTCAGAAACTTCTTTGTGCTGTATGTCCTCAATTAACAGAGTTGAACCTTTGTGTGGATACAGCATTTTGGAAACATTCCTTTAGTAGAATCTGCAAGTTGATATTTAGATAGCTAGGAAGATTTCCTTGGAAACGGGAATATCTTCATATAAAATCTAGACGGAAGCATTCTCAGAAAGTGCTTTGTGATGTTTGCATTCAAGTCACAGAGTTGAATATTCCCTTTTATAGAGCAGGTTTGAAACACTCTTTCTGCACTACCTGGAAGTGGACATTTGGAGGGCTTTGAGGCCTATGTTGAAAAAGGAAATATCTTCTCATAAAAACTAGACAGAAGCATTCTCAGAAACTTGTTTGTGATGTGTGTATTCAACTAACAGAGATGAACCTTTCTTTTTACAGAGCAGTTTTGAAACACTCTTTTTGTGGAATCTGAAAGTGGATATTTGGATACCTTTGAGGATTTCGTTGGAAACGGGATTACATATAAAATCTAGGGAGAAGCATTCTCAGGAACTTCTTTGTGATGTTTGCATTCACGTCACAGAACTGAACATTCCCTTTCATAGAGCATGTTTGAAACACTCTTTCTGTAGTATCTGCAAACAGACATTTCAAACGCTTTCAGGCCTATGGTGAGAAAGGAAATATCTTCAAATAAAAACTAGACAGAAGCATTCTCAGAAACTTATTTGCTATGTGTGTTCTCAACTAACAGAGTTGAACCTTTGTTTTGATGCGGTATTTTGGAAACACTCTTTTTGTAGAATCTGCAGGTGGATATTCGGATAGCTTTGAAGGTTTCGTTGGAATCGGGAATATCTTCATATAAAATCTAGACGGAAGCATTCTCAGAAACTGCTTTGTGATGTTTTCATTCAAGTCACAGAGTAGAATGTTCCCTGTTATATACCAGGTTTGAGACACTCTTTCTGCACTACCTGGAAGTGGACGTTTGGAGCGCTTTGAGGCCTATGTTGAAAAAGGAAATATCTTCCCATAAAAACTAGACAGAAGCATTCTCAGAAACTTGTTTGTGATGTGTGTATTCAACTAACAGAGATGAACCTTTCTCTTTACAGAGCAGTTTTGAAACACTCTTTTTGTGGAATCTGAAAGTGGATATTTGGATAGCTTTGAGGATTTCGTTGGAAACGGGATTACATATAAAATCTAGGGAGAAGCATTCTCAGGAACTTCTTTGTGATGTTTGCATTCACGTCACAGAACTGAACATTCCCTTTCATAGAGCAGGTTTGAAACACTCTTTCTGTAGTATCTGCAAGCTGACGTTTCAAGCGCTTTCAGGCCTATGGTGAGAAAGGAAATATCTTGAAGTAAAAACTAGACAGAAGCATTCTCAGAAACTTATTTGCCATGTGTGTTCTCAACTAACAGACTTGAACCTTTGTTTTGATACGACATTTTGGAAACACTCTTTTTGTAGAATCTGCAGGTGGATATTCGGATAGCTTTAAAGGTTTCGTTGGAAACGGGAATATCTTCATATAAAATCTAGACGGAAGCATTCTCAGAAACTGCTTTGTGATGTTTTCATTCAAGTCACAGAGTAGAATGTTCCCTGTTATATACCAGGTTTGAGTCACTCTTTCTGCACTACCTGGAAGTGGACATTTGGAGCGCTTTGAGGCCTATGATGAAAAAGGAAATATCTTCCCATAAAAACTAGACAGAAGCATTCTCAGAAACTTGTTTGTGATGTGTGTATTCAACTAACAGAGATGAACCTTTCTTTTTACAGAGCAGTTTTGAAACACTCTTTTTGTGGAATCTGAAAGTGGATATTTGGATAGCTTTGAGGATTTCGTTGGAAACGGGATTACATATAAAATCTAGAGAGAAGCATTCTCAGGAACTTCTTTGTGATGTTTGCATTCACGTCACAGAACTGAACATTCCCTTTCATAGAGCATGTTTGAAACACTCTTTCTGTAGTATCTGCAAACGGACATTTCAAACGCTTTCAGGCCTATGGTGAGAAAGGAAATATCTTCAAGTAAAAACTAGACAGAAGCATTCTCAGAAACTTATTTGCGATGTGTGTTCTCAGCTAACAGAGTTGAACCTTTGTTTTGATACAGCATTTTGGAAACACTCTTTTTGTAGGATCTGCAGGTGGATATTTGGATAGCTTTGAAGGTTTGCTTTGGAAACGGGAATATCTTCATATAAAATCAAGACAGAAGCATTCTCAGAAACTTCTCTGTGATGTTTGCATTCAACTCATAGAGTTGAACACTTCCCTTCATACAGCAGGTTTGAAACACTCTTTTTGTAATATTTGGAAGTGGACATTTGCAGCGCTTTGAGGCCTATGATGAAAAAGGTAATATCTTCCCATAAAAACTAGACAGAAGCATTCTCAGAAACTTGCTTGTGATGTGTGTATTCAACTAACAGAGATGAACCTTTCTTTTTACAGAGCAGTTTTGAAACACTCTTTTTGTGGAATCTGAAAGTGGATATTTGGATAGCTTTGAGGATTTTCGTTGGAAACGGGATTACATATAAAACCTAGAGAGAAGTATTCTCAGAAACTTCCTTGTGATGTGTGTACTCAAGTAACAGAGTTGAACCTTCCTTTTGACAGAGCCATTCTGAAACACTCTTTTTGTAGAATCTGCAAGTAGATATTTGGATACCTTTGACGATTTCGTTGGAAACGGGATATCTTCATATAAAATCAAGACAGAAGCATTCTCAGAAACTACTTTGTGCTGTATGTCCTCAATTAACAGAGTTGAACCTTTGTGTGGATACAGCATTTTGGAAACTTTCCTTTAGTAGAATCTGCAAGTTGATATTTAGATAGCTAGGAAGATTTCCTTTGAAACGGGAATATCTTCATATAAAATCTAGACGGAAGCATTCTCAGAAACTGCTTTGTGATGTTTTCATTCAAGTCACAGAGTAGAATCTTCCCTGTTATATACCAGGTTTCAGACACTCTTTCTGCACTACCTGGAAGTGGACATTTGCAGCGCTTTGAGGCCTATGATGAAAAAGGAAATATCTTCCCATAAAAACTAGACAGAAGCATTCTCAGAAACTTGTTTGTGAGGTGTGTGTTCAACTAACAGAGATGAACCTTTCTTTTTACAGAGCAGTTTTGAAACACTCTTTTTGTGGAATCTGAAAGTGGATATTTGGATAGCTTTGAGGATTTCGTTGGAAACGGGATTACATATAAAATCTAGAGAGAAGCATTCTCAGGAACTTCTTTGTGATGTTTGCATTCACGTCACAGAACTGAACATTCCCTTTCATAGAGCATGTTTGAAACACTCTTTCTGTAGTATCTGCAAACGGACATTTCAAACGCTTTCAGGCCTATGGTGAGAAAGGAAATATCTTCAAATAAAAACTAGACAGAAGCATTCTCAGAAACTTATTTGCGATGTGTGTCCTCAACTAACAGAGTTGAACCTTTCTTTTGATACAACATTTTGGAAACACTCTTTTTGAAGAATCTGCAAGTGGATATTTGGATAGCTTTGAAGGTTTCGTTGGAAACGGGAATATCTTCATATAAAATCAAGACAGAAGCATTCTCAGAAACTTCTCTGTGATGTTTGCATTCAACTCATAGAGTTGAACACTTCCCTTCATACAGCAGGTTTGAAACACTCTTTTTGTAATATTTGGAAGTGGACATTTGCAGCGCTTTGAGGCCTATGTTGAAAAAGGAAATATCTTCTCCTAAAAACCAGACAGAAGCATTCTCAGAATCTTTCTTGTGATGTGTGTACTCAAGTAACAGAGTTGAACCTTCATTTTGACGGAGCAGTTTTGAAGCACTCTTTTTGTAGAATCTGCAAGTGGATATTTTGATACCTTTGAGGATTTCGTTGGACACGGGATATCTTCATATAAAATCTAGACAGAAGCATTCTCAGAAACTTATTTGCCATGTGTGTTCTCAACTAACACAGTTGAACCTTTGTTTTGATACGGCATTTTGGAAACACTCTTTTTGTAGAATCTGCAGGTGGATATTCGGATAGCTTTGAAGGTTTCTTTGGAAACGGGAATATCTTCATATAAAATCTAGACGGAAGCATTCTCAGAAAGTGCTTTGTGATGTTTGCATTCAAGTCACAGAGTTGAATATTCCCTTTTATAGAGCAGGTGTGAAACACTCTTTCTGCACTACCTGGAAGTGGACATTTGGAGCGCTTTGAGGCCTATGTTGAAAAAGGAAATATCTTCCCATAAAAACTAGACAGAAGCATTCTCAGAAACTTGTTTGTGATGTGTGTATTCAACTAACAGAGATGAACCTTTCTTTTTACAGAGCAGTTTTGAAACACTCTTTTTGTGGAATCTGAAAGTGGATATTTGGATAGCTTTGAGGATTTCGTTGGAAACGGGATTACATATAAAACCTAGAGAGAAGCATTCTCAGGAACTTCTTTGTGATGTTTGCCTTCAAGTCACAGGACTGAACATTCCCTTTCATAGAGCAGGTTTGAAACACTCTTTCTGTAGTATCTGCAAGCTGACGTTTCAAGCGCTTTCAGGCCTATGGTGAGAAAGGAAATATCTTCAAGTAAAAACTAGACAGAAGCATTCTCAGAAACTTATTTGCCATGTGTGTTCTCAACTAACAGAGTTGAACCTTTGTTTTGATATGGCATTTTGGAAACACTCTTTTTGTAGAATCTGCAGGTGGATATTCGGATAGCTTTGAAGGTTTCGTTGGAAACGGGAATATCTTCATATAAAATCTAGACGGAAGCATTCTCAGAAACTGCTTTGTGATGTTTTCATTCAAGTCACAGAGTAGAATGTTCCCTGTTATATACCAGGTTTGAGACACTCTTTCTGCACTACCTGGAAGTGGACGTTTGGAGCGCTTTGAGGCCTATGTTGAAAAAGGAAATATCTTCCCATAAAAACTAGACAGAAGCATTCTCAGAAACTTGTTTGTGATGTGTGTATTCAACTAACAGAGATGAACCTTTCTTTTTACAGAGCAGTTTTGAAACACTCTTTTTGTGGAATCTGAAAGTGGATATTTGGATAGCTTTGAGGATTTCGTTGGAAACGGGATTACATATAAAACCTAGAGAGAAGCATTCTCAGGAACTTCTTTGTGATGTTTGCATTCAAGTCACAGAACTGAACATTCCCTTTCATAGAGCAGGTTTGAAACACTCTTTCTGTAGTATCTGCAAGCTGACGTTTCAAGCGCTTTCAGGCCTATGGTGACAAAGGAAATATCTTCAAGTAAAAACTAGACAGAAGCATTCTCAGAAACTTATTTGCGATGTGTGTTCTCAACTAACAGAGTTGAACCTTTGTTTTGATATGGCATTTTGGAAACACTCTTTTTGTAGAATCTGCAGGTGGATATTCGGATAGCTTTGAAGGTTTCGTTGGAAACGGGAATATCTTCATATAAAATCTAGACGGAAGCATTCTCAGAAACTGCTTTGTGATGTTTTCATTCAAGTCACAGACTAGAATGTTCCCTGTTATATACCAGGTTTGAGACACTCTTTCTGCACTACCTGGAAGTGGACATTTGCAGCGCTTTGAGGCCTATGATGAAAAAGGAAATATCTTCCCATAAAAACTAGACAGAAGCATTCTCAGAAACTTGTTTGTGATGTGTGTATTCAACTAACAGAGATGAACCTTTCTTTTTACAGAGCAGTTTTGAAACACTCTTTTTGTGGAATCTGAAAGTGGATATTTGGATAGCTTTGAGGATTTCGTTGGAAACGGGATTACATATAAAATCTAGAGAGAAGCATTCTCAGGAACTTCTTTGTGATGTTTGCATTCACGTCACAGAACTGAACATTCCCTTTCATAGAGCATGTTTGAAACACTCTTTCTGTAGTATCTGCAAACGGACATTTCAAACGCTTTCAGGCCTATGGTGAGAAAGGAAATATCTTCAAATAAAAACTAGACAGAAAGCATTCTCAGAAACTTATTTGCGATGTGTGTCCTCAACTAACAGAGTTGAACCTTTCATTTGATACAACATTTTGGAAACACTCTTTTTGTGGAATCTGCAAGTGGATATTTGGATAGCTTTGAAGATTTCGTTGGAAACGGGAATATCTTCATATAAAATCAAGACAGAAGCATTCTCAGAAACTTCTCTGTGATGTTTGCATTCAACTCATAGAGTTGAACACTTCCCTTCATACAGCAGGTTTGAAACACTCTTTTTGTAATATTTGGAAGTGGACATTTGCAGCGCTTTGAGGCCTATGATGAAAAAGGTAATATCTTCCCATAAAAACTAGACAGAAGCATTCTCAGAAACTTGTTTGTGATGTGTGTATTCAACTAACAGAGATGAACCTTTCTTTTTACAGAGCAGTTTTCAAACACTCTTTTTGTGGAATCTGAAAGTGGATATTTGGATAGCTTTGCGGATTTCGTTGGAAACGGGATTACATATAAAATCTAGGGAGAAGCATTCTCAGAAACTTCTCTGTGATGTTTGCATTCAACTCATAGAGTTGAACACTTCCTTTCATAGAGCTGGTTTGAAATACTCTTTTTGTAATATTTGGAAGTGGATATTGGCAGCGCTTTGAAGCCTATGGTGAAAAAGGAGATATCTTCTCCTAAAAACCAGACAGAAGCATTCTCAGAAACTTATTTGCGATGTGTGTCCTCAACTAACAGAGTTGAACCTTTCTTTTGATACAACATTTTGGAAACACTCTTTTTGTAGAATCTGCAAGTGGATATTTTGGATAGCTTTGAAGGTTTCGTTGGAAACGGGAATATCTTCATATGAAATCAAGACAGAAGCATTCTCAGAAACTTCTCTGTGATGTTTGCATTCAACTCATAGAGTTGAACACTTCCCTTCATACAGCAGGTTTGAAACACTCTTTTTCTAATATTTGGAAGTGGACATTTGCAGCGCTTTGAGGCCTATGTTGAAAAAGGAAATATCTTCTCCTAAAAACCAGACAGAAGCATTCTCAGAAACTTCCTTGTGATGTGTGTACTCAAGTAACAGAGTTGAACCTTCCTTTTGACAGAGCAGTTTTGAAGCACTCTTTTTGTAGAATCTGCAAGTGGATATTTTGATACCTTTGAGGATTTCGTTGGACACGGGATATCTTCATATAAAATCTAGACAGAAGCATTCTCAGAAACTTCTTTGTGTTGTATGTCCTCAATTAACAGAGTTGAACCTTTGTGTGGATACAGCATTTTGGAAACATTCCTTTAGTAGAATCTGCAAGTTGATATTTAGATAGCTAGGAAGATTTCCTTGGAAACGGGAATATCTTCATATAAAATCTAGACGGAAGCATTCTCAGAAACTGCTTTGTGATGTTTTCATTCAAGTCACAGAGTAGAATGTTCCCTGTTATATACCAGGTTTGAGACACTCTTTCTGCACTACCTGGAAGTGGACGTTTGGAGCACTTTGAGGCCTATGTTGAAAAAGGAAATATCTTCCCATAAAAACTAGACAGAAGCATTCTCAGAAACTTGTTTGTGATGTGTGTATTCAACTAACAGAGATGAACCTTTCTTTTTACAGAGCAGTTTTGAAACACTCTTTTTGTGGAATCTGAAAGTGGATATTTGGATGGCTTTGAGGATTTCGTTGGAAACGGGATTACATATAAAACCTAGAGAGAAGCATTCTCAGGAACTTCTTTGTGATGTTTCCATTCACGTCACAGAACTGAACATTCCCTTTCATAGAGCATGTTTGAAACACTCTTTCTGTAGTATCTGCAAACGGACATTTCAAGCGCTTTCAGGCCTATGGTAAGAAAGGAAATATCTTCAAATAAAAACTAGACAGAAGCATTCTCAGAAACTTATTTGCGATGTGTGTCCTCAACTAACAGAGTTGAACCTTTGTTTTGATACAACATTTTGGAAACACTCTTTTTGTAGAATCTGCAAGTGGATATTTGGATAGCTTTGAAGGTTTCGTTGGAAACGGGAATATCTTCATATAAAATCAAGACAGAAGCATTCTCAGAAACTTCTCTGTGATGTTTGCATTCAACTCATAGAGGTGAACACTTCCCTTCATAGAGCAGGTTTGAAACACTCTTTTTGTAATATTTGGAAGTGGACATTTACAGCGCTTTGAGGCCTATGTTGAAAAAGGAAATATCTTCTCCTAAAAACCAGACAGAAGCATTCTCAGAAACTTCCTTGTGATGTGTGTACTCAAGTAACAGAGTTGAACCTTACTTTTGACAGAGCCGTTTTGAAACAGTCTTTTTGTAGAATCTGGAAGTAGATATTTGGATACCTTTGAGGATTTCTTTGGAAACGGGATATCTTCATATAAAATCTAGACAGAAGCATTCTCAGAAACTTCTTTGTGCTGTATGTCATCAATTAACAGAGTTGAACCTTTGTGTGGATACAGCATTTTGGAAACATTCCTTTAGTAGAATCTGCAAGTTGATATTTAGATAGCTAGGAAGATTTCCTTGGAAACGGGAATATCTTCATATAAAATCTAGACGGAAGCATTCTCAGAAAGTGCTTTGTGATGATTGCATTCAAGTCACAGAGTTGAATATTCCCTTTTATAGAGCAGGTTTGAAACACTCTTTCTGCACTACCTGGAAGTGGACATTTGGAGCGCTTTGAGGCCTATGTTGAAAAAGGAAATATCTTCCCATAAAAACTAGACAGAAGCATTCTCAGAAATTTGTTTGTGATGTGTGTATTCAACTAACAGAGATGAACCTTTCTTTTTACAGAGCAGTTTTGAAACACTCTTTTTGTGGAATCTGAAAGTGGATATTTGGATAGCTTTGAGGATTTCGTTGGAAACGGGATTACATATAAAATCTAGAGAGAAGCATTCTCAGGAACTTCTTTGTGATGTTTGCATTCCAGTCACAGAACTGAACATTCCCTTTCATAGAGCATGTTTGAAACACTCTTTCTGTAGTATCTGCAAGCGGACGTTTCAAGCGCTTTCAGGCCTATGGTGCGGAAGGAAATATCTTCAAGTAAAAACTAGACAGAAGCATTCTCAGAAACTTATTTGCCATGTGTGTTCTCAACTAACAGAATTGAACCTTTGTTTTCATACGGCATTTTGGAAACACTCTTTTTGTAGAATCTGCAGGTGCATATTCGGATAGCTTTGAAGGTTTCGTTGGAAACGGGAATATCTTCATATAAAATCTAGACGGAAGCATTCTCAGAAACTGCTTTGTGATGTTTTCATTGAAGTCACAGAGTAGAATGTTCCCTTTTATATACCAGGTTTGAGACACTCTTTCTGCACTATCTGGAAGTGGACATTTGGAGCGCTTTGAGGCCTATGATGAAAAAGGAAATATCTTCCCATAAAAACTAGACAGAAGCATTCTCAGAAACTTGTTTGTGATGTGTGTATTCAACTAACAGAGATGAACCTTTCTTTTTACAGAGCAGTTTTGAAACACTCTTATTGTGGTATCTGAAAGTGGATATTTCGATAGCTTTGAGGATTTCGTTGGAAACGGGATTACATATAAAATCTAGAGAGAAGCATTCTCAGGAACTTCTTTGTGATGTTTGCCTTCAAGTCACAGAACTGAACATTCCCTTTCATAGAGCAGGTTTGAAACACTCTTTCTGTAGTATCTGCAAGCGGACATTTCAAGCGCTTTCCCGCCTATGGTTGAGAAAGGAAATATCTTCAAATGAAAACTAGACCGAAGCATTCTCAGAAACTTCTTTGTGATGTATGTCCTCAATTAACAGAGTTGAACCTTTGTTTCGATACAGCATTTTGGAAACATTCCTTTAGTAGAATCTGCAAGTTGATATTTAGATAGCTAGGAAGATTTCGTTGGAAACGGGAATATCTTCATATAAAATCTAGACGGAAGCATTCTCAGAAACTGCTTTGTGATGTTTTCATTCAAGTCACAGAGTAGAATGTTCCCTGTTATATACCAGGTTTGAGACACTCTTTCTGCACTACCTGGAAGTGGACGTTTGGAGCGCTTTGAGGCCTATGTTGAAAAAGGAAATATCTTCCCATAAAAACTAGACAGAAGCATTCTCAGAAACTTGTTTGTGATGTGTGTATTCAACTAACAGAGATGAACCTTTCTTTTTACAGAGCAGTTTTGAAACACTCCTTTTGTGGAATCTGAAAGTGGATATTTGGATAGCTTTGAGGATTTCGTTGGAAACGGGATTACATATAAAACCTAGAGAGAAGCATTCTCAGGAACTTCTTTGTGATGTTTGCATTCACGTCACAGAACTGAACATTCCCTTTCATAGAGCATGTTTGAAACACTCTTTCTGTAGTATCTACAAACGGACATTTCAAACGCTTTCAGGCCTATGGTGAGAAAGGAAATATCTTCAAATAAAAACTAGACAGAAGCATTCTCAGAAACTTATTTGCGATGTGTGTCCTCAACTAACAGAGTTGAACCTTTCTTTTGATACAACATTTTGGAAACACTCTTTTTGTAGAATCTGCAAGTGGATATTTGAATAGCTTTGAAGGTTTCGTTGGAAACGGGAATATCTTCATATAAAATCAAGACAGAAGCATTCTCAGAAACTTCTCTGTGATGTTTGCATTCAACTCATAGAGTTGAACACTTCCCTTCATACAGCAGGTTTGAAACACTCTTTTTGTAACATTTGGAAGTGGACATTTGCAGCGCTTTGAGGCCTATGTTGAAAAAGGAAATATCTTCTCCTAAAAACCAGACAGAAGCATTCTCAGAAACTTCCTTGTGATGTGTGTACTCAAGTAACAGAGTTGAACCTTCCTTTTGACAGAGCAGTTTTGAAGCACTCTTTTTGTAGAATCTGCAAGTGGATATTTTGATACCTTTGAGGATTTCGTTGGACACGGGATATCTTCATATAAAATCTAGACAGAAGCATTCTCAGAAACTTCTTTGTGCTGTATGTCCTCAATTAACAGAGTTGAACCTTTGTGTGGATACAGCATTTTGGAAACATTCCTTTAGTAGAATCTGCAAGTTGATATTTAGATAGCTAGGAAGAGTTCCTTGGAAACGGGAATATCTTCATATAAAATCTAGACGGAAGCATTCTCAGAAAGTGCTTTGTGATGTTTGCATTCAAGTCACAGAGTTGAATGTTCCCTTTTATAGAGCAGGTTTGAAACACTCTTTCTGCACTACCTGGAAGTGGACATTTGGAGCGCTTTGAGGCCTATGTTGAAAAAGGAAATATCTTCCCATAAAAACTAGACAGAAGCATTCTCAGAAACTTGTTTGTGATGTGTGTATTCAACTAACAGAGATGAACCTTTCTTTTTACAGAGCAGTTTTGAAACACTCTTTTTGTGGAATCTGAAAGTGGATATTTGGATAGCTTTGAGGATTTCGTTGGAAACGGGATTACATATAAAACCTAGAGAGAAGCATTCTCAGGAACTTCTTTGTGATGTTTGCATTCAAGTCACAGAACTGAACATTCCCTTTCATAGAGCAGGTTTGAAACACTCTTTCTGTAGTATCTGCAAGCTGACGTTTCAAGCGCTTTCAGGCCTATGGTGAGAAAGGAAATATCTTCAAGTAAAAACTAGACAGAAGCATTCTCAGAAACTTATTTGCGATGTGTGTTCTCAACTAACAGAGTTGAACCTTTGTTTTGATATGGCATTTTGGAAACACTCTTTTTGTAGAATCTGCAGGTGGATATTCGGATAGCTTTGAAGGTTTCGTTGGAAACGGGAATATCTTCATATAAAATCTAGACGGAAGCATTCTCAGAAACTTCTCTGTGATGTTTGCATTCAACTCATAGAGTTGAACACTTCCCTTCATACAGCAGGTTTGAAACACTCTTTTTGTAATATTTGGAAGTGGACATTTGCAGCGCTTTGAGGCCTATGATGAAAAAGGAAATATCTTCCCATAAAAACTAGACAGAAGCATTCTCAGAAACTTGTTTGTGATGTGTGTATTCAACTAACAGAGATGAACCTTTCTTTTTACAGAGCAGTTTTGAAACACTCTTTTTGTGGAATCTGAAAGTGGATATTTGGATAGCTTTGCGGATTTCGTTGGAAACGGGATTACATATAAAATCTAGGGAGAAGCATTCTCAGGAACTTCTTTGTGATGTTTGCATTCAAGTCACAGAACTGAACATTCCCTTTCATAGAGCAGGTTTGAAACACTCTTTCTGTAGTATCTGCAAGCGGACGTTTTAAGCGGTTTCAGGCCTGTGGTGAGAAAGGAAATATCTTCAAATAAAAACTAGACAGAAGCATTCTCAGAAACTTATTTGCGATGTGTGTCCTCAACTAACAGAGTTGAACTTTTCTTTTAATACAACATTTTGGAAACACTCTTTTTGTAGAATCTGCAAGTGGATATTTGGATAGCTTTGAAGGTTTCGTTGGAAACGCGAATATCTTCATATGAAATCAAGACAGAAGCATTCTCAGAAACTGCTTTGTGATGTCTTCATTCAAGTCACAGAGTAGTATGTTCCCTTTTATAGAGCAGGTTTGAAACACTCTGTGCACTACCTGGAAGTGGACATTTGGAGCGCTTTGAGGCCTATGTTGAAAAAGGAAATATCTTCCCATAAAAACTAGACAGAAGCATTCTCAGAAACTTGTTTGTGATGTGTGTATTCAACTAACAGAGATGAACCTTTCTTTTTACAGAGCAGTTTTGAAACACTCTTTTTGTGGAATCTGAAAGTGGATATTTGGATAGCTTTGAGGATTTCGTTGGAAACGGGATTACATATAAAATCTAGAGAGAAGCATTCTCAGGAACTTCTTTGTGATGTTTGCATTCACGTCACAGAACTGAACATTCCCTTTCATAGAGCATGTTTGAAACACTCTTTCTGTAGTATCTGCAAACGGACATTTCAAACGCTTTCAGGCCTATGGTGAGAAAGGAAATATCTTCAAATAAAAACTAGACAGAAGCATTCTCAGAAACTTATTTGCGATGTGTGTCCTCAACTAACAGAGTTGAACCTTTCTTTTGATACAACATTTTGGAAACACTCTTTTTGTAGAATCTGCAAGTGGATATTTGAATAGCTTTGAAGGTTTCGTTGGAAACGGGAATATCTTCATATAAAATCAAGACAGAAGCATTCTCAGAAACTTCTCTGTGATGTTTGCATTCAACTCATAGAGTTGAACACTTCCCTTCATACAGCAGGTTTGAAACACTCTTTTTGTAATATTTGGAAGTGGACATTTGCAGCGCTTTGAGGCCTATGATGAAAAAGGTAATATCTTCCCATAAAAACTAGACAGAAAGCATTCTCAGGAAACTTGTTTGTGATGTGTGTATTCAACTAACAGAGCATGAACCTTTCTTTTTACAGAGCAGTTTTGAAACACTCTTTTTGTGGAATCTGAAAGTGGATATTTGGATAGCTTTGCGGATTTCGTTGGAAACGGGATTACATATAAAATCTAGGGAGAAGCATTATCAGGAACTTCTTTGTGATGTTTGCATTCAAGTCACAGAACTGAACATTCCCTTTCATAGAGCAGGTTTGAAACACTCTTTCTGTAGTATCTGCAAGCGGACGTTTTAAGCGCTTTCAGGCCTGTGGTGAGAAAAGAAATATCTTCAAATAAAAACTAGACAGAAGCATTCTCAGAAACTTATTTGCGATGTGTGTCCTCAACTAACAGAGTTGAACCTTTCTTTTGATACAACATTTTGGAAACACTCTTTTTGTAGAATCTGCAAGTGGATATTTGGATAGCTTTGAAGGTTTCGTTGGAAACGGGAATATCTTCATATGAAATCAAGACAGAAGCATTCTCAGAAACTTCTCTGTGATGTTTGCATTCAACTCATAGAGTTGAACACTTCCCTTCATACAGCAGGTTTGAAACACTCTTTTTGTAATATTTGGAAGTGGACATTTGCAGCGCTTTGAGGCCTATGTTGAAAAAGGAAATATCTTCTCCTAAAAACCAGACAGAAGCATTCTCAGAAACTTCCTTCTGATGTGTGTACTCAAGTAACAGAGTTGAACCTTCATTTGCCAGAGCAGTTTTGAAGCACTCTTTTTGTAGAATCTGCAAGTGGATATTTTGATACCTTTGAGGATTTCGTTGGACACGGGATATATTCATATAAAATCTAGACAGAAGCATTCTCAGAAACTTCTTTGTGCTGTGTGTCCTCAATTAACAGAGTTGAACCTTTGTTTCGATACGGCATTTTGGAAACATTCCTTTAGTAGAATCTGCAAGTTCATATTTAGATAGCTAGGAAGATTTCCTTGCAAACGGGAATATCTTCATATAAAATCTAGACGGAAGCATTCTCAGAAAGTGCTTTGTGATGTTTGCATTCAAGTCACAGAGTTGAATATTCCCTTTTATAGAGCAGGTTTGAAACACTCTTTCTGCACTACCTGGAAGTGGACATTTGGAGCGCTTTGAGGCCTATGTTGAAAAAGGAAATATCTTCCCATAAAAACTAGACAGAAGCATTCTCAGAAATTTGTTTGTGATGTGTGTATTCAACTAACAGAGATGAACCTTTCTTTTTACAGAGCAGTTTTGAAACACTCTTTTTGTGGATTCTGAAAGTGGATATTTGGATAGCTTTGAGGATTTTGTTGGAAACGGGATTACATATAAAACCTAGAGAGAAGCATTCTCAGGAACTTCTTTGTGATGTTTGCATTCAAGTCACAGAACTGAACATTCCCTTTCATAGAGCAGGTTTGAAACACTCTGTAGTATCTGCAAGCTGACGTTTCAAGCGCTTTCAGGCCTATGGTGAGAAAGGAAATATCTTCAAGTAAAAACTAGACAGAAGCATTCTCAGAAACTTATTTGCGATGTGTGTTCTCAACTAACAGAGTTGAACCTTTGTTTTGATATGGCATTTTGGAAACACTCTTTTTGTAGAATCTGCAGGTGGATATTCGGATAGCTTTGAAGGTTTCGTTGGAAACGGGAATATCTTCATATAAAATCTAGACGGAAGCATTCTCAGAAACTGCTTTGTGATGTTTTCATTCAAGTCACAGAGTAGAATGTTCCCTGTTATATACCAGGTTTGAGACACTCTTTCTGCACTACCTGGAAGTGGACATTTGGAGCGCTTTGAGGCCTATGATGAAAAAGGAAATATCTTCCCATAAAAACTAGACAGAAGCATTCTCAGAAACTTGTTTGTGATGTGTGTATTCAACTAACAGAGATGAACCTTTCTTTTTACAGAGCAGTTTTGAAACACTCTTTTTGTGGAATCTGAAAGTGGATATTTGGATAGCTTTGAGGATTTCGTTGGAAACGGGATTACATATAAAATCTAGAGAGAAGCATTCTCAGGAACTTCTTTGTGATGTTTGCATTCACGTCACAGAACTGAACATTCCCTTTCATAGAGCATGTTTGAAACACTCTTTCTGTAGTATCTGCAAACGGACATTTCAAATGCTTTCAGGCCTATGGTGAGAAAGGAAATATCTTCAAATAAAAACTAGACAGCAGCATTCTCAGAAACTTATTTGCGATGTGTGTCCTCAAGTAACAGAGTTGAACCTTTCTTTTGATACAACATTTTGGAAACACTCTTTTTGTAGAATCTGCAAGTGGATATTTGGATAGCTTTGAAGGTTTCGTTGGAAACGGGAATATCTTCATATAAAATCAAGACAGAACGCATTCTCAGAAACTTCTCTGTGATGTTTGCATTCAACTCATAGAGTTGAACACTTCCCTTCATGCAGCAGGTTTGAAACACTCTTTTTGTAATATTTGGAAGTGGACATTTGCAGCGCTTTGAGGCCTATGATGAAAAAGGTAATATCTTCCCATAAAAACTAGACAGAAGCATTCTCAGAAACTTGTTTGTGATGTGTGTATTCAACTAACAGAGATGAACCTTTCTTTTTACAGAGCAGTTTTGAAACACTCTTTTTGTGGAATCTGAAAGTGGATATTTGGATAGCTTTGCGGATTTCGTTGGAAACGGGATTACATATAAAATCTAGGGAGAAGCATTCTCAGGAACTTCTTTGTGATGTTTGCATTCAAGTCACAGAACTGAACGTTCCCTTTCATAGAGCAGGTTTGAAACACTCTTTCTGTAGTATCTGCAAGCGGACGTTTTAAGCGCTTTCAGGCCTGTGGTGAGAAAGGAAATATCTTCAAATAAAAACTAGACAGAAGCATTCTCAGAAACTTATTTGCGATGTGTGTCCTCAACTAACAGAGTTGAACCTTTCTTTTGATACAACATTTTGGAAACACTCTTTTTGTAGAATCTGCAAGTGGATATTTGGATAGCTTTGAAGGTTTCGTTGGAAACGGGAATATCTTCATATGAAATCAAGACAGAAGCATTCTCAGAAACTTCCCTGTGATGTTTGCATTCAACTCATAGAGTTGAACACTTCCTTTCATACAGCAGGTTTGAAACACTCTTTTTCTAATATTTGGAAGTGGACATTTGCAGCGCTTTGAGGCCTAAGTTGAAAAAGGAAATATCTTCTCCTAAAAACCAGACAGAAGCATTCTCAGAAACTTCCTTGTGATGTGTGTACTCAAGTAACAGAGTTGAACCTTCCTTTTGACAGAGCAGTTTTGAAGCACTCTTTTTGTAGAATCTGCAAGCGGATATTTTGATACCTTTGAGGATTTCGTTGGACACGGGATATCTTCATATAAAATCTAGACAGAAGCATTCTCAGAAACTTCTTTGTGCTGTATGTCCTCAATTAACAGAGTTGAACCTTTGTGTGGATACAGCATTTTGGAAACATTCCTTTAGTAGAATCTGCAAGTTGATATTTAGATAGCTAGGAAGATTTCCTTGGAAACGGGAATATCTTCATATAAAATCTAGACGGAAGCATTCTCAGAAAGTGCTTTGTGATGTCTTCATTCAAGTCACAGAGTAGAATGTTCCCTTTTATAGAGCAGGTTTGAAACACTCTTTCTGCACTACCTGGAAGTGGACATTTGGAGCGCTTTGAGACCTATGTTGAAAAAGGAAATATCTTCCCATAAAAACTAGACAGAAGCATTCTCAGAAACTTGTTTGTGATGTGTGTATTCAACTAACAGAGATGAACCTTTCTTTTTACAGAGCAGTTTTGAAACACTCTTTTTGTGGAATCTGAAAGTGGATATTTGGATAGCTCTGAGGATTTCGTTGGAAACGGGATTACATATAAAACCTAGAGAGAAGCATTCTCAGGAACTTCTTTGTGATGTTTGCCTTCAAGTCACAGGACTGAACATTCCCTTTCATAGAGCAGGTTTGAAACACTCTTTCTGTAGTATCTGCAAGCTGACGTTTCAAGCGCTTTCAGGCCTATGGTGACAAAGGAAATATCTTCAAGTAAAAACTAGACAGAAGCATTCTCAGAAACTTATTTGCGATGTGTGTTCTCAACTAACAGAGTTGAACCTTTGTTTTGATATGGCATTTTGGAAACACTCTTTTTGTAGAATCTGCAGGTGGATATTCGGATAGCTTTGAAGGTTTCGTTGGAAACGGGAATATCTTCATATAAAATCTAGACGGAAGCATTCTCAGAAACTGCTTTGTGATGTTTTCATTCAAGTCACAGAGTAGAATGTTCCCTGTTATATACCAGGTTTGAGACACTCTTTCTGCACTACCTGGAATTGGACGTTTGGAGCGCTTTGAGGCCTATGTTGAAAAAGGAAATATCTTCCCATAAAAACTAGACAGAAGCATTCTCAGAAACTTGTTTGTGATGTGTGTATTCAACTAACAGAGCATGAACCTTTCTTTTTACAGAGCAGTTTTGAAACACTCTTTTTGTGGAATCTGAAAGTGGATATTTGGATAGCTTTGAGGATTTCGTTGGAAACGGGATTACATATAAAACCTAGAGAGAAGCATTCTCAGGAACTTCTTTGTGATGTTTGCCTTCAAGTCACAGGACTGAACATTCCCTTTCATAGAGCAGGTTTGAAACACTCTTTCTGTAGTATCTGCAAGCTGACGTTTCAAGCGCTTTCAGGCCTATGGTGAGAAAGGAAATATCTTCAAGTAAAAACTAGACAGAAGCATTCTCAGAAACTTCTTTGTGCTGTATGTCCTCAATTAACAGAGTTGAACCTTTGTGTGGATACAGCATTTTGGAAACACTCCTTTAGTAGAATCTGCAAGTTGATCTTTAGATAGCTAGGAAGATTTCCTTGGAAACGGGAATATCTTCATATAAAATCTAGACGGAAGCATTCTCAGAAACTGCTTTGTGATGTTTTCATTCAAGTCACAGAGTACAATGTTCCCTGTTATATACCAGGTTTGAGACACTCTTTCTGCACTACCTGGAAGTGGACGTTTGGAGCGCTTTGAGGCCTATGTTGAAAAAGGAAATATCTTCCCATAAAAACTAGACAGAAGCATTCTCAGAAACTTGTTTGTGATGTGTGTATTCAACTAACAGAGATGAACCTTTCTTTTTACAGAGCAGTTTTGAAACACTCTTTTTGTGGAATCTGAAAGTGGATATTTGGATAGCTTTGCGGATTTCGTTGGAAACGGGATTACATATAAAATCTAGGGAGAAGCATTCTCAGGAACTTCTTTGTGATGTTTGCATTCAAGTCACAAAACTGAACATTCCCTTTCATAGAGCAGGTTTGAAACACTCTTTCTGTAGTATCTGCAAGCGGACGTTTTAAGCGCTTTCAGGCCTGTGGTGAGAAAGGAAATATCTTCAAATAAAAACTAGACAGAAGCATTCTCAGAAACTTATTTGCGATGTGTGTCCTCAACTAACAGAGTTGAACCTTTCTTTTGATACAACATTTTGGAAACACTCTTTTTGTAGAATCTGCAAGTGGATATTTGGATAGCTTTGAAGGTTTCGTTGGAAACGGGAATATCTTCATATGAAATCAAGACAGAAGCATTCTCAGAAACTTCTCTGTGATGTTTGCATTCAACTCATAGAGTTGAACACTTCCCTTCATACAGCAGGTTTGAAACACTCTTTTTCTAATATTTGGAAGTGGACATTTGCAGCGCTTTGAGGCCTATGTTGAAAAAGGAAATATCTTCTCCTAAAAACCAGACAGAAGCATTCTCAGAAACTTCCTTGTGATGTGTGTACTCAAGTAACAGAGTTGAACCTTCCTTTTGACAGAGCAGTTTTGAAGCACTCTTTTTGTAGAATCTGCAAGTGGATATTTTGATACCTTTGAGGATTTCTTTGGACACGGGATATCTTCATATAAAATCTAGACAGAAGCATTCTCAGAAACTTCTTTGTGCTGTATGTCCTCAATTAACAGAGTTGAACCTTTGTGTGGATACAGCATTTTGGAAACATTCCTTTAGTAGAATCTGCAAGTTGATATTTAGATAGCTAGGAAGATTTCCTTGGAAACGGGAATATCTTCATATAAAATCTAGACGGAAGCATTCTCAGGAAGTGCTTTGTGATGTTTGCATTCAAGTCACAGAGTTGAATATTCCCTTTTATAGAGCAGGTTTGAAACACTCTTTCTGCACTACCTGGAAGTGGACATTTGGAGCGCTTTGAGGCCTATGTTGAAAAACGAAATATCTTCCCATAAAAACTAGACAGAGCATTCTCAGAAACTTGTTTGTGATGTGTGTATTCAACTAACAGAGATGAACCTTTCTTTTTACAGAGCAGTTTTGAAACACTCTTTTTGTGGAATCTGAAAGTGGATATTTGGATAGCTTTGAGGATTTCGTTGGAAACGGGATTACATATAAAACCTAGAGAGAAGCATTCTCAGGAACTTCTTTGTGATGTTTGCCTTCAAGTCACAGGACTGAACATTCCCTTTCATAGAGCAGGTTTGAAACACTCTTTCTGTAGTATCTGCAAGCTGACGTTTCAAGCGCTTTCAGGCCTATGGTGAGAAAGGAAATATCTTCAAGTAAAAACTAGACAGAAGCATTCTCAGAAACTTATTTGCCATGTGTGTTCTCAACTAACAGAGTTGAACCTTTGTTTTGATACGGCATTTTGGAAACACTCTTTTTGTAGAATCTGCAGGTGGATATTCGGATAGCTTTGAAGATTTCGTTGGAAACGGGAATATCTTCATATAAAATATTGACGGAAGCATTCTCAGAAACTGCTTTGTGATGTTTTCATTCAAGTCACAGAGTAGAATCTTCCCTGTTATATACCAGGTTTCAGGCACTCTTTCTGCACTACCTGGAAGTGGACATTTGCAGCGCTTTGAGGCCTATGATGAAAAAGGAAATATCTTCCCATAAAAACTAGACAGAAGCATTCTCAGAAACTTGTTTGTGATGTGTGTATTCAACTAACAGAGATGAACCTTTCTTTTTACAGAGCAGTTTTGAAACACTCTTTTTGTGGAATCTGAAAGTGGATATTTGGATAGCTTTGAGGATTTCGTTGGAAACGGGATTACATATAAAATCTAGAGAGAAGCATTCTCAGGAACTTCTTTGTGATGTTTGCATTCACGTCACAGAACTGAACATTCCCTTTCATAGAGCATGTTTGAAACACTCTTTCTGTAGTATCTGCAAACGGACATTTCAAACGCTTTCAGGCCTATGGTGAGAAAGGAAATATCTTCAAGTAAAAACTAGACAGAAGCATTCTCAGAAACTTATTTGCGATGTGTGTCCTCAACTAACAGAGTTGAACCTTTCTTTTGATACAACATTTTGGAAACACTCTTTTTGTAGAATCTGCAAGTGGATATTTGAATAGCTTTGAAGGTTTCGTTGGAAACGGGAATATCTTCATATAAAATCAAGACAGAAGCATTCTCAGAAACTTCTCTGTGATGTTTGCATTCAACTCATAGAGTTGAACACTTCCCTTCATACAGCAGGTTTGAAACACTCTTTTTGTAATATTTGGAAGTGGACATTTGCAGCGCTTTGAGGCCTATGATGAAAAAGGTAATATCTTCCCATAAAAACTAGACAGAAGCATTCTCAGAAACTTGTTTGTGATGTGTGTATTCAACTAACAGAGATGAACCTTTCTTTTTACAGAGCAGTTTTGAAACACTCTTTTTGTGGAATCTGAAAGTGGATATTTGGATAGCTTTGCGGATTTCGTTGGAAACGGGATTACATATAAAACCTAGAGAGAAGCATTCTCAGGAACTTCTTTGCGATGTTTGCATTCAAGTCACAGAACTGAACATTCCCTTTCATAGAGCAGGTTTGAAACATTCTTTCTGTAGTATCTGCAAGCTGACGTTTCAAGCGCTTTCAGGCCTATGGTGAGAAAGGAAATTTCTTCAAGTAAAAACTAGACAGAAGCATTCTCAGAAACTTATTTGCGATGTGTGTTCTCAACTAACAGAGTTGAACCTTTGTTTTGATATGGCATTTTGGAAACACTCTTTTTGTAGAATCTGCAGGTGGATATTCGGATAGCTTTGAAGGTTTCGTTGGAAACGGGAATATCTTCATATAAAATCTAGACGGAAGCATTCTCAGAAACTGCTTTGTGATGTTTTCATTCAAGTCACAGAGTAGAATGTTCCCTGTTATATACCAGGTTTGAGACACTCTTTCTGCACTACCTGGAAGTGGACGTTTGGAGCGCTTTGAGGCCTATGTTGAAAAAGGAAATATCTTCCCATAAAAACTAGACAGAAGCATTCTCAGAAACTTGTTTGTGATGTGTGTATTCAACTAACAGAGATGAACCTTTCTTTTTACAGAGCAGTTTTGAAACACTCTTTTTGTGGAATCTGAAAGTGGATATTTGGATAGCTTTGAGGATTTCGTTGGAAACGGGATTACATATAAAATCTAGAGAGAAGCATTCTCAGGAACTTCTTTGTGATGTTTGCATTCACGTCACAGAACTGAACATTCCCTTTCATAGAGCATGTTTGAAACACTCTTTCTGTAGTATCTGCAAACGGACATTTCAAACGCTTTCAGGCCTATGTTGAGAAAGGAAATATCTTCAAATAAAAACTAGACAGAAGCATTCTCAGAAACTTATTTGCGATGTGTGTCCTCAACTAACAGAGTTGAACCTTTCTTTTGATACAACATTTTGGAACCACTCTTTTTGTAGAATCTGCAAGTGGATATTTGGATAGCTTTGAAGGTTTCGTTGGAAACGGGAATATCTTCATATAAAATCAAGACAGAAGCATTCTCAGAAACTTCTCTGTGATGTTTGCATTCAACTCATAGAGTTGAACACTTCCCTTCATACAGCAGGTTTGAAACACTCTTTTTGTAATATTTGGAAGTGGACATTTGCAGCGCTTTGAGGCCTATGATGAAAAAGGTAATATCTTCCCATAAAAACTAGACAGAAAGCATTCTCAGAAACTTGTTTGTGACGTGTGTATTCAACTAACAGAGATGAACCTTTCTTTTTACAGAGCAGTTTTGAAACACTCTTTTTGTGGAATCTGAAAGTGGATATTTGGATAGCTTTGCGGATTTCGTTGGAAACGGGATTACATATAAAATCTAGGGAGAGCATTCTCAGGAACTTCTTTGTGATGTTTGCATTCAAGTCACAGAACTGAACATTCCCTTTCATAGAGCAGGTTTGAAACACTCTTTCTGTAGTATCTGCAAGCGGACGTTTTAAGCGCTTTCAGGCCTGTGGTGAGAAAAGAAATATCTTCAAATAAAAACTAGACAGAAGCATTCTCAGAAACTTATTTGCGATGTGTGTCCTCAACTAACAGAGTTGAACCTTTCTTTTGATACAACATTTTGGAAACACTCTTTTTGTAGAATCTGCAAGTGGATATTTGGATAGCTTTGAAGGTTTCGTTGGAAACGGGAATATCTTCATATGAAATCAAGACAGAAGCATTCTCAGAAACTTCTCTGTGATGTTTGCATTCAACTCATAGAGTTGAACACTTCCCTTCATACAGCAGGTTTGAAACACTCTTTTTCTAATATTTGGAAGTGGACATTTGCAGCGCTTTGAGGCCTATGTTGAAAAAGGAAATATCTTCTCCTAAAAACCAGACAGAAGCATTCTCAGAAACTTCCTTCTGATGTGTGTACTCAAGTAACAGAGTTGAACCTTCCTTTTGACAGAGCAGTTTTGAAGCACTCTTTTTGTAGAATCTGCAAGTGGATATTTTGATACCTTTGAGGATTTCGTTGGACACGGGATATCTTCATATAAAATCTAGACAGAAGCATTCTCAGGAAGTTTTTTGTGATGTTTGCATTCAAGTCACAGAACTGAACATTCCCTTTCATAGAGCAGGTTTGAAACACTCTTTCTGTAGTATCTACAAGCGGACGTTTCAAGCGCTTTCAGGCCTGTGGTGAAAAAGGAAATATCTTCAAATAAAAAGTAGACAGAAGCATTCTCAGAAACTTCTTTGTGCTGTATGTCCTCAATTAACAGAGTTGAACCTTTGTGTGGATACAGCATTTTGGAAACATTCCTTTAGTAGAATCTGCAAGTTGATATTTAGATAGCTAGGAAGATTTCCTTGGAAACGGGAATAACTTCATATAAAATCTAGACGGAAGCATTCTCAGAAACTTCTCTGTGATGTTTGCATTCAACTCATAGAGTTGAACACTTCCCTTCATACAGCAGGTTTGAAACACTCTTTTTGTAATATTTGGAAGTGGACATTTGCAGCGCTTTGAGGCCTATGTTGAAAAAGGAAATATCTTCTCCTAAAAACCAGACAGAAGCATTCTCAGAAACTTGTTTGTGATGTGTGTATTCAACTAACAGAGATGAACCTTTCTTTTTACAGAGCAGTTTTGAAACACTCTTTTTGTGGAATCTGAAAGTGGATATTTGGATAGCTTTGAGGATTTCGTTGGAAACGGGATTACATATAAAATCTAGAGAGAAGCATTCTCAGGAACTTCTTTGTGATGTTTGCATTCAAGTCACAGAACTGAACATTCCCTTTCATAGAGCATGTTTGAAACACTCTTTCTGTAGTATCTGCAAGCGGACGTTTTAAGCGCTTTCAGGCCTGTGGTGAGAAAGGAAATATCTTCAAATAAAAACTAGACAGAAGCATTCTCAGAAACTTATTTGCGATGTGTGTTCTCAACTAAAAGAGTTGAACCTTTGTTTGGATACAGCATTTTGGAAACACTCTTTTTGTAGAATCTGCAAGTGGATATTTGGATAGCTTTGAAGGTTTCGTTGGAAACGGGAATATCTTCATATAAAATCAAGACAGAAGCATTCTCAGAAACTTCTCTGTGATGTTTGCATTCAACTCATAGAGTTGAACACTTCCCTTCATACAGCAGGTTTGAAACACTCTTTTTGTAATATTTGGAAGTGGACATTTGCAGCGCTTTGAGGCCTATGTTGAAAAAGGAAATATCTTCTCCTAAAAACCAGACAGAAGCATTCTCAGAAACTTCCTTGTGATGTGTGTACTCAAGTAACAGAGTTGAACCTTCCTTTTGACAGAGCAGTTTTGAAGCACTCTTTTTGTAGAATCTGCAAGTGGATATTTTGATACCTTTGAGGATTTCGTTGGACACGGGATATCTTCATATAAAATCTAGACAGAAGCATTCTCAGAAACTTCTTTGTGCTGTATGACCTCAATTAACAGAGTTGAACCTTTGTGTGGATACAGCATTTTGGAAACATTCCTTTAGTAGAATCTGCAAGTTGATATTTAGATAGCTAGGAAGATTTCCTTGGAAACGGGAATATCTTCATATAAAATCTAGACGGAAGCATTCTCAGAAAGTGCTTTGTGATGTTTGCATTCAAGTCACAGAGTTGAATATTCCCTTTTATAGAGCAGGTTTGAAACACTCTTTCTGCACTACCTGGAAGTGGACATTTGGAGCGCTTTGAGGCCTATGTTGAAAAAGGAAATATCTTCCCATAAAAACTAGACAGAAGCATTCTCAGAAACTTGTTTGTGATGTGTGTATTCAACTAACAGAGATGAACCTTTCTTTTTACAGAGCAGTTTTGAAACACTCTTTTTGTGGAATCTGAAAGTGGATATTTGGATAGCTTTGAGGATTTCGTTGGAAACGGGATTACATATAAAACCTAGAGAGAAGCATTCTCAGGAACTTCTTTGTGATGTTTGCCTTCAAGTCACAGGACTGAACATTCCCTTTCATAGAGCAGGTTTGAAACACTCTTTCTGTAGTATCTGCAAGCTGACGTTTCAAGCGCTTTCAGGCCTATGGTGAGAAAGGAAATATCTTCAAGTAAAAACTAGACAGAAGCATTCTCAGAAACTTATTTGCCATGTGTGTTCTCAACTAACAGAGTTGAACCTTTGTTTTGATACGGCATTTTGGAAACACTCTTTTTGTAGAATCTGCAGGTGGATATTCGGATAGCTTTGAAGGTTTCGTTGGAAACGGGAATATCTTCATATAAAATCTAGACGAAAGCATTCTCAGAAACTGCTTTGTGATGTTTTCATTCAAGTCACAGAGTAGAATCTTCCCTGTTATATACCAGGTTTCAGACACTCTTTCTGCACTACCTGGAAGTGGACATTTGCAGCGCTTTGAGGCCTATGATGAAAAAGGAAATATCTTCCCATAAAAACTAGACAGAAGCATTCTCAGAAACTTGTTTGTGATGTGTGTATTCAACTAACAGAGATGAACCTTTCTTTTTACAGAGCAGTTTTGAAACACTCTTTTTGTGGAATCTGAAAGTGGATATTTGGATAGCTTTGAGGATTTCGTTGGAAACGGGATTACATATAAAATCTAGAGAGAAGCATTCTCAGGAACTTCTTTGTGATGTTTGCATTCACGTCACAGAACTGAACATTCCCTTTCATAGAGCATGTTTGAAACACTCTTTCTGTAGTATCTGCAAACGGACATTTCAAACGCTTTCAGGCCTATGGTGAGAAAGGAAATATCTTCAAATAAAAACTAGACAGAAGCATTCTCAGAAACTTATTTGCGATGTGTGTCCTCAACTAACAGAGTTGAACCTTTCTTTTGATACAACATTTTGGAAACACTCTTTTTGTAGAATCTGCAAGTGGATATTTGAATAGCTTTGAAGGTTTCGTTGGAAACGGGAATATCTTCATATAAAATCAAGACAGAAGCATTCTCAGAAACTTCTCTGTGATGTTTGCATTCAACTCATAGAGTTGAACACTTCCCTTCATACAGCAGGTTTGAAACACTCTTTTTGTAATATTTGGAAGTGGACATTTGCAGCGCTTTGAGGCCTATGATGAAAAAGGAAATATCTTCCCATAAAAACTAGACAGAAGCATTCTCAGAAACTTGTTTGTGATGTGTGTATTCAACTAACAGAGATGAACCTTTCTTTTTACAGAGCAGTTTTGAAACACTCTTTTTGTGGAATCTGAAAGTGGATATTTGGATAGCTTTGAGGATTTTGTTGGAAACGGGATTACATATAAAATCTAGGGAGAAGCATTCTCAGGAACTTCTTTGTGATGTTTGCATTCAAGTCACAGAACTGAACATTCCCTTTCATAGAGCAGGTTTGAAACACTCTTTCTGTAGTATCTGCAAGCGGACGTTTGAAGCGCTTTCAGGCCTGTGGTGAAAAAGGAAATATCTTCAAATAAAAACTAGACAGAAGCATTCTCAGAAACTTACTTGCGATGTGTGTTCTCAACTAAAAGAGTTGAACCTTTGTTTGGATACAGCATTTTGGAAACACTCTTTTTGTAGAATCTGCAAGTGGATATTTGGATAGCTTTGTAGGTTTCGTTGGAAACGGGAATATCTTCATATAAAATCAAGACAGAAGCATTCTCAGAAACTTCTCTGTGATGTTTGCATTCAACTCATAGAGTTGAACACTTCCCTTCATACAGCAGGTTTGAAACACTCTTTTTCTAATATTTGGAAGTGGACATTTGCAGCGCTTTGAGGCCTATGTTGAAAAAGGAAATATCTTCTCCTAAAAACCAGACAGAAGCATTCTCAGAAACTTCCTTGTGATGTGTGTACTCAAGTAACAGAGTTGAACCTTCCTTTTGACAGAGCAGTTTTGAAGCACTCTTTTTGTAGAATCTGCAAGTGGATATTTTGATACCTTTGAGGATTTCGTTGGACACGGGATATCTTCATATAAAATCTAGACAGAAGCATTCTCAGAAACTTCTTTGTGCTGTATGTCCTCAATTAACAGAGTTGAACCTTTGTGTGGATACAGCATTTTGGAAACATTCCTTTAGTAGAATCTGCAAGTTGATATTTAGATAGCTAGGAAGATTTCCTTGGAAACGGGAATATCTTCATATAAAATCTAGACGGAAGCATTCTCAGAAAGTGCTTTGTGATGTTTGCATTCAAGTCACAGAGTTGAATATTCCCTTTTATAGAGCAGGTTTGAAACACTCTTTCTGCACTACCTGGAAGTGGACATTTGGAGCGCTTTGAGGCCTATGTAGAAAAAGGAAATATCTTCCCATAAAAACTAGACAGAAGCATTCTCAGAAACTTGTTTGTGATGTGTGTATTCAACTAACAGAGATGAACCTTTCTTTTTAAAGAGCAGTTTTGAAACACTCTTTTTCTGGAATCTGAAAGTGGATATTTGGATAGCTTTGAGGATTTCGTTGGAAACGGGATTACATATAAAACCTAGAGAGAAGCATTCTCAGAAACTTCCTTGTGATGTGTGTACTCAAGTAACAGAGTTGAACCTTACTTTTGACAGAGCAGTTTTGAAACAGTCTTTTTGTAGAATCTGGAAGTAGATATTTGGATACCTTTGAGGATTTCTTTGGAAACGGGATATCTTCATATAAAATCTAGACAGAAGAATTCTCAGAAACTTCTTTGTGCTGTATGTCCTCAATAAACAGAGTTGAACCTTTGTGTGGATACAGCATTTTGGAAACATTCCTTTAGTAGAATCTGCAAGTTGATATTTAGATAGCTAGGAAGATTTCCTTGGAAACGGGAATATCTTCATATAAAATGTAGACGGAAGCATTCTCAGAAACTGCTTTGTGATGTTTTCATTCAAGTCACAGAGTAGAATGTTCCCTGTTATATACCAGGTTTGAGACACTCTTTCTGCACTACCTGGAAGTGGACGTTTGGAGCGCTTTGAGGCCTATGTTGAAAAAGGAAATATCTTCCCATAAAAACTAGACAGAAGCATTCTCAGAAACTTGTTTGTGATGTGTGTATTCAACTAACAGAGATGAACCTTTCTTTTTACAGAGCAGTTTTGAAACACTCTTTTTGTGGAATCTGAAAGTGGATATTTGGATAGCTTTGAGGATTTCGTTGGAAACTGGATTACATATAAAATCTAGAGAGAAGCATTCTCAGGAACTTCTTTGTGATGTTTGCATTCACGTCACAGAACTGAACATTCCCTTTCATAGAGCATGTTTGAAACACTCTTTCTGTAGTATCTGCAAACGGACATTTCAAACGCTTTCAGGCCTATGGTGAGAAAGGAAATATCTTCAAATAAAAACTAGACAGAAGCATTCTCAGAAACTTATTTGCGATGTGTGTCCTCAACTAACAGAGTTGAACCTTTCTTTTGATACAACATTTTGGAAACACTCTTTTTGTAGAATCTGCAAGTGGATATTTGGATAGCTTTGAAGGTTTCGTTGGAAACGGGAATATCTTCATATAAAATCAAGACAGAAGCATTCTCAGAAACTTCTCTGTGATGTTTGCATTCAACTCATAGAGTTGAACACTTCCCTTCATACAGCAGGTTTGAAACACTCTTTTTGTAATATTTGGAAGTGGACATTTGCAGCGCTTTGAGGCCTATGATGAAAAAGGAAATATCTTCCCATAAAAACTAGACAGAAGCATTCTCAGAAACTTATTTGTGATGTGTATATTCAACTAACAGAGATGAACCTTTCTTTTTACAGAGCAGTTTTGAAACACTCTTTTTGTGGAATCTGAAAGTGGATATTTGGACAGCTTTGAAAATTTCGTTGGAAACGGGATTACATATAAAATCTAGGGAGAAGCATTCTCAGGAACTTCTTTGTGATGTTTGCATTCAAGTCACAGAACTGAACATTCGCTTTCATAGAGCAGGTTTGAAACAGTCTTTCTGTAGTATCTGCAAGCTGACGTTTCAAGCGCTTTCATGCCTATGGTGAGAAAGGAAATATCTTCAAGAAAAACTAGACAGAAGCATTCTCAGAAACTTATTTGCGATGTGTGTCCTCAACTAACAGAGTTGAACCTTTCTTTTGATACAACATTTTGGAAACACTCTTTTTGTAGAATCTGCAAGTGGATATTTGGATAGCTTTGAAGGTTTCGTTGGAAACGGGAATATCTTCATATGAAATCAAGACAGAAGCATTCTCAGAAACTTCTCTGTGATGTTTGCATTCAACTCATAGAGTTGAACACTTCCCTTCATACAGCAGGTTTGAAACACTCTTTTTCTAATATTTGGAAGTGGACATTTGCAGCGCTTTGAGGCCTATGTTGAAAAAGGAAATATCTTCTCCTAAAAACCAGACAGAAGCATTCTCAGAAACTTCCTTGTGATGTGTGTACTCAAGTAACAGAGTTGAACCTTCCTTTTGACAGAGCAGTTTTTAAGCACTCTTTTTGTAGAATCTGCAAGGGGATATTTTGATACCTTTGAGGATTTCGTTGGACACGGGATATCTTCATATAACATCTAGACAGAAGCATTCTCAGAAACTTCTTTGTGCTGTATGTCCTCAATTAACAGAGTTGAACCTTTGTGTGGATACAGCATTTTGGAAACATTCCTTTAGTAGAATCTGCAAGTTGATATTTAGATAGCTAGGAAGATTTCCTTGGAAACGGGAATATCTTCATATAAAATCTAGACGGAAGCATTCTCAGAAAGTGCTTTGTGATGTTTGCATTCAAGTCACAGAGTTGAATATTCCCTTTTATAGAGCAGGTTTGAAACACTCTTTCTGCACTACCTGGAAGTGGACATTTGGAGCGCTTTGAGGCCTATGTTGAAACAGGAAATATGTTCCCATAAAAACTGGACAGAAGCATTCTCAGAAACTTGTTTGTGATGTGTGTATTCAACTAACAGAGATGAACCTTTCTTTTTACAGAGCAGTTTTGAAACACTCTTTTTGTGGAATCTGAAAGTGGATATTTGGATAGCTTTGAGGATTTCGTTGGAAACGGGATTACATATAAAACCTAGAGAGAAGCATTCTCAGGAACTTCTTTGTGATGTTTGCCTTCAAGTCACAGGACTGAACATTCCCTTTCATAGAGCAGGTTTGAAACACTCTTTCTGTAGTATCTGCAAGCTGACGTTTCAAGCGCTTTCAGGCCTATGGTGAGAAAGGAAATATCTTCAAGTAAAAACTAGACAGAAGCATTCTCAGAAACTTATTTGCCATGTGTGTTCTCAACTAACAGAGTTGAACCTTTGTTTTGATACGGCATTTTGGAAACACTCTTTTTGTAGAATCTGCAGGTGGATATTCGGATAGCTTTGAAGGTTTCGTTGGAAACGGGAATATCTTCATATAAAACCTTGACGGAAGCATTCTCAGAAACTTCTTTGTGCTGTATGTCCTCAATTAACAGAGTTGAACCTTTGTGTGGATACAGCATTTTGGAAACATTCCTTTAGTAGAATCTGCAAGTTGATATTTAGATAGCTAGGAAGAGTTCCTTGGAAACGGGAATATCTTCATATAAAATCTAGACGGAAGCATTCTCAGAAACTGCTTTGTGATGTTTTCATTCAAGTCACAGAGTAGAATGTTCCCTGTTATATACCAGGTTTGAGACACTCTTTCTGCACTACCTGGAAGTGGACATTTGCAGCGCTTTGAGGCCTATGATGAAAAAGGAAATATCTTCCCATAAAAACTAGACAGAAGCATTCTCAGAAACTTGTTTGTGATGTGTGTATTCAACTAACAGAGATGAACCTTTCTTTTTACAGAGCAGTTTTGAAACACTCTTTTTGTGGAATCTGAAAGTGGATATTTGGATAGCTTTGAGGATTTCGTTGGAAACGGGATTACATATAAAATCTAGAGAGAAGCATTCTCAGGAACTTCTTTGTGATGTTTGCATTCACGTCACAGAACTGAACATTCCCTTTCATAGAGCATGTTTGAAACACTCTTTCTGTAGTATCTGCAAACGGACATTTCAAACGCTTTCAGGCCTATGGTGAGAAAGGAAATATCTTCAAATAAAAACTAGACAGAAGCATTCTCAGAAACTTATTTGCGATGTGTGTCCTCAACTAACAGAGTTGAACCTTTCTTTTGATACAACATTTTGGAAACACTCTTTTTGTGGAATCTGCAAGTGGATATTTGGATAGCTTTGAAGATTTCGTTGGAAACGGGAATATCTTCATATAAAATCAAGACAGAAGCATTCTCAGAAACTTCTCTGTGATGTTTGCATTCAACTCATAGAGTTGAACACTTCCCTTCATACAGCAGGTTTGAAACACTCTTTTTGTAATATTTGGAAGTGGACATTTGCAGCGCTTTGAGGCCTATGATGAAAAAGGTAATATCTTCCCATAAAAACTAGACAGAAGCATTCTCAGAAACTTGTTTGTGATGTGTGTATTCAACTAACAGAGATGAACCTTTCTTTTTACAGAGCAGTTTTGAAACACTCTTTTTGTGGAATCTGAAAGTGGATATTTGGATAGCTTTGCGGATTTCGTTGGAAACGGGATTACATATAAAATCTAGGGAGAAGCATTCTCAGAAACTTCTCTGTGATGTTTGCATTCAACTCACAGAGTTGAACACTTCCTTTCATAGAGCTGGTTTGAAATACTCTTTTTGTAATATTTGGAAGTGGACATTGGCAGCGCTTTGAAGCCTATGGTGAAAAAGGAGATATCTTCTCCTAAAAACCAGACAGAAGCATTCTCAGAAACTTATTTGCGATGTGTGTCCTCAACTAACAGAGTTGAACCTTTCTTTTGATACAGCATTTTGGAAACACTCTTTTTGTAGAATCTGCAAGTGGATATTTGGAAAGCTTTGAAGGTTTCGTTGGAAACGGGAATATCTTCATATGAAATCAAGACAGAAGCATTCTCAGAAAGAGCTTTGTGATGTTCGCATTCAAGTCACAGAGTTGAATATTCCCTTTTATAGAGCAGGTTTGAAACACTCTTTCTGCACTACCTGGAAGTGGACATTTGGAGCGCTTTGAGGCCTATGTTGAAAAAGGAAATATCTTCCCATAAAAACTAGACAGAAGCATTCTCAGAAACTTGTTTGTGATGTGTGTATTCAACTAACAGAGATGAACCTTTCTTTTTACAGAGCAGTTTTGAAACACTCTTTTTGTGGAATCTGAAAGTGGATATTTGGATAGCTTTGCGGATTTCGTTGGAAACGGGATTACATATAAAATCTAGGGAGAAGCATTCTCAGGAACTTCTTTGTGATGTTTGCTTTCAAGTCACAGAACTGAACATTCCCTTTCATAGAGCAGGTTTGAAACACTCTTTCTGTAGTATCTGCAAGCGGACGTTTTAAGCGCTTTCAGGCCTGTGGTGAGAAAGGAAATATCTTCAAATAAAAACTAGACAGAAGCATTCTCAGAAACTTATTTGCGATGTGTGTCCTCAACTAACAGAGTTGAACCTTTCTTTTGATACAACATTTTGGAAACACTCTTTTTGTAGAATCTGCAAGTGGATATTTGGATAGCTTTGAAGGTTTCGTTGGAAACGGGAATATCTTCATATGAAATCAAGACAGAAGCATTCTCAGAAACTTCTCTGTGATGTTTGCATTCAACTCATAGAGTTGAACACTTCCCTTCATACAGCAGGTTTGAAACACTCTTTTTCTAATATTTGGAAGTGGACATTTGCAGCGCTTTGAGGCCTATGTTGAAAAAGGAAATATCTTCTCCTAAAAACCAGACAGAAGCATTCTCAGAAACTTCCTTGTGATGTGTGTACTCAAGTAACAGAGTTGAACCTTCATTTTGACAGAGCAGTTTTGAAGCACTCTTTTTGTAGAATCTGCAAGTGGATATTTTGATACCTTTGAGGATTTCGTTAGACACGGGATATCTTCATATAAAATCTAGACAGAAGCATTCTCAGAAACTTCTTTGTGCTGTATGTCCTCAATTAACAGAGTTGAACCTTTGTGTGGATACAGCATTTTGGAAACATTCCTTTAGTAGAATCTGCAAGTTGATATTTAGATAGCTAGGAAGATTTCCTTGGAAACGGGAATATCTTCATATAAAATCTAGACGGAAGCATTCTCAGAAAGTGCTTTGTGATGTTTGCATTCAAGTCACAGAGTTGAATATTCCCTTTTATAGAGCAGGTTTGAAACACTCTTTCTGCACTACCTGGAAGTGGACATTTGGAGCGCATTGACGTCTATGTTGAAAAAGGAAATATCTTCCCATAAAAACTAGACAGAAGCATTCTCAGAAACTTGTTTGTGATGTGTGTATTCAACTAACAGAGATGAACCTTTCTTTTTACAGAGCAGTTTTGAAACACTCTTTTTGTGGAATCTGAAAGTGGATATTTGGATAGCTTTGAGGATTTCGTTGGAAACGGGATTACATATAAAACCTAGAGAGAAGCATTCTCAGGAACTTCTTTGTGATGTTTGCATTCAAGTCACAGAACTGAACATTCCCTTTCATAGAGCAGGTTTGAAACAGTCTTTCTGTAGTATCTGCAAGCTGACGTTTCAAGCGCTTTCAGGCCTATGGTGAGAAAGGAAATATCTTCAAGTAAAAACTAGACAGAAGCATACTCAGAAACTTATTTGCCATGTGTGTTCTCAATTAACAGAGTTGAACCTTTGTTTTGATACGGCATTTTGGAAACACTCTTTTTGTAGAATCTGCAGGTGGATATTCGGATAGCTTTGAAGGTTTCGTTGGAAACGGGAATATCTTCATATAAAATCTAGACGGAAGCATTCTCAGAAAGTGCTTTGTGATGTTTGCATTCAAGTCACAGAGTTGAATGTTCCCTTTTATAGAGCAGGTTTGAAACACTCTTTCTGCACTACCTGGAAGTGGACATTTGGAGCGCTTTGAGGCCTATGTTGAAAAAGGAAATATCTTCCCATAAAAACTAGACAGAAGCATTCTCAGAAACTTGTTTGTGATGTGTGTATTCAACTAACAGAGATGAACCTTTCTTTTTACAGAGCAGTTTTGAAACACTCTTTTTGTGGAATCTGAAAGTGGATATTTGGATAGCTTTGAGGATTTCGTTGGAAACGGGATTACATATAAAACCTAGAGAGAAGCATTCTCAGGAACTTCTTTGTGATGTTTGCCTTCAAGTCACAGGACTGAACATTCCCTTTCATAGAGCATGTTTGAAACACTCTTTCTGTAGTATCTGCAAGCTGACGTTTCAAGCGCTTTCAGGCCTATGGTGAGAAAGGATATATCTTCAAGTAAAAACTAGACAGAAGCATTCTCAGAAACTTATTTGCGATGTGTGTTCTCAACTAACAGAGTTGAACCTTTGTTTTGATATGGCATTTTGGAAACACTCTTTTTGTAGAATCTGCAGGTGGATATTCGGATAGCTTTGAAGGTTTCGTTGGAAACGGGAATATCTTCATATAAAATCTAGACGGAAGCATTCTCAGAAACTGCTTTGTGATGTTTTCATTCAAGTCACAGAGTAGAATGTTCCCTGTTATATACCAGGTTTGAGACACTCTTTCTGCACTACCTGGAAGTGGGCATTTGGAGCGCTTTGAGGCCTATGATGAAAAAGGAAATATCTTCCCAAAAAACTAGACAGAAGCATTCTCAGAAACTTGTTTGTGATGTGTGTATTCAACTAACAGAGATGAACCTTTCTTTTTACAGAGCAGTTTTGAAACACTCTTTTTGTGGAATCTGAAAGTGGATATTTGGATAGCTTTGAGGATTTCGTTGGAAACGGGATTACATATAAAATCTAGAGAGAAGCATTCTCAGGAACTTCTTTGTGATGTTTGCATTCACGTCACAGAACTGAACATTCCCTTTCATAGAGCATGTTTGAAACACTCTTTCTGTAGTATCTGCAAACGGACATTTCAAACGCTTTCAGGCGTATGGTGAGAAAGGAAATATCTTCAAATAAAAACTAGACAGAAGCATTCTCAGAAACTTATTTGCGATGTGTGTCCTCAACTAACAGAGTTGAACCTTTCTTTTGATACAACATTTTGGAAACACTCTTTTTGTAGAATCTGCAAGTGGATATTTGAATAGCTTTGAAGGTTTCGTTGGAAACGGGAATATCTTCAAATAAAAACTAGACAGAAAGCATTCTCAGAAACTTATTTGCGATGTGTGTCCTCAACTAACAGAGTTGAACCTTTCTTTTGATACAACATTTTGGAAACACTCTTTTTGTAGAATCTGCAAGTGGATATTTGAATAGCTTTGAAGGTTTCGTTGGAAACGGGAATATCTTCATATAAAATCAAGACAGAAGCATTCTCAGAAACTTCTCTGTGATGTTTGCATTCAACTCATAGAGTTGAACACTTCCCTTCATACAGCAGGCTTGAAACACTCTTTTTGTAATATTTGGAAGTGGACATTTGCAGCGCTTTGAGGCCTATGATGAAAAAGGTAATATCTTCCCATAAAAACTAGACAGAAGCATTCTCAGAAACTTGTTTGTGATGTGTGTATTCAACTAACAGAGATGAACCTTTCTTTTTACAGAGCAGTTTTGAAACACTCTTTTTGTGGAATCTGAAAGTGGATATTTGGATAGCTTTGAGGATTTCGTTGGAAACGGGATTACATATAAAACCTAGAGAGAAGCATTCTCAGGAACTTCTTTGTGATGTTTGCCTTCAAGTCACAGGACTGAACATTCCCTTTCATAGAGCAGGTTTGAAACACTCTTTCTGTAGTATCTGCAAGCTGACGTTTCAAGCGCTTTCAGGCCTATGGTGAGAAAGGAAATATCTTCAAGTAAAAACTAGACAGAAGCATTCTCAGAAACCTCTTTGTGCTGTATGTCTTCAATTAACAGAGTTGAACCTTTGTTTGGAAACAGCATTTTGGAAACGTTCCTTTAGTAGAATCTGCAAGTTGATATTTAGATAGCTAGGAAGATTTCCTTGGAAACGGGAATATCTTCACATAAAATCTAGACGGAAGCATTCTCAGAAACTGCTTTGTGATGTTTTCATTCAAGTCACAGAGTAGAATGTTCCCTGTTATATACCAGGTTTGAGACACTCTTTCTGCACTACCTGGAAGTGGACTTTTGGAGCGCTTTGAGGCGTATGTTGAAAAAGGAAATATCTTCCCATAAAAACTAGACAGAAGCATTCTCAGAAACTTGTTTGTGATGTGTGTATTCAACTAACAGAGATGAACCTTTCTTTTTACAGAGCAGTTTTGAAACACTCTTTTTGTGGAATCTGAAAGTGGATATTTGGATAGGTTTGAGGATTTCGTTGGAAACGGGATTACATATAAAATCTAGAGAGAAGCATTCTCAGGAACTTCTTTGTGATGTTTGCATTCACGTCACAGAACTGAACATTCCCTTTCATAGAGCATGTTTGAAACACTCTTTCTGTAGTATCTGCAAACGGACATTTCAAACGCTTTCAGGCCTATGGTGAGAAAGGAAATATCTTCAAGTAAAAACTAGACAGAAGCATTCTCAGAAACTTATTTGCGATGTGTGTCCTCAACTAACAGAGTTGAACCTTTCTTTTGATACAACATTTTGGAAACACTCTTTTTGTAGAATCTGCAAGTGGATATTTGAATAGCTTTGAAGGTTTCGTTGGAAACGGGAATATCTTCATATAAAATCAAGACAGAAGCATTCTCAGAAACTTCTCTGTGATGTTTGCATTCAACTCATAGAGTTGAACACTTCCCTTCATACAGCAGGTTTGAAACACTCTTTTTGTAATATTTGGAAGTGGACTTTTGCAGCGCTTTGAGGCCTATGATGAAAAAGGTAATATCTTCCCATAAAAACTAGACAGAAGCATTCTCAGAAACTTGTTTGTGATGTGTGTATTCAACTAACAGAGATGAACCTTTCTTTTTACAGAGCAGTTTTGAAACACTCTTTTTGTGGAATCTGAAAGTGGATATTTGGATAGCTTTGCGGATTTCGTTGGAAACGGGATTACATATAAAATCTAGGGAGAAGCACTCTCAGGAACTTCTTTGTGATGTTTGCATTCAAGTCACAGAACTGAACATTCCCTTTCATAGAGCAGGTTTGAAACACTCTTTCTGTAGTATCTGCAAGCGGACGTTTTAAGCGCTTTCAGGCCTGTGGTGAGAAAGGAAATATCTTCAAATAAAAACTAGACAGAAGCATTCTCAGAAACTTATTTGCGATGTGTGTCCTCAACTAACAGAGTTGAACCTTTCTTTTGATACAACATTTTGGAAACACTCTTTTTGTAGAATCTGCAAGTGGATATTTGGATAGCTTTGAAGGTTTCGTTGGAAACGGGAATATCTTCATATGAAATCAAGACAGAAGCATTCTCAGAAACTTCTCTGTGATGTTTGCATTCAACTCATAGAGTTGAACACTTCCCTTCATACAGCAGGTTTGAAACACTCTTTTTCTAATATTTGGAAGTGGACATTTGCAGCGCTTTGAGGCCTATGTTGAAAAAGGAAATATCTTCTCCTAAAAACCAGACAGAAGCATTCTCAGAATCTTCCTTGTGATGTGTGTACTCAAGTAACAGAGTTGAACCTTACTTTTGACAGAGCAGTTTTGAAGCACTCTTTTTGTAGAATTTGCAAGTGGATATTTTGATACCTTTGAGGATTTCGTTGGACACGGGATATCTTCATATAAAATCTAGACAGAAGCATTCTCAGAAACTTCTTTGTCCTGTATGTCCTCAATTAACAGAGTTGAGCCTTTGTTTCGATACAGCATTTTGGAAACATTCCTTTAGTAGAATCTGCAAGTTGATATTTAGATAGCTAGGAAGATATCCTTGGAAACGGGAATATCTTCATATAAAATCTAGACGGAAGCATTCTCAGAAAGTGCTTTGTGATGTTTGCATTCAAGTCACAGAGTTGAATATTCCCTTTTATAGAGCAGGTTTGAAACACTCTTTCTGCACTACCTGGAAGTGGACATTTGGAGCGCTTTGAGGCCTATGTTGAAAAAGGAAATATCTTCCCATAAAAACTAGAGAGAAGCATTCTCAGAAACTTGTTTGTGATGTGTGTATTCAACTAACAGAGATGAACCTTTCTTTTTACAGAGCAGTTTTGAAACACTCTTTTTGTGGAATCTGAAAGTGGATATTTGGATAGCTTTGAGGATTTCGTTGGAAACGGGATTACATATAAAACCTAGAGAGAAGCATTCTCAGGAACTTCTTTGTGATGTTTGCATTCAAGTCACAGAACTGAACATTCCCTTTCATAGAGCAGGTTTGAAACACTCTTTCTGTAGTATCTGCAAGCTGACGTTTCAAGCGCTTTCAGGCCTATGGTGAGAAAGGAAATATCTTCAAGTAAAAACTAGACAGAAGCATTCTCAGAAACTTATTTGCCATGTGTGTTCTCAACTAACAGAGTTGAACCTTTGTTTTGATACGGTATTTTGGAAACACTCTTTTTGTAGAATCTGCAGGTGGATATTCGGATAGCTTTGAAGATTTCGTTGGAAACGGGAATATCTTCATATAAAACCTAGACGGAAGCATTCTCAGAAACTGCTTTGTGATGTTTTCATTCAAGTCACAGAGTAGAATGTTCCCTTTTATAGAGCAGGTTTGAGACACTCTTTCTGCACTACCTGGAAGTGGACATTTGGAGCGCTTTGAGGCCTATGATGAAAAAGGAAATATCTTCCCATAAAAACTAGACAGAAGCATTCTCAGAAACTTGTTTGTGATGTGTGTATTCAACTAACAGAGATGAACCTTTCTTTTTACAGAGCAGTTTTGAAACACTCTTTTTGTGGAATCTGAAAGTGGATATTTGGATAGCTTTGAGGATTTCGTTGGAAACGGGATTACATATAAAATCTAGAGAGAAGCATTCTCAGGAACTTCTTTGTGATGTTTGCATTCACGTCACAGAACTGAACATTCCCTTTCATAGAGCATGTTTGAAACACTCTTTCTGTAGTATCTGCAAACGGACATTTCAAACGCTTTCAGGCCTATGGTGAGAAAGGAAATATCTTCAAGTAAAAACTAGACAGAAGCATTCTCAGAAACTTATTTGCGATGTGTGTCCTCAACTAACAGAGTTGAACCTTTCTTTTGATACAACATTTTGGAAACACTCTTTTTGTAGAATCTGCAAGTGGATATTTGAATAGCTTTGAAGGTTTCATTGGAAACGGGAATATCTTCATATAAAATCAAGACGGAAGCATTCTCAGAAACTTCTCTGTGATGTTTGCATTCAACTCATAGAGTTGAACACTTCCCTTCATACAGCAGGTTTGAAACACTCTTTTTGTAATATTTGGAAGTGGACATTTGCAGCGCTTTGAGGCCTATGATGAAAAAGGTAATATCTTCCCATAAAAACTAGACAGAAGCATTCTCAGAAACTTGTTTGTGATGTGTGTATTCAACTAACAGAGATGAACCTTTCTTTTTACAGAGCAGTTTTGAAACACTCTTTTTGTGGAATCTGAAAGTGGATATTTGGATAGCTTTGCGGATTTCGTTGGAAACGGGATTACATATAAAATCTAGGGAGAAGCATTCTCAGGAACTTCTTTGTGATGTTTGCATTCAAGTCACAGAACTGAACATTCCCTTTCATAGAGCAGGTTTGAAACACTCTTTCTGTAGTATCTGCAAGCGGACGTTTTAAGCGCTTTCAGGCCTGTGGTGAGAAAGGACATTCTTCAAATAAAAACTAGACAGAAAGCATTCTCAGAAACTTATTTGCCATGTGTGTTCTCAACTAACAGAGTTGAACCTTTGTTTTGATACGGCATTTTGGAAACACTCTTTTTGTAGAATCTGCAGGTGGATGTACGGATAGCTTTGAAGGTTTCGTTGGAAACGGGAATATCTTCATATAAAGTCTAGACGGAAGCATTCTCAGAAACTTCTCTGTGATGTTTGCATTCAACTCATAGAGTTGAACACTTCCCTTCATACAGCAGGTTTGAAACACTCTTTTTGTAATATTTGGAAGTGGACATTTGCAGCGCTTTGAGGCCTATGATGAAAAAGGAAATATCTTCCCATAAAAACTAGACAGAAGCATTCTCAGAAACTTGTTTGTGATGTGTGTATTCAACTAACAGAGATGAACCTTTCTTTTTACAGAGCAGTTTTGAAACACTCTTTTTGTGGAATCTGAAAGTGGATATTTGGATAGCTTTGAGGATTTCGTTGGAAACGGGATGACATATAAAATCTAGGGAGAAGCATTCTCAGGAACATCTTTGTGATGTTTGCATTCAAGTCACAGAACTGAACATTCCCTTTCATAGAGCAGGTTTGAAACACTCTTTCTGTAGTATCTGCAAGCGGACGTTTCAAGCGCTTTCAGGCCTGTGGTGAAAAAGGAAATATCTTCAAATAAAAACTAGACAGAAGCATTCTCAGAAACTTATTTGCGATGTGTGTCCTCAACTAACAGAGTTGAACCTTTCTTTTGATACAACATTTTGGAAACACTCTTTTTGTAGAATCTGCAAGTGGATATTTGGATAGCTTTGAAGGTTTCGTTGGAAACGGGAATATCTTCATATGAAATCAAGACAGAAGCATTCTCAGAAACTTCTCTGTGATGTTTGCATTCAACTCATAGAGTTGAACACTTCCCTTCATACAGCAGGTTTGAAACACTCTTTTTCTAATATTTGGAAGTGGACATTTGCAGCGCTTTGAGGCCTATGTTGAAAAAGGAAATATCTTCTCCTAAAAACCAGACAGAAGCATTCTCAGAAACTTCCTTGTGATGTGTGTACTCAAGTAACAGAGTTGAACCTTCCTTTTGACAGAGCAGTTTTGAAGCACTCTTTTTGTAGAATCTGCAAGTGGATATTTTGATACCTTTGAGGATTTCGTTGGACACGGGATATCTTCATATAAAATCTAGACAGAAGCATTCTCAGAAACTTCTTTGTGCTGTATGTCCTCAATTAACAGAGTTGAACCTTTGTGTGGATACAGCATTTTGGAAACATTCCTTTAGTAGAATCTGCAAGTTGATATTTAGATAGCTAGGAAGATTTCCTTGGAAACGGGAATATCTTCATATAAAATCTACACGGAAGCATTCTCAGAAAGTGCTTTGTGATGTTTGCATTCAAGTCACAGAGTTGAATATTCCCTTTTATAGAGCAGGTTTGAAACACTCTTTCTGCACTACCTGGAAGTGGACATTTGGAGCGCTTTGAGGCCTATGTTGAAAAACGAAATATCTTCCCATAAAAACTAGACAGAAGCATTCTCAGAAACTTGTTTGTGATGTGTGTATTCAACTAACAGAGATGAACCTTTCTTTTTACAGAGCAGTTTTGAAACACTCTTTTTGTGGAATCTGAAAGTGGATATTTGGATAGCTTTGAGGATTTCGTTGGAAACGGGATTACATATAAAACCTAGAGAGAAGAATTCTCAGGAACTTCTTTGTGATGTTTGCATTCAAGTCACAGAACTGAACATTCCCTTTCATAGAGCAGGTTTGAAACACTCTTTCTGTAGTATCTGCAAGCTGACGTTTCAAGCGCTTTCAGGCCTATGGTGAGAAAGGAAATATCTTCAAGTAAAAACTAGACAGAAGCATTGTCAGAAACTTATTTGCCATGTGTGTTCTCAACTAACAGAGTTGAACCTTTGTTTTGATACGGCATTTTGGAAACACTCTTTTTGTAGAATCTGCAGGTGGATATTCGGATAGCTTTGAAGGTTTCGTTGGAAACGGGAATATCTTCATATAAAATCTAGACGGAAGCATTCTCAGAAACTGCTTTGTGATGTTTTCATTCAAGTCACAGAGTAGAATGTTCCCTGTTATATACCAGGTTTGAGACACTCTTTCTGCACTACCTGGAAGTGGACGTTTGGAGCGCTTTGAGGCCTATGTTGAAAAAGGAAATATCTTCCCATAAAAACTAGACAGAAGCATTCTCAGAAACTTGTTTCTGATGTGTGTATTCAACTAACAGAGATGAACCTTTCTTTTTACAGAGTAGTTTTGAAACACTCTTTTTGTGGAATCTGAAAGTGGATATTTGGATAGCTTTGCGGATTTCGTTGGAAACGGGATTACATATAAAATCTAGGGAGAAGCATTCTCAGGAACTTCTTTGTGATGTTTGCATTCAAGTCACAGAACTGAACATTCCCTTTCATAGAGCAGGTTTGAAACACTCTTTCTGTAGTATCTGCAAGTGGACGTTTCAAGCGCTTTCAGGCCTGTGGTGAAAAAGGAAATATCTTCAAATAAAAACTAGACAGAAGCATTCTCAGAAACTTATTTGCGATGTGTGTTCTCAGCTAACAGAGTTGAACCTTTGTTTTGATACAGCATTTTGGAAACACTCTTTTTGTAGGATCTGCAGGTGGATATTTGGATAGCTTTGAAGGTTTCTTTGGAAACGGGAATATCTTCATATAAAATCAAGACAGAAGCATTCTCAGAAACTTCTCTGTGATGTTTGCATTCAACTCATAGAGTTGAACACTTCCTTTCATAGAGCTGGTTTGAAATACTCTTTTTGTAATATTTGGAAGTGGACATTGGCAGCGCTTTGAAGCCTATGGTGAAAAAGGAGATATCTTCTCCTAAAAACCAGACAGAAGCATTCTCAGAATCTTTCTTGTGATGTGTGTACTCAAGTAACAGAGTTGAACCTTCATTTTGACAGAGCAGTTTTGAAGCACTCTTTTTGTAGAATCTACAAGAGGATATTTTGATACCTTTGAGGATTTCGTTGGACACGGGATATCTTCATATAAAATCTAGACAGAAGCATTCTCAGAAACTTCTTTGTGCTGTATGTCCTCAATTAACAGAGTTGAACCTTTGTGTGGATACAGCATTTTGGAAACATTCCTTTAGTAGAATCTGCAAGTTGATATTTAGATAGCTAGGAAGATTTCCTTGCAAACGGGAATATCTTCATATAAAATCTAGACGGAAGCATTCTCAGAAACTGCTTTGTGATGTTTCCATTGAAGTCAGAGAGTAGAATGTTCCCTTTTATATACCACGTTTGAGACACTCTTTCTGCGCTATCTGGAAGTGGACATTTGGAGCGCTTTGAGGCCTATGATGAAAAAGGAAATATCTTCCCATAAAAACTAGACAGAAGCATTCTCAGAAACTTGTTTGTGATGTGTGTATTCAACTAACAGAGATGAACCTTTCTTTTTACAGAGCAGTTTTGAAACACTCTTTTTGTGGAATCTGAAAGTGGATATTTGGATAGCTTTGAGGATTTCGTTGGAAACGGGATTACATATAAAATCTAGAGAGAAGCATTCTCAGGAACTTCTTTGTGATGTTTGCATTCACGTCACAGAACTGAACATTCCCTTTCATAGATCATGTTTGAAACACTCTTTCTGTAGTATCTGCAAACGGACATTTCAAGCGCTTTCAGGCCTATGGTAAGAAAGGAAATATCTTCAAATAAAAACTAGACAGAAGCATTCTCAGAAACTTATTTGCGATGTGTGTCCTCAACTGACAGAGTTGAACCTTTGTTTTGATACAACATTTTGGAAACACTCTTTTTGTAGAATCTGCAAGTGGATATTTGGATAGCTTTGAAGGTTTCGTTGGAAACGGGAATATCTTCATATAAAATCAAGACAGAAGCATTCTCAGAAACTTCTCTGTGATGTTTGCATTCAACTCATAGAGTTGAACACTTCCCTTCATAGAGCAGGTTTGAAACACTCTTTTTGTAATATTTGGAAGTGGACATTTGCAGCGCTTTGAGGCCTATGTTGAAAAAGGAAATATCTTCTCCTAAAAACCAGACAGAAGCATTCTCAGAAACTTCCTTGTGATGTGTGTACTCAAGTAACAGAGTTGAACCTTACTTTTGACAGAGCCGTTTTGAAACAGTCTTTTTGTAGAATCTGGAAGTAGATATTTGGATACCTTTGAGGATTTCTTTGGAAACGGGATATCTTCATATAAAATCTAGACAGAAGCATTCTCAGGAACTTCTTTGTGATGTTTGCATTCACGTCACAGAACTGAACATTCCCTTTCATAGAGCAGGTTTGAAACACTCTTTCTGTAGTATCTGCAAACGGACATTTCAAACGCTTTCAGGCCTATGGTGAGAAAGGAAATATCTTCAAATAAAAACTAGACAGAAGCATTCTCAGAAACTTATTTGCGATGTGTGTCCTCAACTAACAGAGTTGAACCTTTCTTTTGATACAACATTTTGGAAACACTCTTTTTGTAGAATCTGCAAGTGGATATTTGAATAGCTTTGAAGGTTTCGTTGGAAACGGGAATATCTTCATATAAAATCAAGACAGAAGCATTCTCAGAAACTGCTTTGTGATGTTTTCATTCAAGTCACAGGGTAGAATGTTCCCTTTTATAGAGCAGGTTTGAAACACTCTTTCTGCACTACCTGGAAGTAGACATTTGGAGCGCTTTGAGGCATATGTTGAAAATGGAAATATCTTCCCATAAAAACTAGACAGAAGCATTCTCAGAAACTTGTTTGTGATGTGTGTATTCAACTAACAGAGATGAACGTTTGTTTTTACAGAGCAGTTTTAAAACACTCTTTTTGTGGAATCTGAAATTGGATATTTGGATAGCTTTGGGGATTTCGTTGGAATAGGGACTACATATAAAATCTAGGGAGAAGCATTCTCAGGAACTTCTTTGTGATGTATGCATTCAAGTCACAGAACTGAACATTCCCTTTCATAGAGCAGGTTTCAAGCACTCTTTCTGTAGTATCTGCAAGCCGACGTTTCAAGCGCTTTCAGGCCTATGGTGAGAAAGGAAATATCTTCAAATAAAAACTAGACAGAAGCATTCTCAGAAACTTATTTGCGATGTGTGTCCTCAACTAACAGAGTTGAACCTTTCTTTTGATACAACATTTTGGAAACACTCTTTTTGTAGAATCTGCAAGTGGATATTTGGATAGCTTTGAAGGTTTCGTTGGAAACGGGAATATCTTCATATGAAATCAAGACAGAAGCATTCTCAGAAACTTCTCTGTGATGTTTGCATTCAACTCATAGAGTTGAACACTTCCCTTCATACAGCAGGTTTGAAACACTCTTTTTGTAATATTTGGAAGTGGACATTTGCAGCGCTTTGAGGCCTATGTTGAAAAAGGAAATATCTTCTCCTAAAAACCAGACAGAAGCATTCTCAGAAACTTCCTTGTGATGTGTGTACTCAAGTAACAGAGTTGAACCTTCCTTTTGACAGAGCAGTTTTGAAGCACTCTTTTTGTAGAATCTGCAAGTGGATATTTTGATACCTTTGAGGATTTCGTTGGACACGGGATATCTTCATATAAAATCTAGACAGAAGCATTCTCAGAAACTTCTTTGTGCTGTATGTCCTCAATTAACAGAGTTGAACCTTTGTGTGGATACAGCATTTTGGAAACATTCCTTTAGTAGAATCTGCAAGTTGATATTTAGATAGCTAGGAAGATTTCCTTGGAAACGGGAATATCTTCATATAAAATCTAGACGGAAGCATTCTCAGAAAGTGCTTTGTGATGTTTGCATTCAAGTCACAGAGTTGAATATTCCCTTTTATAGAGCAGGTTTGAAACACTCTTTCTGCACTACCTGGAAGTGGACATTTGGAGCGCTTTGAGGCCTATGTTGAAAAAGGAAATATCTTCCCATAAAAACTAGACAGAAACATTCTCAGAAATTTGTTTGTGATGTGTGTATTCAACTAACAGAGATGAACCTTTCTTTTTACAGAGCAGTTTTGAAACACTCTTTTTGTGGATTCTGAAAGTGGATATTTGGATAGCTTTGAGGATTTTGTTGGAAACGGGATTACATATAAAACCTAGAGAGAAGCATTCTCAGGAACTTCTTTGTGATGTTTGCATTCAAGTCACAGAACTGAACATTCCCTTTCATAGAGCAGGTTTGAAACACTCTTTCTGTAGTATCTGCAAGCTGACGTTTCAAGCGCTTTCAGGCCTATGGTGAGAAAGGAAATATCTTCAAGTAAAAACTAGACAGAAGCATTCTCAGAAACTTATTTGCGATGTGTGTTCTCAACTAACAGAGTTGAACCTTTGTTTTGATATGGCATTTTGGAAACACTCTTTTTGTAGAATCTGCAGGTGGATATTCGGATAGCTTTGAAGGTGTCGTTGGAAACGGGAATATCTTCATATAAAATCTAGACGGAAGCATTCTCAGAAAGTGCTTTGTGATGTTTGCATTCAAGTCACAGAGTTGAATGTTCCCTTTTATAGAGCAGGTTTGAAACACTCTTTCTGCACTACCTGGAAGTGGACGTTTGGAGCGCTTTGAGGCCTATGTTGAAAAAGGAAATATCTTCCCATAAAAACTAGACAGAAGCATTCTCAGAAACTTGTTTGTGATGTGTGTATTCAACTAACAGAGATGAACCTTTCTTTTTACAGAGCAGTTTTGAAACACTCTTTTTGTGGAATCTGAAAGTGGATATTTGGATAGCTTTGAGGATTTCGTTGGAAACGGGATTACATATAAAACCTAGAGAGAAGCATTCTCAGGAACTTCTTTGTGATGTTTGCATTCAAGTCACAGGACTGAACATTCCCTTTCATAGAGCAGGTTTGAAACACTCTTTCTGTAGTATCTGCAAGCTGACGTTTCAAGCGCTTTCAGGCCTATGGTGAGAAAGGAAATATCTTCAAGTAAAAACTAGACAGAAGCATTCTCAGAAACTTATTTGAGATGTGTGTTCTCAACTAACAGAGTTGAACCTTTGTTTCGATATGGCATTTTGGAAACACTCTTTTTGTAGAATCTGCAGGTGGATATTCGGATAGCTTTGAAGGTTTCGTTGGAAACGGGAATATCTTCATATAAAATCTAGACGGAAGCATTCTCAGAAACTGCTTTGTGATGTTTGCATTCAAGTCACAGAGTAGAATGTTCCCTGTTATATACCAGGTTTGAGACACTCTTTCTGCACTACCTGGAAGTGGACATTTGCAGCGCTTTGAGGCCTATGATGAAAAAGGAAATATCTTCCCATAAAAACTAGACAGAAGCATTCTCAGAAACTTGTTTGTGATGTGTGTATTCAACTAACAGAGATGAACCTTTCTTTTTACAGAGCAGTTTTGAAACACTCTTTTTGTGGAATCTGAAAGTGGATATTTGGATAGCTTTGAGGATTTCGTTGGAAACGGGATTAAATATAAAATCTAGAGAGAAGCATTCTCAGGAACTTCTTTGTGATGTTTGCATTCACGTCACAGAACTGAACATTCCCTTTCATAGAGCATGTTTGAAACACTCTTTCTGTAGTATCTGCAAACGGACATTTCAAACGCTTTCAGGCCTATGGTGAGAAAGGAAATATCTTCAAATAAAAACTAGACAGAAGCATTCTCAGAAACTTATTTGCGATGTGTGTCCTCAACTATCAGAGTTGAACCTTTCTTTTGATACAACATTTTGGAACCACTCTTTTTGTAGAATCTGCAAGTGGATATTTGAATAGCTTTGAAGGTTTCGTTGGAAACGGGAATATCTTCATATAAAATCAAGACAGAAGCATTCTCAGAAACTTCTCTGTGATGTTTGCATTCAACTCATAGAGTTGAACACTTCCCTTCATACAGCAGGTTTGAAACACTCTTTTTGTAATATTTGGAAGTGGACATTTGCAGCGCTTTGAGGCCTATGATGAAAAAGGAAATATCTTCCCATAAAAACTAGACAGAAGCATTCTCAGAAACTTGTTTGTGATGTGTGTATTCAACTAACAGATGAACCTTTCTTTTTACAGAGCAGTTTTGAAACACTCTTTTTGTGGAATCTGAAAGTGGATATTTGGATAGCTTTGCGGATTTCGTTGGAAACGGGATTACATATAAAATCTAGGGAGAAGCATTCTCAGGAACTACTTTGTGATGTTTGCATTCAAGTCACAGAACTGAACATTCCCTTTCATAGAGCAGGTTTGAAACACTCTTTCTGTAGTATCTGCAAGTGGACGTTTCAAGCGCTTTCAGGCCTGTGGTGAAAAAGGAAATATCTTCAAATAAAAATTAGACAGAAGCATTCTCAGAAACTTATTTGCGATGTGTGTCCTCAACTAACAGAGTTGAACCTTTCTTTTGATACAACATTTTGGAAACACTCTTTTTGTAGAATCTGCAAGTGGATATTTGGATAGCTTTGAAGGTTTCGTTGGAAACGGGAATATCTTCATATGAAATCAAGACAGAAGCATTCTCAGAAACTTCTCTGTGATGTTTGCATTCAACTCATAGAGTTGAACACTTCCCTTCATACAGCAGGTTTGAAACACTCTTTTTCTAATATTTGGAAGTGGACATTTGCAGCGCTTTGAGGCCTATGTTGAAAAAGGAAATATCTTCTCCTAAAAACCAGACAGAAGCATTCTCAGAAACTTCCTTGTGATGTGTGTACTCAAGTAACAGAGTTGAACCTTCCTTTTGACAGAGCAGTTTTGAAGCACTCTTTTTGTAGAATCTGCAAGTGGATATTTTGATACCTTTGAGGATTTCGTTGGACACGGGATATCTTCATATAAAATCTAGACAGAAGCATTCTCAGAAACTTCTTTGTGCAGTATGTCCTCAATTAACAGAGTTGAACCTTTGTGTGGATACAGCATTTTGGAAACATTCCTTTAGTAGAATCTGCAAGTTGATATTTAGATAGCTAGGAAGATTTCCTTGGAAACGGGAATATCTTCATATAAAATCTAGACGGAAGCATTCTCAGAAAGTGCTTTGTGATGTTTCCATTCAAGTCACAGAGTTGAATATTCCCTTTTATAGAGCAGGTTTGAAACACTCTTTCTGCACTACCTGGAAGTGGACATTTGGAGCGCTTTGAGGCCTATGTTGAAAAAGGAAATATCTTCCCATAAAAACTAGACAGAAGCATTCTCAGAAACTTGTTTGTGATGTGTGTATTCAACTAACAGAGATGAACCTTTCTTTTTACAGAGCAGTTTTGAAACACTCTTTTTGTGGAATCTGAAAGTGGATATTTGGATAGCTTTGAGGATTTCGTTGGAAACGGGATTACATATAAAACCTAGAGAGAAGCATTCTCAGGAACTTCTTTGTGATGTTTGCCTTCAAGTCACAGGACTGAACATTCCCTTTCATAGAGCAGGTTTGAAACACTCTTTCTGTAGTATCTGCAAGCTGACGTTTCAAGCGCTTTCAGGCCTATGGTGAGAAAGGAAATATCTTCAAGTAAAAACTAGACAGAAGCATTCTCAGAAACATATTTGAGATGTGTGTTCTCAACTAACAGAGTTGAACCTTTGTTTTGATATGGCATTTTGGAAACACTCTTTTTGTAGAATCTGCAGGTGGATATTCGGATAGCTTTGAAGGTTTCGTTGGAAACGGGAATATCTTCATATAAAATCTAGACGGAAGCATTCTCAGAAACTTCTCTGTGATGTTTGCATTCAACTCATAGAGTTGAACACTTCCCTTCATACAGCAGGTTTGAAACACTCTTTTTGTAATATTTGGAAGTGGACATTTGCAGCGCTTTGAGGCCTATGATGAAAAAGGAAATATCTTCCCACAAAAACTAGACAGAAGCATTCTCAGAAACTTGTTTGTGATGTGTGTATTCAACTAACAGAGATGAACCTTTCTTTTTACAGAGCAGTTTTGAAACACTCTTTTTGTGGAATCTGAAAGTGGATATTTGGATAGCTTTGCGGATTTCGTTGGAAACGGGATTACATATAAAATCTAGGGAGAAGCATTCTCAGGAACTTCTTTGTGATGTTTGCATTCAAGTCACAGAACTGAATATTCCCTTTCATAGAGCAGGTTTGAAACACTCTTTCTGTAGTATCTGCAAGCGGACGTTTTAAGCGCTTTCAGGCCTGTGGTGAGAAAGGAAATATCTTCAAATAAAAACTAGACAGAAGCATTCTCAGAAACTTATTTGCGATGTGTGTCCTCAACTAACAGAGTTGAACCTTTCTTTTGATACAACATTTTGGAAACACTCTTTTTGTAGAATCTGCAAGTGGATATTTGGATAGCTTTGAAGGTTTCGTTGGAAACGGGAATATCTTCATATGAAATCAAGACAGAAGCATTCTCAGAAACTTCTCTGTGATGTTTGCATTCAACTCATAGAGTTGAACACTTCCCTTCATACAGCAGGTTTGAAACACTCTTTTTCTAATATTTGGAAGTGGACATTTGCAGCGCTTTGAGGCCTATGTTGAAAAAGGAAATATCTTCTCCTAAAAACCAGACAGAAGCATTCTCAGAAACTTCCTTGTGATGTGTGTACTCAAGTAACAGAGTTGAACCTTCCTTTTGACAGAGCAGTTTTGAAGCACTCTTTTTGTAGAATCTGCAAGTGGATATTTTGATACCTTTGAGGATTTCGTTGGACACGGGATATCTTCATATAAAATCTAGACAGAAGCATTCTCAGAAACTTCTTTGTGCTGTATGTCCTCAATTAACAGAGTTGAACCATTGTGTGGATACAGCATTTTGGAAACATTCCTTTAGTAGAATCTGCAAGTTGATATTTAGATAGCTAGGAAGATTTCCTTGGAAACGGGAATATCTTCATATAAAATCTAGACGGAAGCATTCTCAGAAAGTGCTTTGTGATGTTTGCATTCAAGTCACAGAGTTGAATATTCCCTTTTATAGAGCAGGTTTGAAACACTCTTTCTGCACTACCTGGAAGTGGACATTTGGAGCGCTTTGAGGCCTATGTTGAAAAAGGAAATATCTTCCCATAAAAACTAGACAGAAGCATTCTCAGAAACTTGTTTGTGATGTGTGTATTCAACTAACAGAGATGAACCTTTCTTTTTACAGAGCAGTTTTGAAACACTCTTTTTCTGGAATCTGAAAGTGGATATTTGGATAGCTTTGAGGATTTCTTTGGAAACGGGATTACATATAAAACCTAGAGAGAAGCATTCTCAGGAACTTCTTTGTGATGTTTGCATTCAAGTCACAGAACTGAACATTCCCTTTCATAGAGCAGGTTTGAAACACTCTTTCTGTAGTATCTGCAAGCTGACGTTTCAAGCGCTTTCAGGCCTATGGTGAGAAAGGAAATATCTTCAAGTAAAAACTAGACAGAAGCATTCTCAGAAACTTATTTGCGATGTGTGTTCTCAACTAACAGAGTTGAACCTTTGTTTTGATATGGCATTTTGGAAACATTCTTTTTGTAGAATCTGCAGGTGGATATTCGGATAGCTTTGAAGGTGTCGTTGGAAACGGGAATATCTTCATATAAAATCTAGACGGAAGCATTCTCAGAAACTGCTTTGTGATGTTTTCATTCAAGTCACAGAGTAGAATGTTCCCTGTTATATACCAGGTTTGAGACACTCTTTCTGCACTACCTGGAAGTGGACATTTGCAGCGCTTTGAGGCCTATGATGAAAAAGGAAATATCTTCCCATAAAAACTAGACAGAAGCATTCTCAGAAACTTGTTTTTGATGTGTGTATTCAACTAACAGAGATGAACCTTTCTTTTTACAGAGCAGTTTTGAAACACTCTTTTTGTGGAATCTGAAAGTGGATATTTGGATAGCTTTGAGGATTTCGTTGGAAACGGGATTACATATAAAATCTAGAGAGAAGCATTCTCAGGAACTTCTTTGTGATGTTTGCATTCACGTCACAGAACTGAACATTCCCTTTCATAGAGCATGTTTGAAACACTCTTTCTGTAGTATCTGCAAGCGGACGTTTTAAGCGCTTTCAGGCCTGTGGTGAGAAAGGAAATATCTTCAAATAAAAACTAGACAGAAGCATTCTCAGAAACTTATTTGCGATGTGTGTCCTCAACTAACAGAGTTGAACCTTTCTTTTGATACAACATTTTGGAAACACTCTTTTTGTAGAATCTGCAAGTGGATATTTGGATAGCTTTGAAGGTTTCGTTGGAAACGGGAATATCTTCATATGAAATCAAGACAGAAGCATTCTCAGAAACTGCTTTGTGATGTTTTCATTCAAGTCACAGAGTAGAATGTTCCCTGTTATATACCAGGTTTGAGACACTCTTTCTGCACTACCTGGAAGTGGACATTTGCAGCGCTTTGAGGCCTATGATGAAAAAGGAAATATCTTCCCATAAAAACTAGACAGAAGCATTCTCAGAAACTTGTTTGTGATGTGTGTATTCAACTAACAGAGATGAACCTTTCTTTTTACAGAGCAGTTTTGAAACACTCTTTTTGTGGAATCTGAAAGTGGATATTTGGATAGCTTTGAGGATTTCGTTGGAAACGGGATTACATATAAAACCTAGAGAGAAGCATTCTCAGGAACTTCTTTGTGATGTTTGCATTCACGTCACAGAACTGAACATTCCCTTTCATAGAGCATGTTTGAAAAACTCTTTCTGTAGTATCTGCAAACGGACATTTCAAGGGCTCTCAGGCCTATGGTAAGAAAGGAAATATCTTCAAATAAAAACTAGACAGAAGCATTCTCAGAAACTTATTTGCGATCTGTGTTCTCAACTAACAGAGTTGAACCTTTGTTTTGATATGGCATTTTGGAAACACTCTTTTTGTAGAATCTGCAGGTGGATATTCGGATAGCTTTGAAGGTTTCGTTGGAAACGGGAATATCTTCATATAAAATCTAGACGGAAGCATTCTCAGAAACTGCTTTGTGATGTTTTCATTCAAGTCACAGAGTAGAATGTTCCCTGTTATATACCAGGTTTGAGACACTCTTTCTGCACTACCTGGAAGTGGACGTTTGGAGCGCTTTGAGGCCTATGTTGAAAAAGGAAATATCTTCCCATAAAAACTAGACAGAAGCATTCTCAGAAACTTGTTTGTGATGTGTGTATTCAACTAACAGAGATGAACCTTTCTTTTTACAGAGCAGTTTTGAAACACTCTTTTTGTGGAATCTGAAAGTGGATATTTGGATAGCTTTGAGGATTTCGTTGGAAACGGGATTACATATAAAACCTAGAGAGAAGCATTCTCAGGAACTTCTTTGTGATGTTTGCATTCAAGTCACAGAACTCAACATTCCCTTTCATAGAGCAGGTTTGAAACACTCTTTCTGTAGTATCTGCAAGCTGACGTTTCAAGCGCTTTCAGGCCTATGGTGAGAAAGGAAATTTCTTCAAGTAAAAACTAGACAGAAGCATTCTCAGAAACTTATTTGCGATGTGTGTTCTCAACTAACAGAGTTGAACCTTTGTTTTGATATGGCATTTTGGAAACACTCTTTTTGTAGAATCTGCAGGTGGATATTCGGATAGCTTTGAAGGTTTCGTTGGAAACGGGAATATCTTCATATAAAATCTAGACGGAAGCATTCTCAGAAACTGCTTTGTGATGTTTTCATTCAAGTCACACAGTAGAATGTTCCCTGTTATATACCAGGTTTGAGACACTCTTTCTGCACTACCTGGAAGTGGACATTTGCAGCGCTTTGAGGCCTATGATGAAAAAGGAAATATCTTCCCATAAAAACTAGACAGAAGCATTCTCAGAAACTTGTTTGTGATGTGTGTATTCAACTAACAGAGATGAACCTTTCTTTTTACAGAGCAGTTTTGAAACACTCTTTTTGTGGAATCTGAAAGTGGATATTTGGATAGCTTTGAGGATTTCGTTGGAAACGGGATTACATATAAAATCTAGAGAGAAGCATTCTCAGGAACTTCTTTGTGATGTTTGCATTCACGTCACAGAACTGAACATTCCCTTTCATAGAGCATGTTTGAAACACTCTTTCTGTAGTATCTGCAAACGGACATTTCAAACGCTTTCAGGCCTATGGTGAGAAAGGAAATATCTTCAAATAAAAACTAGACAGAAGCATTCTCAGAAACTTATTTGCGATGTGTGTCCTCAACTAACAGAGTTGAACCTTTCTTTTGATACAACATTTTGGAAACACTCTTTTTGTAGAATCTGCAAGTGGATATTTGGATAGCTTTGAAGGTTTCGTTGGAAACGGGAATATCTTCATATGAAATCAAGACAGAAGCATTCTCAGAAACTTCTCTGTGATGTTTGCATTCAACTCATAGAGTTGAACACTTCCCTTCATACAGCAGGTTTGAAACACTCTTTTTGTAATATTTGGAAGTGGACATTTGCAGCGCTTTGAGGCCTATGTTGAAAAAGGAAATATCTTCTCCTAAAAACCAGACAGAAGCATTCTCAGAAACTTCCTTGTGATGTGTGTACTCAAGTAACAGAGTTGAACCTTCCTTTTGACAGAGCAGTTTTGAAGCACTCTTTTTGTAGAATCTGCAAGTGGATATTTTGATACCTTTGAGGATTTCGTTGGACACGGGATATCTTCATATAAAATCTAGACAGAAGCATTCTCAGAAACTTCTTTGTGCTGTATGTCCTCAATTAACAGAGTTGAACCTTTGTGTGGATACAGCATTTTGGAAACATTCCTTTAGTAGAATCTGCAAGTTGATATTTAGATAGCTAGGAAGATTTCCTTGGAAACGGGAATATCTTCATATAAAATCTAGACGGAAGCATTCTCAGAAAGTGCTTTGTGATGTTTGCATTCAAGTCACAGAGTTGAATATTCCCTTTTATAGAGCAGGTTTGAAACACTCTTTCTGCACTACCTGGAAGTGGACATTTGGAGCGCTTTGAGGCCTATGTTGAAAAACGAAATATCTTCCCATAAAAACTAGACAGAAGCATTCTCAGAAACTTGTTTGTGATGTGTGTATTCAACTAAGAGATGAACCTTTCTTTTTACAGAGCAGTTTTGAAACACTCTTTTTGTGGAATCTGAAAGTGGATATTTGGATAGCTTTGAGGATTTCGTTGGAAACGGGATTACATATAAAACCTAGAGAGAAGCATTCTCAGGAACTTCTTTGTGATGTTTGCCTTCAAGTCACAGGACTGAACATTCCCTTTCATAGAGCAGGTTTGAAACACTCTTTCTGTAGTATCTGCAAGCTGACGTTTCAAGCGCTTTCAGGCCTATGGTGAGAAAGGAAATATCTTCAAGTAAAAACTAGACAGAAGCATTCTCAGAAACTTCTTTGTGCTGTGTGTCCTCAATTAATAGAGTTGAACCTTTGTGTGGATACAGCATTTTGGAAACATTCCTTTAGTAGAATCTGCAAGTTGATATTTAGATAGCTAGGAAGATTTCCTTGGAAACGGGAATATCTTCATATAAAATCTAGACGGAAGCATTCTCAGAAAGTGCTTTGTGATGTTTGCATTCAAGTCACAGAGTTGAATATTCCCTTTTATAGAGCAGGTTTGAAACACTCTTTCTGCACTACCTGGAAGTGGACATTTGTAGCGCTTTGAGGCCTATGCTGAAAAAGGAAATATCTTCCCATAAAAACTAGACAGAAGCATTCTCAGAAACTTGTTTGTGATGTGTGTATTCAACTAACAGAGATGAACCTTTCTTTTTACAGAGCAGTTTTGAAACACTCTTTTTGTGGAATCTGAAAGTGGATATTTGGATAGCTTTGAGGATTTCGTTGGAAACGGGATTACATATAAAATCTAGAGAGAAGCATTCTCAGGAACTTCTTTGTGATGTTTGCATTCACGTCACAGAACTGAACATTCCCTTTCATAGAGCATGTTTGAAACACTCTTTCTGTAGTATCTGCAAACGGACATTTCAAACGCTTTCAGGCCTATGGTGAGAAAGGAAATATCTTCAAATACAAACTAGACAGAAGCATTCTCAGAAACTTATTTGCGATGTGTGTCCTCAACTAACAGAGTTGAACCTTTCTTTTGATACAACATTTTGGAAACACTCTTTTTGTAGTATCTGCAAGTGGATATTTGAATAGCTTTGAAGGTTTCGTTGGAAACGGGAATATCTTCATATAAAATCAAGACAGAAGCATTCTCAGAAACTTCTCTGTGATGTTTGCATTCAACTCATAGAGTTGAACACTTCCCTTCATACAGCAGGTTTGAAACACTCTTTTTGTAATATTTGGAAGTGGACATTTGCAGCGCTTTGAGGCCTATGATGAAAAAGGAAATATCTTCTCCTAAAAACTAGACAGAAACATTCTCAGAAACTTGTTTGTGATGTGTGTATTCAACTAACAGAGATGAACCTTTCTTTTTACAGAGCAGTTTTGAAACACTCTTTTTGTGGAATCTGAAAGTGGATATTTGGATAGCTTTGAGGATTTCGTTGGAAACGGGATTACTTATAAAATATAGGGAGAAGCATTCTCAGGAACTTCTTTGTGATGTTTGTATTCAAGTCACAGAACTGAACATTCCGTTTCATAGAGCAGGTTTGAAACACTCTTTCTGTAGTATCTACAAGCGGACGTTTCAAGCGCTTTCAGGCCTGTGGTGAAAAAGGAAATATCTTCAAATAAAAAGTAGACAGAACCATTCTAAGAAACGTATTTGCGATGTGTGTCCTCAACTAACAGAGTTGAACCTTTCTTTTGATACAACATTTTGGAAACACTCTTTTTGTAGAATCTGCAAGTGGATATTTGGATAGCTTTGAAGGTTTCGTTGGAAACGGGAATATCTTCATATGAAATCAAGACAGAAGCATTCTCAGAAACTTCTCTGTGATGTTTGCATTCAACTCATAGAGTTGAACACTTCCCTTCATACAGCAGGTTTGAAACACTCTTTTTCTAATATTTGGAAGTGGACATTTGCAGCGCTTTGAGGCCTATGTTGAAAAAGGAAATATCTTCTCCTAAAAACCAGACAGAAGCATTCTCAGAAACTTCCTTGTGATGTGTGTACTCAAGTAACAGAGTTGAACCTTCCTTTTGAAAGAGCAGTTTTGAAGCACTCTTTTTGTAGAATCTGCAAGTGGATATTTTGATACCTTTGAGGATTTCGTTGGACACGGGATATCTTCATATAAAATCTAGACAGAAGCATTCTCAGAAACTTCTTTGTGCTGTATGTCCTCAATTAACAGAGTTGAACCTTTGTGTGGATACAGCATTTTGGAAACATTCCTTTAGTAGAATCTGCAAGTTGATATTTAGATAGCTAGGAAGATTTCCTTGGAAACGGGAATATCTTCATATAAAATCTAGACGGAAGCATTCTCAGAAAGTGCTTTGTGATGTTTTCATTCAAGTCACAGAGTTGAATATTCCCTTTTATAGAGCAGGTTTGAAACACTCTTTCTGCACTACCTGGAAGTGGACATTTGGAGCGCTTTGAGGCCTATGTTGAAAAAGGAAATATCTTCCCATAAAAACTAGACAGAAGCATTCTCAGAAACTTGTTTGTGATGTGTGTATTCAACTAACAGAGATGAACCTTTCTTTTTACAGAGCAGTTTTGAAACACTCTTTTTGTGGAATCTGAAAGTGGATATTTGGATAGCTTTGAGGATTTCGTTGGAAACGGGATTACATATAAAACCTAGAGAGAAGCATTCTCAGGAACTTCTTTGTGATGTTTGCATTCACGTCACAGAACTGAACATTGCCTTTCATAGAGCATGTTTGAAACACTCTTTCTGTAGTATCTGCAAACGGACATTTCAAACGCTTTCAGGCCTATGGTGAGAAAGGAAATATCTTCAAATAAAAACTAGACAGAAGCATTCTCAGGAACTTCTTTGTGCTGTATGTCCTCAATTAACAGAGTTGAACCTTTGTGTGGATACAGCATTTTGGAAACATTCCTTTAGTAGAATCTGCAAGTTGATATTTAAATAGCTAATAAGATTTCCTTGGAAAAGGGAACATCTTCATATAAAATCTAGACGGAAGCATTCTCAGAAACTGCTTTGTGATGTTTTCATTCAAGTCACAGAGTAGAATGTTCCCTGTTATATACCAGGTTTGAGACACTCTTTCTGCACTACCTGGAAGTGGACGTTTGGAGCGCTTTGAGGCCTTTGTTGAAAAAGGAAATATCTTCCCATAAAAACTAGACAGAAGCATTCTCAGAAACTTGTTTGTGATGTGTGTATTCAACTAACAGAGATGAACCTTTCTTTTTACAGAGCAGTTTTGAAACACTCTTTTTGTGGAATCTGAAAGTGGATATTTGGATAGCTTTGAGGATTTCGTTGGAAACGGGATTACAGATAAAACCTAGAGAGAAGCATTCTCAGGAACTTCTTTGTGATGTTTGCATTCAAGTCACAGAACTGAACATTCCCTTTCATAGAGCAGGTTTGAAACACTCTTTCTGTAGTATCTGCAAGCTGACGTTTCAAGCGCTTTCAGGCCTATGGTGAGAAAGGAAATATCTTCAAGTAAAAACTAGACAGAAGCATTCTCAGAAACTTATTTGCCATGTGTGTTCTCAACTAACAGAGTTGAACCTTTGTTTTGATATGGCATTTTGGAAAAACTCTTTTTGTAGAATCTGCAGGTGGATATTCGGATAGCTTTGAAGGTTTCGTTGGAAACGGGAATATCTTCATATAAAATCTAGACGGAAGCATTCTCAGCAAAGTGCTTTGTGATGTTTGCATTCAAGTCACAGAGTTGAATATTCCCTTTTATAGAGCAGGTTTGAAACACTCTTTCTGCACTACCTGGAAGTGGACATTTGGAGCGCTTTGAGGCCTATGTTGAAAAAGGAAATATCTTCCCATAAAAACTAGACAGAAGCATTCTCAGAAACTTGTTTGTGATGTGTGTATTCAACTAACAGAGATGAACCTTTCTTTTTACAGAGCAGTTTTGAAACACTCTTTTTGTGGAATCTGAAAGTGGATATTTGGATAGCTTTGAGGATTTCGTTGGAAACGGGATTACATATAAAACCTAGAGAGAAGCATTCTCAGGAACTCCTTTGTGATGTTTGCCTTCAAGTCACAGGACTGAACATTCCCTTTCATAGAGCAGGTTTGAAACACTCTTTCTGTAGTATCTGCAAGCTGACGTTTCAAGCGCTTTCAGGCCTATGGTGAGAAAGGAAATATCTTCAAGTAAAAACTAGACAGAAGCATTCTCAGAAACTTATTTGCCATGTGTGTTCTCAACTAACAGAGTTGAACCTTTGTTTTGATACGGCATTTTGGAAACACTCTTTTTGTAGAATCTGCAGGTGGATATACGGATAGCTTTGAAGGTTTCGTTGGAAACGGGAATATCTTCATATAAAGTCTAGACGGAAGCATTCTCAGAAACTGCTTTGTGATGTTTTAATTCAAGTCACAGAGTAGAATGTTCGCTGTTATATACCAGGTCTGAGACACTCTTTCTGCACTACCTGGAAGTGGACGTTTGGAGCGCTTTGAGCCCTATGTTGAAAAAGGAAATATCTTCCCATAAAAACTAGACAGAAGCATTCTCAGAAACTTGTTTGTGATGTGTGTATTCAACTAACAGAGATGAACCTTTCTTTTTACAGAGCAGTTTTGAAACACTCTTTTTGTGGAATCTGAAAGTGGATATTTGGATAGCTTGGAGGATTTCGTTGGAAACGGGATTACATATAAAACCTAGAGAGATGCATTCTCAGAATCTTTCTTGTGATGTGTGTACTCAAGTAACAGAGTTGAACCTTCTTTTTGACAGAGCAGTTTTGAAGCACTCTTTTTGTAGAATCTGCAAGTGGATATTTTGATACCTTTGAGGATTTCGTTGGACACGGGATATCTTCATATAAAATCTAGACAGAAGCATTCTCAGAAACTTATTTGCCATGTGTGTTCTCAACTAACAGAGTTGAACCTTTGTTTTGATACGGCATTTTGGAAACACTCTTTTTGTAGAATCTGCAGGTGGATATTCGGATACCTTTGAAGGTTTCGTTGGAAACGGGAATATCTTCATATAAAATCTAGACGGAAGCATTCTCAGAAACTGCTTTGTGATGTTTTCATTCAAGTCACAGAGTAGAATGTTCCCTTTTATATACCAGGTTTGAGACACTCTTTCTGCACTATCTGGAAGTGGACATTTGGAGCGCTTTGAGGCCTATGATGAAAAAGGAAATATCTTCCCATAAAAACTAGACAGAAGCATTCTCAGAAACTTGTTTGTGATGTGTGTATTCAACTAACAGAGATGAACCTTTCTTTTTACAGAGCAGTTTTGAAACACTCTTTTTCTGGAATCTGAAAGTGGATATTTGGATAGCTTTGAGGATTTCGTTGGAAACGGGATTACATATAAAACCTAGAGAGAAGCATTCTCAGGAACTTCTTTGTGATGTTTGCATTCACGTCACAGAACTGAACATTCCCTTGCATAGAGCATGTTTGAAACACTCTTTCTGTAGTATCTGCAAACGGACATTTCAAACGCTTTCAGGCCTATGGTGAGAAAGGAAATATCTTCAAGTAAAAACTAGACAGAAGCATTCTCAGAAACTTATTTGCGATGTGTGTCCTCAACTAACAGAGTTGAACCTTTCTTTTGATACAACATTTTGGAAACACTCTTTTTGTAGAATCAGCAAGTGGATATTTGAATAGCTTTGAAGGTTTCGTTGGAAACGGGAATATCTTCATATAAAATCAAGACAGAAGCATTCTCAGAAACTTCTCTGTGATGTTTGCATTCAACTCATAGAGTTGAACACTTCCCTTCATACAGCAGGTTTGAAACACTCTTTTTGTAATATTTGGAAGTGGACATTTGCAGCGCTTTGAGGCCTATGATGAAAAAGGTAATATCTTCCCATAAAAACTAGACAGAAGCATTCTCAGAAACTTGTTTGAGATGTGTGTATTCAACTAACAGAGATGAACCTTTCTTTTTACAGAGCAGTTTTGAAACACTCTTTTTGTGGAATCTGAAAGTGGATATTTGGATAGCTTTGCGGATTTCGTTGGAAACGTGATTACATATAAAATCTAGGGAGAAGCATTCTCAGGAACTTCTTTGTGATGTTTGCATTCAAGTCACAGAACTGAACATTCCCTTTCATAGATCAGGTTTGAAACACTCTTTCTGTAGTATCTGCAAGCGGACGTTTTAAGCGCTTTCAGGCCTGTGGTGAGAAAGGAAATATCTTCAAATAAAAACTAGACAGAAGCATTCTCAGAAACTTATTTGCGATGTGTGTCCTCAACTAACAGAGTTGAACCTTTCTTTTGATACAACATTTTGGAAACACTCTTTTTGTAGAATCTGCAAGTGGATATTTGGATAGCTTTGAAGGTTTCGTTGGAAACGGGAATATCTTCATATGAAATCAAGACAGAAGCATTCTCAGAAACTTCTCTGTGATGTTTGCATTCAACTCATAGAGTTGAACACTTCCCTTCATTCAGCAGGTTTGAAACACTCTTTTTCTAATATTTGGAAGTGGACATTTGCAGCGCTTTGAGGCCTATGTTGAAAAAGGAAATATCTTCTCCTAAAAACCAGACAGAAGCATTCTCAGAAACTTCCTTGTGATGTGTGTACTCAAGTAACAGAGTTGAACCTTCCTTTTGACAGAGCAGTTTTGAAGCACTCTTTTTGTAGAATCTGCAAGTGGATATTTTGATACCTTTGAGGATTTCGTTGGACACGGGATATCTTCATATAAAATCTAGACAGAAGCATTCTCAGAAACTTCTTTGTGCTGTATGTCCTCAATTAACAGAGTTGAACCTTTGTGTGGATACAGCATTTTGGAAACATTCCTTTAGTAGAATCTGCAAGTTGATATTTAGATAGCTAGGAAGATTTCCTTGGAAACGGGAATATCTTCATATAAAATCTAGACGGAAGCATTCTCAGAAAGTGCTTTGTGATGTTTGCATTCAAGTCACAGAGTTGAATATTCCCTTTTATAGAGCAGGTTTGAAACACTCTTTCTGCACTACCTGGAAGTGGACATTTGGAGCGCTTAGAGGCCTATGTTGAAAAAGGAAATATCTTCCCATAAAAACTAGACAGAAGCATTCTCAGAAACTTGTTTGTGATGTGTGTATTCAACTAACAGAGATGAACCTTTCTTTTTACAGAGCAGTTTTGAAACACTCTTTTTGTGGAATCTGAAAGTGGATATTTGGATAGCTTTGAGGATTTCGTTGGAAACGGGATTACATATAAAACCTAGAGAGAAGCATTCTCAGGAACTTCTTTGTGATGTTTGCCTTCAAGTCACAGGACTGAACATTCCCTTTCATAGAGCAGGTTTGAAACACTCTTTCTGTAGTATCTGCAAGCTGACGTTTCAAGCGCTTTCAGGCCTATGGTGAGAAAGGAAATATCTTCAAGTAAAAACTAGACAGAAGCATTATCAGAAACTTATTTGCGATGTGTGTTCTCAACTAACAGAGTTGAACCTTTGTTTTGATACAGCATTTTGGAAACACTCTTTTTGTAGAATCTGCAGGTGGATATTTGGATAGCTTTGAAGGTTTCGTTGGAAACGGGAATATCTTCATATAAAATCAACACAGAAGCATTCTCAGAAACTGCTTTGTGATGTTTTCATTCAAGTCACAGAGTAGAATCTTCCCTGTTATATACCAGGTTTCAGACACTCTTTCTGCACTACCTGGAAGTGGACATTTGCAGCGCTTTGAGGCCTATGATGAAAAAGGAAATATCTTCCCATAAAAACTAGACAGAAGCATTCTCAGAAACTTGTTTGTGATGTGTGTATTCAACTAACAGAGATGAACCTTTCTTTTTACAGAGCAGTTTTGAAACACTCTTTTTGTGGAATCTGAAAGTGGATATTTGGATAGGTTTGAGGATTTCGTTGGAAACGGGATTACATATAAAATCTAGAGAGAAGCATTCTCAGGAACTTCTTTGTGATGTTTGCATTCAAGTCACAGAACTGAACATTCCCTTTCATAGAGCAGGTTTGAAACACTCTTTCTGTAGTATCTGCAAGCTGACGTTTCAAGCGCTTTCAGGCCTATGGTGAGAAAGGAAATATCTTCAAGTAAAAACTAGACAGAAGCATTCTCAGAAACTTATTTGCGATGTGTGTTCTCAACTAACAGAGTTGAACCTTTGTTTTGATATGGCATTTTGGAAACACTCTTTTTGTAGAATCTGCAGGTGGATATTCGGATAGCTTTGAAGGTTTCGTTGGAAACGGGAATATCTTCATATAAAATCTAGACGGAAGCATTCTCAGAAACTGCTTTGTGATGTTTTCATTCAAGTCACAGAGTAGAATGTTCCCTGTTATATACCAGGTTTGAGACACTCTTTCTGCACTACCTGGAAGTGGACATTTGCAGCGCTTTGAGGCCTATGATGAAAAAGGAAATATCTTCCCATAAAAACTAGACAGAAGCATTCTCAGAAACTTGTTTGTGATGTGTGTATTCAACTAACAGAGATGAACCTTTCTTTTTACAGAGCAGTTTTGAATCACTCTTTTTGTGGAATCTGAAAGTGGATATTTGGATAGCTTTGAGGATTTCGTTGGAAACGGGATTACATATAAAATCTAGAGAGAAGCATTCTCAGGAACTTCTTTGTGATGTTTGCATTCACGTCACAGAACTGAACATTCCCTTTCATAGAGCATGTTTGAAGCACTCTTTCTGTAGTATCTGCAAACGGACATTTCAAACGCTTTCAGGCCTATGGTGAGAAAGGAAATATCTTCAAATAAAAACTAGACAGAAGCATTCTCAGAAACTTATTTGCGATGTGTGTCCTCAACTAACAGAGTTGAACCTTTCTTTTGATACAACATTTTGGAAACACTCTTTTTGTAGAATCTGCAAGTGGATATTTGAATAGCTTTGAAGGTTTCGTTGGAAACGGGAATATCTTCAAATAAAAACTAGACAGAAGCATTCTCAGAAACTTATTTGCGATGTGTGTCCTCAACTAACAGAGTTGAACCTTTCTTTTGATACAACATTTTGGAAACACTCTTTTTGTAGAATCTGCAAGTGGATATTTGAATAGCTTTGAAGGTTTCGTTGGAAACGGGAATATCTTCATATAAAATCAAGACAGAAGCATTCTCAGAAACTTCTCTGTGATGTTTGCATTCAACTCATAGAGTTGAACACTTCCCCTCATACAGCAGGTTTGAAACACTCTTTTTGTAATATTTGGAAGTGGACATTTGCAGCGCTTTGAGGCCTATGATGAAAAAGGTAATATCTTCCCATAAAAACTAGACAGAAGCGTTCTCAGAAACTTGTTTGTGACGTGTGTATTCAACTAACAGAGATGAACCTTTCTTTTTACAGAGCAGTTTTGAAACACTCTTTTTGTGGAATCTGAAAGTGGATATTTGGATAGCTTTGCGGATTTCGTTGGAAACGGGATTACATATAAAATCTAGGGGAGAAGCATTCTCAGGAACTTCTTTGTGATGTTTGCATTCAAGTCACAGAACTGAACATTCCCTTTCATAGAGCATGTTTGAAACACTCTTTCTGTAGTATCTGCAAGCGGACGTTTCAAGCGCTTTCAGGCCTATGGTGTGAAAGGAAATATCTTCAAGTAAAAACTAGACAGAAGCATTCTCAGAAACTTATTTGCGATGTGTGTCCTCAACTAACAGAGTTGAACTTTTCTTTTGATACAACATTTTGGAAACACTCTTTTTGTAGAATCTGCAAGTGGATATTTGGATAGCTTTGAAGGTTTCGTTGGAAACGGGAATATCTTCATATGAAATCAAGACAGAAGCATTCTCAGAAACTTCTCTGTGATGTTTGCATTCAACTCATAGAGTTGAACACTTCCCTTCATACAGCAGGTTTGAAACACTCTTTTTCTAATATTTGGAAGTGGACATTTGCAGCGCTTTGAGGCCTATGTTGAAAAAGGAAATATCTTCTCCTAAAAACCAGACAGAAGCATTCTCAGAAACTTCCTTGTGATGTGTGTACTCAAGTAACAGAGTTGAACCTTCCTTTTGACAGAGCAGTTTTGAAGCACTCTTTTTGTAGAATCTGCAAGTGGATATTTTGATACCTTTGAGGATTTCGTTGGACACGGGATATCTTCATATAAAATCTAGACAGAAGCATTCTCAGAAACTTCTTTGTGCTGTATGTCCTCAATTAACAGAGTTGAACCTTTGTGTGGATACAGCATTTTGGAAACATTCCTTTAGTAGAATCTGCAAGTTGATATTTAGATAGCTAGGAAGATTTCCTTGGAAACGGGAATATCTTCATATAAAATCTAGACGGAAGCATTCTCAGAAAGTGCTTTGTGATGTTTGCATTCAAGTCACAGAGTTGAATATTCCCTTTTATAGAGCAGGTTTGAAACACTCTTTCTGCACTACCTGGAAGTGGACATTTGGAGCGCTTTGAGGCCTATGTTGAAAAAGGAAATATCTTCCCATAAAAACTAGACAGAAGCATTCTCAGAAACTTGTTTGTGATGTGTGTATTCAACTAACAGAGATGAACCTTTCTTTTTACAGAGCAGTTTTGAAACACTCTTTTTGTGGAATCTGAAAGTGGATATTTGGATAGCTTTGAGGATTTCGTTGGAAACGGGATTACATATAAAACCTAGAGAGAAGCATTCTCAGGAACTTCTTTGTGATGTCTGCATTCAAGTCACAGGACTGAACATTCCCTTTCATAGAGCAGGTTTGAAACACTCTTTCTGTAGTATCTGCAAGCTGACGTTTCATGCGCTTTCAGGCCTACGGTGAGAAAGGAAATATCTTCAAGTAAAAACTAGACACAAGCATTCTCAGAAACTTATTTGCCATGTGTGTTCTCAACTAACAGAGTTGAACCTTTGTTTTGATACGGCATTTTGGAAACAATCTTTTTGTAGAATCTGCAGGTGGATATTCGGATAGCTTTGAAGGTTTCGTTGGAAACGGGAATATCTTCATATAAAATCTAGACGGAAGCATTCTCAGAAACTTCTCTGTGATGTTTGCATTCAACTCGTAGAGTTGAACACTTCCCTTCATACAGCAGGTTTGAAACACTCTTTTTGTAATATTTGGAAGTGGACATTTGCAGCGCTTTGAGGCCTATGATGAAAAAGGAAATATCTTCCCATAAAAACTAGACAGAAGCATTCTCAGAAACTTGTTTGTGATGTGTGTATTCAACTAACAGAGATGAACCTTTCTTTTTACAGAGCAGTTTTGAAACACTCTTTTTGTGGAATCTGAAAGTGGATATTTGGATAGCTTTGCGGATTTCGTTGGAAACGGGATTACATATAAAATCTAGGGAGAAGCATTCTCAGGAACTTCTTTGTGATGTTTGCATTCAAGTCACAGAACTGAACATTCCCTTTCATAGAGCATGTTTGAAACACTCTTTCTGTAGTATCTGCAAGCGGACGTTTGAAGCGCTTTCAGGCCTGTGGTGAAAAAGGAAGTATCTTCAAATGAAAACTAGACAGAAGCATTCTCAGAAACTTATTTGCGATGTGTGTCCTCAACTAACAGAGTTGAACCTTTCTTTTGATACAACATTTTGGAAACACTCTTTTTGTAGAATCTGCAAGTGGATATTTGGATAGCTTTGAAGGTTTCGTTGGAAACGGGAATATCTTCATATGAAATCAAGACAGAAGCATTCTCAGAAACTTCTCTGTGATGTTTGCATTCAACTCATAGAGTTGAACACTTCCCTTCATACAGCAGGTTTGAAACACTCTTTTTCTAATATTTGGAAGTGGACATTTGCAGCGCTTTGAGGCCTATGTTGAAAAAGGAAATATCTTCTCCTAAAAACCAGACAGAAGCATTCTCAGAAACTTCCTTGTGATGTGTGTACTCAAGTAACAGAGTTGAACCTTCCTTTTGACAGAGCAGTTTTGAAGCACTCTTTTTGTAGAATCTGCAAGTGGATATTTTGATACCTTTGAGGATTTCGTTGGACACGGGATATCTTCATATAAAATCTAGACAGAAGCATTCTCAGAAACTTCTTTGTGCTGTATGTCCTCAATTAACAGAGTTGAACCTTTGTGTGGATACAGCATTTTGGAAACATTCCTTTAGTAGAATCTGCAAGTTGATATTTAGATAGCTAGGAAGATTTCCTTGGAAACGGGAATATCTTCATATAAAATCTAGACGGAAGCATTCTCAGAAAGTGCTTTGTGATGTCTTCATTCAAGTCACAGAGTAGAATGTTCCCTTTTATAGAGCAGGTTTGAAACACTCTTTCTGCACTACCTGGAAGTGGACATTTGGAGCGCTTTGAGACCTATGTTGAAAAAGGAAATATCTTCCCATAAAAACTAGACAGAAGCATTCTCAGAAACTTGTTTGTGATGTGTGTATTCAACTAACAGAGATGAACCTTTCTTTTTACAGAGCAGTTTTGAAACACTCTTTTTGTGGAATCTGAAAGTGGATATTTGGATAGCTTTGAGGATTTCGTTGGAAACGGGATTACATATAAAACCTAGAGAGAAGCATTCTCAGAAACTTCCTTGTGATGTGTGTACTCAAGTAACAGAGTTGAACCTTACTTTTGACAGAGCCGTTTTGAAACAGTGTTTTTGTAGAATCTGGAAGTAGATATTTGGATACCTTTGAGGATTTCTTTGGAAACGGGATATCTTCATATAAAATCTAGACAGAAGCATTCTCACAAACTTCTTTGTGCTGTTTGTCCTCAATTAACAGAGTTGAACCTTTGTGTGGATACAGCATTTTGGAAACACTCCTTTAGTAGGATATGCAAGTTGATATTTAGATAGCTAGGAAGATTTCCTTGGAAACGTGAATATCTTCATATAAAATCTAGACGGAAGCATTCTCAGAAACTGCTTTGTGATGTTTTCATTCAAGTCACACAGTAGAATGTTCCCTGTTATATACCAGGTTTGAGACACTCTTTCTGCACTACCTGGAAGTGGACATTTGCAGCGCTTTGAGGCCTATGATGAAAAAGGAAATATCTTCCCATAAAAACTAGACAGAAGCATTCTCAGAAACTTGTTTTTGATGTGTGTATTCAACTAACAGAGATGAACCTTTCTTTTTACAGAGCAGTTTTGAAACACTCTTTTTGTGGAATCTGAAAGTGGATATTTGGATAGCTTTGAGGATTTCGTTGGAAACGGGATTAAATATAAAATCTAGAGAGAAGCATTCTCAGGAACTTCTTTGTGATGTTTGCATTCACGTCACAGAACTGAACATTCCCTTTCATAGAGCAGGTTTGAAACACTCTTTCTGTAGTATCTGCAAACGGACATTTCAAACGCTTTCAGGCCTATGGTGAGAAAGGAAATATCTTCAAATAAAAACTAGACAGAAGCATTCTCAGAAACTTATTTGCGATGTGTGTCCTCAACTAACAGAGTTGAACCTTTCTTTTGATACAACATTTTGGAAACACTCTTTTTGTAGAATCTGCAAGTGGATATTTGAATAGCTTTGAAGGTTTCGTTGGAAACGGGAATATCTTCATATAAAATCAAGACAGAAGCATTCTCAGAAACTTCTCTGTGATGTTTGCATTCAACTCATAGAGTTGAACACTTCCCTTCATACAGCAGGTTTGAAACACTCTTTTTGTAATATTTGGAAGTGGACATTTGCAGCGCTTTGAGGCCTATGATGAAAAAGGTAATATCTTCCCATAAAAACTAGACAGAAGCATTCTCAGAAACTTGTTTGTGATGTGTGTATTCAACTAACAGAGATGAACCTTTCTTTTTACAGAGCAGTTTTGAAACACTCTTTTTCTGGAATCTGAAAGTGGATATTTGGATAGCTTTGCGGATTTCGTTGGAAACGGGATTACATATAAAATCTAGGGAGAAGCATTCTCAGGAACTTCTTTGTGATGTTTGCATTCACGTCACAGAACTTAACATTCCCTTTCATAGAGCATGTTTGAAACACTCTTTCTGTAGTATCTGCAAACGGACATTTCAAGCGCTTTCAGGCCTATGGTAAGAAAGGAAATATCTTCAAATAAAAACTAGACAGAAGCATTCTCAGAAACTTATTTGCGATGTGTGTCCTCAACTAACAGAGTTGAACCTTTCTTTTGATACAACATTTTGGAAACACTCTTTTTGTAGAATCTGCAAGTGGATATTTGGATAGCTTTGAAGGTTTCGTTGGAAACGGGAATATCTTCATATGAAATCAAGACAGAAGCATTCTCAGAAACTTCTCTGTGATGTTTGCATTCAACTCATAGAGTTGAACACTTCCCTTCATACAGCAGGTTTGAAACACTCTTTTTGTAATATTTGGAAGTGGACATTTGCAGCGCTTTGAGGCCTATGTTGAAAAAGGAAATATCTTCTCCTAAAAACCAGACAGAAGCATTCTCAGAAACTTCCTTGTGATGTGTGTACTCAAGTAACAGAGTTGAACCTTCCTTTTGACAGAGCAGTTTTGAAGCAGTCTTTTTGTGGAATCTGCAAGTGGATATTTTGATACCTTTGAGGATTTCGTTGGACACGGGATATCTTCATATAAAATCTAGACAGAAGCATTCTCAGGAACTTCTTTGTGATGTTTGCATTCACGTCACAGAACTGAACATTCCCTTTCATAGAGCATGTTTGAAACACTCTTTCTGTAGTATCTACAAACGGACATTTCAAACGCTTTCAGGCCTATGGTGAGAAAGGAAATATCTTCAAATAAAAACTAGACAGAAGCATTCTCAGAAACTTATTTGCGATGTGTGTCCTCAACTAACAGAGTTGAACCTTTCTTTTGATACAACATTTTGGAAACACTCTTTTTGTAGAATCTGCAAGTGGATATTTGAATAGCTTTGAAGGTTTCGTTGGAAACGGGAATATCTTCATATAAAATCAAGACAGAAGCATTCTCAGAAACTTCTCTGTGATGTTTGCATTCAACTCATAGAGTTGAACACTTCCCTTCATACAGCAGGTTTGAAACACTCTTTTTGTAACATTTGGAAGTGGACATTTGCAGCGCTTTGAGGCCTATGTTGAAAAAGGAAATATCTTCTCCTAAAAACCAGACAGAAGCATTCTCAGAAACTTCCTTGTGATGTGTGTACTCAAGTAACAGAGTTGAACCTTCCTTTTGACAGAGCAGTTTTGAAGCACTCTTTTTGTAGAATCTGCAAGTGGATATTTTGATACCTTTGAGGATTTCGTTGGACACGGGATATCTTCATATAAAATCTAGACAGAAGCATTCTCAGAAACTTCTTTGTGCTGTATGTCCTCAATTAACAGAGTTGAACCTTTGTGTGGATACAGCATTTTGGAAACATTCCTTTAGTAGAATCTGCAAGTTGATATTTAGATAGCTAGGAAGATTTCCTTGGAAACGGGAATATCTTCATATAAAATCTAGACGGAAGCATTCTCAGAAAGTGCTTTGTGATGTTTGCATTCAAGTCACAGAGTTGAATATTCCCTTTTATAGAGCAGGTTTGAAACACTCTTTCTGCACTACCTGGAAGTGGACATTTGGAGCGCTTTGAGGCCTATGTTGAAAAAGGAAATATCTTCCCATAAAAACTAGACAGAAGCATTCTCAGAAATTTGTTTGTGATGTGTGTATTCAACTAACAGACATGAACCTTTCTTTTTACAGAACAGTTTTGAAACACTCTTTTTGTGGAATCTGAAAGTGGATATTTGGATATCTTTGAGGATTTCGTTGGAAACGGGATTACATATAAAATCTAGAGAGAAGCATTCTCAGGAACTTCTTTGTGATGTTTGCCTTCAAGTCACAGGACTGAACATTCCCTTTCATAGAGCAGGTTTGAAACACTCTTTCTGTAGTATCTGCAAGCTGACGTTTCAAGCGCTTTCAGGCCTATGGTGAGAAAGGAAATATCTTCAAGTAAAAACTAGACAGAAGCATTCTCAGAAACTTATTTGCCATGTGTGTTCTCAACTAACAGAGTTGAACCTTTGTTTTGATACGGCATTTTGGAAACACTCTTTTTGTAGAATCTGCAGGTGGATATTCGGATAGCTTTGAGGGTTTCGTTGGAAACGGGAATATCTTCATATAAAATCTAGACGGAAGCATTCTCAGAAACTGCTTTGTGATGTTTTCATTCAAGTCACAGAGTAGAATGTTCCCTGTTATATACCAGGTTTGAGACACTCTTTCTGCACTACCTGGAAGTGGACGTTTGGAGCGCTTTGAGGCCTATGTTGAAAAAGGAAATATCTTCCCATAAAAACTAGACAGAAGCATTCTCAGAAACTTGTTTGTGATGTGTGTATTCAACTAACAGAGATGAACCTTTCTTTTTACAGAGCAGTTTTGAAACACTCTTTTTGTGGAATCTGAAAGTGGATATTTGGATAGCTTTGAGGATTTCGTTGGAAACGGGATTACATATAAAACCTAGAGAGAAGCATTCTCAGGAACTTCTTTGTGATGTTTGCATTCAAGTCACAGAACTGAACATTCCCTTTCATAGAGCATGTTTGAAACACTCTTTCTGTAGTATCTGCAAGCGGACGTTTTAAGCGCTTTCAGGCCTGTGGTGAGAAAGGAAATATCTTCAAATAAAAACTAGACAGAAGCATTCTCAGAAACTTATTTGCCATGTGTGTCCTCAACTAACAGAGTTGAACCTTTGTTTTGATACGGCATTTTGGAAACACTCTTTTTGTAGAATCTGCAGGTGGATATTCGGATAGCTTTGAAGGTTTCGTTGGAAACGGGAATATCTTCATAGAAAATACTAGACGGAAGCATTCTCAGAAACTGCTTTGTGATGTTTTCATTCAAGTCACAGAGTAGAATCTTCCCTGTTATATACCAGGTTTGAGACACTGTTTCTGCACTACCTGGAAGTGGACATTTGCAGCGCTTTGAGGCCTATGTTGAAAAAGGAAATATCTTCCCATAAAAACTAGACAGAAGCATTCTCAGAAACTTGTTTGTGATGTGTGTATTCAACTAACAGAGATGAACCTTTCTTTTTACAGAGCAGTTTTGAAACACTCTTTTTGTGGAATCTGAAAGTGGATATTTGGATAGCTTTGAGGATTTCGTTGGAAACGGGATTACATATAAAACCTAGAGAGAAGCATTCTCAGGAACTTCTTTGTGATGTTTGCATTCAAGTGACAGAACTGAACATTCCCTATCATAGAGCATGTTTGAAACACTCTTTCTGTAGTATCTGCAAACGGACATTTCAAACGCTTTCAGGCCTATGGTGAGATAGGAAATATCTTCAAATAAAAACTAGACAGAAGCATTCTCAGAAACTTGTTTGCGATGTGTTTCCTCAACTAACAGAGTTGAACCTTTCTTTTGATACAACATTTTGGAAACACTCTTTTTGTAGAATCTGCAAGTGGATATTTGGATAGCTTTGAAGGTTTCTTTGGAAACGGGAATATCTTCATATAAAATCAAGACAGAAGCATTCTCAGAAACTTCTCTGTGATGTTTGCATTCAACTCATAGAGTTGAACACTTCCCTTCATACAGCAGGTTTGAAACACTCTTTTTGTAATATTTGGAAGTGGACATTTGCAGCGCTTTGAGGCCTATGATGAAAAAGGTAATATCTTCCCATAAAAACTAGACAGAAGCATTCTCAGAAACTTGTTTGTGATGTGTGTATTCAACTAACAGAGATGAACCTTTCTTTTTACAGAGCAGTTTTGAAACACTCTTTTTGTGGAATCTGAAAGTGGATATTTGGATAGCTTTGCGGATTTCGTTGGAAACGGGATTACATATAAAATCTAGGGAGAAGCATTCTCAGGAACTTCTTTGTGATGTTTGCATTCAAGTCACAGAACTGAACATTCCCTTTCATAGAGCAGGTTTGAAACACTCTTTCTGTAGTATCTGCAAGCGGACGTTTTAAGGGCTTTCAGGACTTTGGTGAGAAAGGAAATATCTTCAAATAAAAACTAGACAGAAGCATTCTCAGAAACTTCTTTGTGCTGTATGTCCTCAATTAACAGAGTTGAACCTTTGTGTGGATACAGCATTTTGGAAACATTCCTTTAGTAGAATCTGCATGTTGATATTTAGATAGCTAGGAAGATTTCCTTGGAAACGGGAATATCTTCATATAAAATCTAGAAGGAAGCATTCTCAGAAACTGCTTTGTGATGTTTTCATTCAAGTCACAGAGTAGAATGTTCCCTTTTATATACCAGGTTTGAGACACTCTTTCTGCACTATCTGGAAGTGGACATTTGGAGCGCTTTGAGGCCTATGATGAAAAAGGAAATATCTTCCCATAAAAACTAGACAGAAGCATTCTCAGAAACTTGTTTGTGATGTGTGTATTCAACTAACAGAGATGAACCTTTCTTTTTACAGAGCAGTTTTGAAACACTCTTTTTGTGGAATCTGAAAGTGGATATTTGGATAGCTTTGAGGATTTCGTTGGAAACGGGATTACATATAAAACCTAGAGAGAAGCATTCTCAGGAACTTCTTTGTGATGTTTGCATTCAAGTCACAGAACTGAACATTCCCTTTCATAGAGCATGTTTGAAACACTCTTTCTGTAGTATCTGCAAGCGGACGTTTTAAGCGCTTTCAGGCCTGTGGTGAGAAAGGAAATATCTTCAAATAAAAACTAGACAGAAGCATTCTCAGAAACTTATTTGCGATGTGTGTCCTCAACTAACAGAGTTGAACCTTTCTTTTGATACAACATTTTGGAAACACTCTTTTTGTAGAATCTGCAAGTGGATATTTGGATAGCTTTGAAGGTTTCGTTGGAAACGGGAATATCTTCATATGAAATCAAGACAGAAGCATTCTCAGAAACTTCTCTGTGATGTTTGCATTCAACTCATAGAGTTGAACACTTCCCTTCATACAGCAGGTTTGAAACACTCTTTTTGTAATATTTGGAAGTGGACATTTGCAGCGCTTTGAGGCCTATGTTGAAAAAGGAAATATCTTCTCCTAAAAACCAGACAGAAGCATTCTCAGAAACTTCCTTGTGATGTGTGTACTCAAGTAACAGAGTTGAACCTTCCTTTTGACGGAGCAGTTTTGAAGCACTCTTTTTGTAGAATCTGCAAGTGGATATTTTGATACCTTTGAGGATTTCGTTGGACACGGGATATCTTCATATAAAATCTAGACAGAAGCATTCTCAGGAACTTCTTTGTGATGTTTGCATTCAAGTCACAGAACTGAACATTCCCTTTCATAGAGCAGGTTTGAAACACTCTTTCTGTAGTATCTGCAAGCTGACGTTTCAAGCGCTTTCAGGCCTATGGTGAGAAAGGAAATATCTTCAAGTAAAAACTAGACAGAAGCATTCTCACAAACTTATTTGCGATGTGTGTTCTCAACTAACAGAGTTGAACCTTTGTTTTGATATGGCATTTTGGAAACACTCTTTTTGTAGAATCTGCAGGTGGATATTCGGATAGCTTTGAAGGTTTCGTTGGAAACGGGAATATCTTCATATAAAATCTAGACGGAAGCATTCTCAGAAACTGCTTTGTGATGTTTTCATTCAAGTCACAGAGTAGAATGTTCCCTGTTATATACCAGGTTTGAGACACTCTTTCTGCACTACCTGGAAGTGGACATTTGCAGCGCTTTGAGGCCTATGATGAAAAAGGAAATATCTTCCCATAAAAACTAGACAGAAGCATTCTCAGAAACTTGTTTGTGATGTGTGTATTCAACTAACAGAGATGAACCTTTCTTTTTACAGAGCAGTTTTGAAACACTCTTTTTGTGGAATCTGAAAGTGGATATTTGGATAGCTTTGAGGATTTCGTTGGAAACGGGATTACATATAAAATCTAGAGAGAAGCATTCTCAGGAACTTCTTTGTGATGTTTGCATTCACGTCACAGAACTGAACATTCCCTTTCATAGAGCATGTTTGAAACACTCTTTCTGTAGTATCTGCAAACGGACATTTCAAACGCTTTCAGGCCTATGGTGAGAAAGGAAATATCTTCAAATAAAAACTAGACAGAAGCATTCTCAGAAACTTATTTGCGATGTGTGTCCTCAACTAACAGAGTTGAACCTTTCTTTTGATACAACATTTTGGAAACACTCTTTTTGTAGAATCTGCAAGTGGATATTTGGATAGCTTTGAAGGTTTCGTTGGAAACGGGAATATCTTCATATAAAATCAAGACAGAAGCATTCTCAGAAACTTCTCTGCGATGTTTGCATTCAACTCATAGAGTTGAACACTTCCCTTCATACAGCAGGTTTGAAACACTCTTTTTGTAATATTTGGAAGTGGACATTTGCAGCGCTTTGAGGCCTATGATGAAAAAGGTAATATCTTCCCATAAAAACTAGACAGAAGCATTCTCAGAAACTTGTTTGTGATGTGTGTATTCAACTAACAGAGATGAACCTTTCTTTTTACAGAGCAGTTTTGAAACACTCTTTTTGTGGAATCTGAAAGTGGATATTTGGATAGCTTTGCGGATTTCGTTGGAAACGGGATTACATATAAAATCTAGGGAGAAGCATTCTCAGGAACTTCTTTGTGATGTTTGCATTCAAGTCACAAAACTGAACATTCCCTTTCATAGAGCAGGTTTGAAACACTCTTTCTGTAGTATCTGCAAGCGGACGTTTTAAGCGCTTTCAGGCCTGTGGTGAGAAAGGAAATATCTTCAAATAAAAACTAGACAGAAGCATTCTCAGAAACTTATTTGCGATGTGTGTCCTCAACTAACAGAGTTGAACCTTTCTTTTGATACAACATTTTGGAAACACTCTTTTTGTAGAATCTGCAAGTGGATATTTGGATAGCTTTGAAGGTTTCGTTGGAAACGGGAATATCTTCATATGAAATCAAGACAGAAGCATTCTCAGAAACTTCTCTGTGATGTTTGCATTCAACTCATAGAGTTGAACACTTCCCTTCATACAGCAGGTTTGAAACACTCTTTTTCTAATATTTGGAAGTGGACATTTGCAGCGCTTTGAGGCCTATGTTGAAAAAGGAAATATCTTCTCCTAAAAACCAGACAGAAGCATTCTCAGAAACTTCCTTGTGATGTGTGTACTCAAGTAACAGAGTTGAACCTTCCTTTTGACAGAGCAGTTTTGAAGCACTCTTTTTGTAGAATCTGCAAGTGGATATTTTGATACCTTTGAGGATTTCGTTGGACACGGGATATCTTCATATAAAATCTAGACAGAAGCATTCTCAAAAACTTCTTTGTGCTGTATGTCCTCAATTAACAGAGTTGAACCTTTGTGTGGATACAGCATTTTGGAAACATTCCTTTAGTAGAATCTGCAAGTTGATATTTAGATAGCTAGGAAGATTTCCTTGGAAACGGGAATATCTTCATATAAAATCTAGACGGAAGCATTCTCAGAAAGTGCTTTGTGATGTTTGCATTCAAGTCACAGAGTTGAATATTCCCTTTTATAGAGCAGGTTTGAAACACTCTTTCTGCACTACCTGGAAGTGGACATTTGGAGCGCTTTGAGGCCTATGTTGAAAAAGGAAATATCTTCCCATAAAAACTAGACAGAAGCATTCTCAGAAACTTGTTTGTGATGTGTGTATTCAACTAACAGAGATGAACCTTTCTTTTTACAGAGCAGTTTTGAAACACTCTTTTTGTGGAATCTGAAAGTGGATATTTGGATAGCTTTGAGGATTTCGTTGGAAACGGGATTACATATAAAACCTAGAGAGAAGCATTCTCAGGAACTTCTTTGTGATGTTTGCCTTCAAGTCACAGGACTGAACATTCCCTTTTATAGAGCAGGTTTGAAACACTCTTTCTGTAGTATCTGCAAGCTGACGTTTCAAGCGCTTTCAGGCCTATGGTGAGAAAGGAAATATCTTCAAGTAAAAACTAGACAGAAGCATTCTCAGAAACTTATTTGCGATGTGTGTCCTCAACTTACAGAGTTGAACCTTTCTTTTGATACAACATTTTGGAAACACTCTTTTTGTAGAATCTGCAAGTGGATATTTGGATTGCTTTGAAGGTTTCGTTGGAAACGGGAATATCTTCATATGAAATCAAGACAGAAGCATTCTCAGAAACTGCTTTGTGATGTTTTCATTCAAGTCACAGAGTAGAATCTTCCCTGTTATATACCAGGTTTCAGACACTCTTTCTGCACTACCTGGAAGTGGACATTTGCAGCGCTTTGAGGCCTATGATGAAAAAGGAAATATCTTCCCATAAAAACTAGACAGAAGCATTCTCAGAAACTTGTTTGTGATGTGTGTATTCAACTAACAGAGATGAACCTTTCTTTTTACAGAGCAGTTTTGAAACACTCTTTTTGTGGAATCTGAAAGTGGATATTTGGATAGCTTTGAGGATTTCGTTGGAAACGGGATTACATATAAAATCTAGAGAGAAGCATTCTCAGGAACTTCTTTGTGATGTTTGCATTCACGTCACAGAACTGAACATTCCCTTTCATAGAGCATGTTTGAAACACTCTTTCTGTAGTATCTGCAAACGGACATTTCAAACGCTTTCAGGCCTATGGTGAGAAAGGAAATATCTTCAAATAAAAACTAGACAGAAGCATTCTCAGAAACTTATTTGCGATGTGTGTCCTCAACTAACAGAGTTGAACCTTTCATTTGATACAACATTTTGGAAACACTCTTTTTGTGGAATCTGCAAGTGGATATTTGGATAGCTTTGAAGATTTCGTTGGAAACGGGAATATCTTCATATAAAATCAAGACAGAAGCATTCTCAGGAACTTCTTTGTGATGTTTGCATTCACGTCACAGAACTGAACATTCCCTTTCATAGAGCATGTTTGAAACACTCTTTCTGTAGTATCTGCAAACGGACATTTCAAACGCTTTCAGGCCTATGGTGAGAAAGGAAATATCTTCCCATAAAAACTAGACAGAAGCATTCTCAGAAACTTGTTTGTGATGTGTGTATTCAACTAACAGAGATGAACCTTTCTTTTTACAGAGCAGTTTTGAAACACTCTTTTTGTGGAATCTGAAAGTGGATATTTGGATAGCTTTGCGGATTTCGTTGGAAACGGGATTACATATAAAATCTAGGGAGAAGCACTCTCAGGAACTTCTTTGTGATGTTTGCATTCAACTCACAGAACTGAACATTCCCTTTCATAGAGCAGGTTTGAAACACTCTTTCTGTAGTATCTGCAAGCGGACGTTTTAAGCGCTTTCAGGCCTGTGGTGAGAAAGGAAATATCTTCAAATAAAAACTAGACAGAAGCATTCTCAGAAACTTATTTGCGATGTGTGTCCTCAACTAACAGAGTTGAACCTTTCTTTTGATACAACATTTTGGAAACACTCTTTTTGTAGAATCTGCAAGTGGATATTTGGATAGCTTTGAAGGTTTCGTTGGAAACGGGAATATCTTCATATGAAATCAAGACAGAAGCATTCTCAGAAACTTCTCTGTGATGTTTGCATTCAACTCATAGAGTTGAACACTTCCCTTCATACAGCAGGTTTGAAACACTCTTTTTGTAATATTTGGAAGTGGACATTTGCAGCGCTTTGAGGCCTATGTTGAAAAAGGAAATATCTTCTCCTAAAAACCAGACAGAAGCATTCTCAGAAACTTCCTTGTGATGTGTGTACTCAAGTAACAGAGTTGAACCTTCCTTTTGACAGAGCAGTTTTGAAGCACTCTTTTTGTAGAATCTGCAAGTGGATATTTTGATACCTTTGAGGATTTCGTTGGACACGGGATATCTTCATATAAAATCTAGACAGAAGCATTCTCAGAAACTTCTTTGTGCTGTATGTCCTCAATTAACAGAGTTGAACCTTTGTGTGGATACAGCATTTTGGAAACATTCCTTTAGTAGAATCTGCAAGTTGATATTTAGATAGCTAGGAAGATTTCCTTGGAAACGGGAATATCTTCATATAAAATCTAGACGGAAGCATTCTCAGAAAGTGCTTTGTGATGTTTGCATTCAAGTCACAGAGTTGAATATTCCCTTTTATAGAGCAGGTTTGAAACACTCTTTCTGCACTACCTGGAAGTGGACATTTGGAGCGCTTTGAGGCCTATGTTGAAAAAGGAAATATCTTCCCATAAAAACTAGACAGAAGCATTCTCAGAAACTTGTTTGTGATGTGTGTATTCAACTAACAGAGATGAACCTTTCTTTTTACAGAGCAGTTTTGAAACACTCTTTTTGTGGAATCTGAAAGTGGATATTTCCATAGCTTTGAGGATTTCGTTGGAAACGGGATTACATATAAAACCTAGAGAGAAGCATTCTCAGGAACTTCTTTGTGATGTTTGCATTCAAGTCACAGAACTGAACATTCCCTTTCATAGAGCAGGTTTGAAACACTCTTTCTGTAGTATCTGCAAGCTGACGTTTCAAGCGCTTTCAGGCCTATGGTGAGAAAGGAAATATCTTCAAGTAAAAACCAGACAGAAACATTCTCAGAAACTTATTTGCGATGTGTGTTCTCAACTAACAGAGTTGAACCTTTGTTTTGATACGGCATTTTGGAAACACTCTTTTTGTAGAATCTGCAGGTGGATATTCGGATAGCTTTGAAGGTTTCTTTGGAAACGGGAATATCTTCATATAAAATCTAGACGGAAGCATTCTCAGAAACTGCTTTGTGATGTTTTCATTCAAGTCACAGAGTAGAATGTTCCCTGTTATATACCAGGTTTGAGACACTCTTTCTGCACTACCTGGAAGTGGACATTTGGAGCGCTTTGAGGCCTATGATGAAAAAGGAAATCTCTTCCCATAAAAACTAGACAGAAGCATTCTCAGAAACTTGTTTGTGATGTGTGTATTCAACTAACAGAGATGAACCTTTCTTTTTACAGAGCAGTTTTGAAACACTCTTTTTGTGGAATCTGAAAGTGGATATTTGGATAGCTTTGAGGATTTCGTTGGAAACGGGATTACATATAAAATCTAGAGAGAAGCATTCTCAGGAACTTCTTTGTGATGTTTGCATTCACGTCACAGAACTGAACATTCCCTTTCATAGAGCATGTTTGAAACACTCTTTCTGTAGTATCTGCAAACGGACATTTCAAACGCTTTCAGGCCTATGGTGAGAAAGGAAATATCTTCAAATAAAAACTAGACAGAAGCATTCTCAGAAACTTATTTGCGATGTGTGTCCTCAACTAACAGAGTTGAACCTTTCTTTTGATACGACATTTTGGAAACACTCTTTCTGTAGAATCTGCAAGTGGATATTTGAATAGCTTTGAAGGTTTCGTTGGAAACGGGAATATCTTCAAATAAAAACTAGACAGAAGCATTCTCAGAAACTTATTTGCGATGTGTGTCCTCAACTAACAGAGTTGAACCTTTCTTTTGATACAACATTTTGGAAACACTCTTTTTGTAGAATCTGCAAGTGGATATTTGAATAGCTTTGAAGGTTTCGTTGGAAACGGGAATATCTTCATATAAAATCAAGACAGAAGCATTCTCAGAAACTTCTCTGTGATGTTTGCATTCAACTCATAGAGTTGAACACTTCCCTTCATACAGCAGGTTTGAAACACTCTTTTTGTAATATTTGGAAGTGGACATTTGCAGCGCTTTGAGGCCTATGATGAAAAAGGAAATATCTTCCCACAAAAACTAGACAGAAGCATTCTCAGAAACTTGTTTGTGATGTGTGTATTCAACTAACAGAGATGAACCTTTCTTTTTACAGAGCAGTTTTGAAACACTCTTTTTGTGGAATCTGAAAGTGGATATTTGGATAGCTTTGCGGATTTCGTTGGAAACGGGATTACATATAAAATCTAGGGAGAAGCATTCTCAGGAACTTCTTTGTGATGTTTGCGTTCAAGTCACAGAACTGAACATTCCCTTTCATAGAGCAGGTTTGAAACACTCTTTCTGTAGTATCTGCAAGCTGACGTTTCAAGCGCTTTCAGGCCTATGGTGAGAAAGGAAATATCTTCAAGTAAAAACTAGACAGAAGCATTCTCACAAACTTATTTGCGATGTGTGTTCTCAACTAACAGAGTTGAACCTTTGTTTTGATATGGCATTTTGGAAACACTCTTTTTGTAGAATCTGCAGGTGGATATTCGGATAGCTTTGAAGGTTTCGTTGGAAACGGGAATATCTTCATATAAAATCTAGACGGAAGCATTCTCAGAAAGTGCTTTGTGATGTTTGCATTCAAGTCACAGAGTTGAATATTCCCTTTTATAGAGTAGGTTTGAAACACTCTTTCTGCACTACCTGGAAGTGGACATTTGGAGTGCTTTGAGGCCTATGTTGAAAAAGGAAATATCTTCCCATAAAAACTAGACAGAAGCATTCTCAGAAACTTGTTTGTGATGTGTGTATTCAACTAACAGAGATGAACCTTTCTTTTTACAGAGCAGTTTTGAAACACTCTTTTTGTGGAATCTGAAAGTGGATATTTGGATAGCTTTGAGGATTTCGTTGGAAACGGGATTACATATAAAACCTAGAGAGAAGCATTCTCAGGAACTTCTTTGTGATGTTTGCATTCACGTCACAGAACTGAACATTCCCTTTCATAGAGCATGTTTGAAACACTCTTTCTGTAGTATCTGCAAACGGACATTTCAAACGCTTTCAGGCCTATGGTGAGAAAGGAAATATCTTCAAATAAAAACTAGACAGAAGCATTCTCAGAAACTTATTTGCGATGTGTGTCCTCAACTAACAGAGTTGAACCTTTCTTTTGATACAACATTTTGGAAACACTCTTTTTGTGGAATCTGCAAGTGGATATTTGGATAGCTTTGAAGGTTTCGTTGGAAACGGGAATATCTTCATATAAAATCAAGACAGAAGCATTCTCAGAAACTTCTCTGTGATGTTTGCATTCAACTCATAGAGTTGAACACTTCCCTTCATACAGCAGGTTTGAAACACTCTTTTTCTAATATTTGGAAGTGGACTTTTGCAGCGCTTTGAAGCCTATGATGAAAAAGGTAATATCTTCCCATAAAAACTAGAAAGAAGCATTCTCAGAAACTTGTTTGTGATGTGTGTATTCAACTAACAGGGATGAACCTTTCTTTTTACAGAGCAGTTTTGAAGCACTCTTTTTGTAGAATCTGCAAGTGGATATTTTGATACCATTGAGGATTTCGTTGGACACGGGATATCTTCATATAAAATCTAGACAGAAGCATTCTCAGAAACTTCTTTGTGCTGTATGTCCTCAATTAACAGAGTTGAACCTTTGTGTGGATACAGCATTTTGGAAACATTCCTTTAGTAGAATCTGCAAGTTGATATTTAGATAGCTAGGAAGAGTTCCTTGGAAACGGGAATATCTTCATATAAAATCTAGACGGAAGCATTCTCAGAAAGTGCTTTGTGATGTTTGCATTCAAGTCACAGAGTTGAATGTTCCCTTTTATAGAGGAGGTTTGAAACACTCTTTCTGCACTACCTGGAAGTGGACATTTGGAGCGCTTTGAGGCCTATGTTGGAAAAGGAAATATCTTCCCATAAAAACTAGACAGAAGCATTCTCAGAAACTTGTTTGTGATGTGTGTATTCAACTAACAGAGATGAACCTTTCTTTTTACAGAGCAGTTTTGAAACACTCTTTTTGTGGAATCTGAAAGTGGATATTTGGATAGCTTTGAGGATTTCGTTGGAAACGGGATTACATATAAAACCTAGAGAGAAGCATTCTCAGGAACTTCTTTGTGATGTTTGCATTCAAGTCACAGAACTGAACATTCCCTTTCATAGAGCAGGTTTGAAACCCTCTTTCTGTAGTATCTGCAAGCAGACGTTTTAAGCGCTTTCAGGCCTGTGGTGAGAAAGGAAATATCTTCAAATAAAAACTAGACAGAAGCATTCTCAGAAACTTATTTGCGATGTGTGTTCTCAACTAACAGAGTTGAACCTTTGTTTTGATATGGCATTTTGGAAACACTCTTTTTGTAGAATCTGCAGGTGGATATTCGGATAGCTTTGAAGGTTTCGTTGGAAACGGGAATATCTTCATATAAAATCTAGACGGAAGCATTCTCAGAAACTGCTTTGTGATGTTTTCATTCAAGTCACAGAGTAGAATGTTCCCTGTTATATACCAGGTTTGAGACACTCTTTCTGCACTACCTGGAAGTGGACATTTGCAGCGCTTTGAGGCCTATGATGAAAAAGGAAATATCTTCCCATAAAAACTAGACAGAAGCATTCTCAGAAACTTGTTTTTGATGTGTGTATTCAGCTAACAGAGATGAACCTTTCTTTTTACAGAGCAGTTTTGAAACACTCTTTTTGTGGAATCTGAAAGTGGATATTTGGATAGCTTTGAGGATTTCGTTGGAAACAGGATTACATATAAAATCTAGAGAGAAGCATTCTCAGGAACTTCTTTGTGATGTTTGCATTCACGTCACAGAACTGAACATTCCCTTTCATAGAGCATGTTTGAAACACTCTTTCTGTAGTATCTGCAAACGGACATTTCAAACGCTTTCAGGCCTATGGTGAGAAAGGAAATATCTTCACATAAAAACTAGACAGAAGCATTCTCAGAAACTTATTTGCGATGTGTGTCCTCAACTAACAGAGTTGAACCTTTCTTTTGATACAACATTTTGGAAACACTCTTTTTGTAGAATCTGCAAGTGGATATTTGAATAGCTTTGAAGGTTTCGTTGCAAACGGGAATATCTTCATATAAAATCAAGACAGAAGCATTCTCAGAAACTTCTCTGTGATGTTTGCATTCAACTCATAGAGTTGAACACTTCCCTTCATACAGCAGGTTTGAAACACTCTTTTTGTAATATTTGGAAGTGGACATTTGCAGCGCTTTGAGGCCTATGATGAAAAAGGTAATATCTTCCCATAAAAACTAGACAGAAGCATTCTCAGAAACTTGTTTGTGATGTGTGTATTCAACTAACAGAGATGAACCTTTCTTTTTACAGAGCAGTTTTGAAACACTCTTTTTGTGGAATCTGAAAGTGGATATTTGGATAGCTTTGCGGATTTCGTTGGAAACGGGATTACATATAAAATCTAGGGAGAAGCATTCTCAGGAACTCTTTTGTGATGTTTGCATTCAAGTCACAGAACTGAACATTCCCTTTCATAGAGCATGTTTGAAACACTCTTTCTGTAGTATCTGCAAACGGACGTTTCAAGCGCTTTCAGGCCTATGGTGAGAAAGGAAATATCTTCAAATAAAAACTAGACAGAAGCATTCTCAGAAACTTATTTGCGATGTGTGTTCTCAACTAAAAGAGTTGAACGTTTGTTTGGATACAACATTTTGGAAACACTCTTTTTGTAGAATCTGCAAGTGGATATTTGGATAGCTGTGAAGGTTTCTTTGGAAACGGGAATATCTTCATATAAAATCAAGACAGAAGCATTCTCAGAAACTTCTCTGTGATGTTTGCATTCAACTCATAGAGTTGAACACTTCCCTTCATACAGCAGGTTTGAAACACTCTTTTTGTAATATTTGGAAGTGGACATTTGCAGCGCTTTGAGGCCTATGTTGAAAAAGGAAATATCTTCTCCTAAAAACCAGACAGAAGCATTCTCAGAAACTTCCTTGTGATGTGTGTACTCAAGTAACAGAGTTGAACCTTCCTTTTGACAGAGCAGTTTTGAAGCACTCTTTTTGTAGAATCTGCAAGTGGATATTTTGATACCTTTGAGGATTTCGTTGGACACGGGATATCTTCATATAAAATCTAGACAGAAGCATTCTCAGAAACTTCTTTGTGCTGTATGTCCTCAATTAACAGAGTTGAACCTTTGTGTGGATACAGCATTTTGGAAACATTCCTTTAGTAGAATCTGCAAGTTGATATTTAGATAGCTAGGAAGAGTTCCTTGGAAACGGGAATATCTTCATATAAAATCTAGACGGAAGCATTCTCAGAAAGTGCTTTGTGATGTTTGCATTCAAGTCACAGAGTTGAATATTCCCTTTTATAGAGCAGGTTTGAAACACTCTTTCTGCACTACCTGGAAGTGGACATTTGGAGCGCTTTGAGGCCTATGTTGAAAAAGGAAATATCTTCCCATAAAAACTAGACAGAAGCATTCTCAGAAACTTGTTTGTGATGTGTGTATTCAACTAACAGAGATGAACCTTTCTTTTTACAGAGCAGTTTTGAAACACTCTTTTTGTGGAATCTGAAAGTGGATATTTGGATAGCTTTGAGGATTTCGTTGGAAACGGGATTACATATAAAACCTAGAGAGAAGCATTCTCAGGAACTTCTTTGTGATGTTTGCCTTCAAGTCACAGGACTGAACATTCCCTTTCATAGAGCAGGTTTGAAACACTCTTTCTGTAGTATCTGCAAGCTGACGTTTCAAGCGCTTTCAGGCCTATGGTGAGAAAGGAAATATCTTCAAGTAAAAACTAGACAGAAGCATTCTCAGAAACTTATTTGCGATGTGTGTTCTCAACTAACAGAGTTGAACCTTTGTTTTGATATGGCATTTTGGAAACACTCTTTTTGTAGAATCTGCAGGTGGATATTCGGATAGCTTTGAAGGTTTCGTTGGAAACGGGAATATCTTCATATAAAATCTAGACGGAAGCATTCTCAGAAACTGCTTTGTGATGTTTTCATTCAAGTCACAGAGTAGAATGTTCCCTGTTATATACCAGGTTTGAGACACTCTTTCTGCACTATCTGGAAGTGGACATTTGCAGCGCTTTGAGGCCTATGATGAAAAAGGAAATATCTTCCCATAAAAACTAGACAGAAGCATTCTCAGAAACTTGTTTGTGATGTGTGTATTCAACTAACAGAGATGAACCTTTCTTTTTACAGAGCAGTTTTGAAACACTCTTTTTGTGGAATCTGAAAGTGGATATTTGGATAGCTTTGAGGATTTCGTTGGAAACGGGATTACATATAAAATCTAGAGAGAAGCATTCTCAGGAACTTCTTTGTGATGTTTGCATTCACGTCACAGAACTGAACATTCCCTTTCATAGAGCATGTTTGAAACACTCTTTCTGTAGTATCTGCAAACGGACATTTCAAACGCTTTCAGGCCTATGGTGAGAAAGGAAATATCTTCAAATAAAAACTAGACAGAAGCATTCTCAGAAACTTATTTGCGATGTGTGTCCTCAACTAACAGAGTTGAACCTTTCTTTTGATACAACATTTTGGAAACACTCTTTTTGTAGAATCTGCAAGTGGATATTTGAATAGCTTTGAAGGTTTCGTTGGAAACGGGAATATCTTCATATAAAATCAAGACAGAAGCATTCTCAGAAACTTCTCTGTGATGTTTGCATTCAACTCATAGAGTTGAACACTTCCCTTCATACAGCAGGTTTGAAACACTCTTTTTGTAATATTTGGAAGTGGACATTTGCAGCGCTTTGAGGCGTATGATGAAAAAGGTAATATCTTCCAATAAAAACTAGACAGAAGCATTCTCAGAAACTTATTTGCCATGTGTGTTCTCAACTAACAGAGTTGAACCTTTGTTTTGATACGGCATTTTGGAAACACTCTTTTTGTAGAATCTGCAGGTGGATATTCGGATACCTTTGAAAGTTTCGTTGGAAACGGGAATATCTTCATATAAAATCTAGACGGAAGCATTCTGAGAAAGTGCTTTGTGATGTTTGCATTCAAGTCACAGAGTTGAATATTCCCTTTTATAGAGCAGGTTTGAAACACTCTTTCTGCACTACCTGGAAGTGCACATTTGGAGCGCTTTGAGGCCTATGTTGAAAAAGGAAATATCTTCCCATAAAAACTAGACAGAAGCATTCTCAGAAACTTGTTTGTGATGTGTGTATTCAACTAACAGAGATGAACCTTTCTTTTTACAGAGCAGTTTTGAAACACTCTTTTTGTGGAATCTGAAAGTGGATATTTGGATAGCTTTGAGGATTTCGTTGGAAACGGGATTACATATAAAACCTAGAGAGAAGCATTCTCAGGAACTTCTTTGTGATGTTTGCATTCAAGTCACAGAACTGAACATTCCCTTTCATAGAGCAGGTTTGAAACACTCTTTCTGTAGTATCTGCAAGCTGACGTTTCAAGCGCTTTCAGGCCTATGGTGAGAAAGGAAATATCTTCAAGTAAAAACTAGACAGAAGCATTCTCAGAAACTTATTTGCCATGTGTGTTCTCAACTAACAGAGTTGAACCTTTGTTTTGATACGGCATTTTGGAAACACTCTTTTTGTAGAATCTGCAGGTGGATACTCGGATAGATTTGAAGGTTTCGTTGGAAACGGGAATATCTTCATATAAAATCTAGACGGAAGCATTCTCAGAAACTGCTTTGTGATGTTTTCATTCAAGTCACAGAGTAGAATGTTCCCTGTTATATACCAGGTTTGAGACACTCTTTCTGCACTACCTGGAAGTGGACGTTTGGAGCGCTTTGAGGCCTATGTTGAAAAAGGAAATATCTTCCCATAAAAACTAGACAGAAGCATTCTCAGAAACTTGTTTGTGATGTGTGTATTCAACTAACAGAGATGAACCTTTCTTTTTACAGAGCAGTTTTGAAACACTCTTTTTGTGGAATCTGAAAGTGGATATTTGGATAGCTTTGAGGATTTCGTTGGAAACGGGATTACATATAAAACCTAGAGAGAAGCATTCTCAGGAACTTCTTTGTGATGTTTGCATTCACGTCACAGAACTGAACATTCCCTTTCATAGAGCATGTTTGAAACACTCTTTCTGTAGTATCTGCAAACGGACATTTCAAACGCTTTCAGGCCTATGGTGAGAAAGGAAATATCTTCAAGTAAAAATTAGACAGAAGCATTCTCAGAAACTTATTTGCGATGTGTGTCCTCAACTAACAGAGTTGAACCTTTCTTTTGATACAACATTTTGGAAACACTCTTTTTGTAGAATCAGCAAGTGGATATTTGAATAGCTTTGAAGGTTTCGTTGGAAACGGGAATATCTTCATATAAAATCAAGACAGAAGCATTCTCAGAAACTTCTCTGTGATGTTTGCATTCAACTCATAGAGTTGAACACTTCCCTTCATACAGCAGGTTTGAAACACTCTTTTTGTAATATTTGGAAGTGGTCATTTGCAGCGCTTTGACGCCTATGATGAAAAAGGTAATATCTTCCCATAAAAACTAGACAGAAGCATTCTCAGAAACTTGTTTGTGATGTGTGTATTCAACTAACAGAGATGAACCTTTCTTTTTACAGAGCAGTTTTGAAACACTCTTTTTGTGGAATCTAAAAGTGGATATTTGGATAGCTTTGAGGATTTCGTTGGAAACGGGATTACATATAAAACCTAGAGAGAAGCATTCTCAGGAACTTCTTTGTGATGTTTGCATTCAAGTCACAGAACTGAACATTCCCTTTCATAGAGCAGGTTTGAAACACTCTTTCTGTAGTATCTGCAAGCTGACGTTTCAAGCGCTTTCAGGCCTATGGTGAGAACGGAAATATCTTCAAGTAAAAACTAGACAGAAGCATTCTCAGAAACTTATTTGCGATGTGTGTCCTCAACTAACAGAGTTGAACCTTTCTTTTGATACAACATTTTGGAAACACTCTTTTTGTAGAATCTGCAAGTGGATATTTGGATAGCTTTGAAGGTTTCGTTGGAAACGGGAATATCTTCATATGAAATCAAGACAGAAGCATTCTCAGAAACTTCTCTGTGATGTTTGCATTCAACTCATAGAGTTGAACACTTCCCTTCATACAGCAGGTTTGAAACACTCTTTTTCTAATATTTGGAAGTGGACATTTGCAGCGCTTTGAGGCCTATGTTGAAAAAGGAAATATCTTCTCCTAAAAACCAGACAGAAGCATTCTCAGAAACTTCCTTGTGATGTGTGTACTCAAGTAACAGAGTTGAACCTTCCTTTTGACAGAGCAGTTTTGAAGCACTCTTTTTGTAGAATCTGCAAGTGGATATTTTGATACCTTTGAGGATTTCGTTGGACACGGGATATCTTCATATGAAATCTAGACAGAAGCATTCTCAGAAACTTATTTGCGATGTGTGTCCTCAACTAACAGAGTTGAACATTTCTTTTGATACAACATTTTGGAAACACTCTTTTTGTAGAATCTGCAAGTGGATATTTGGATAGCTTTGAAGGTTTCGTTTGAAACGGGAATATCTTCATATGAAATCAAGACAGAAGCATTCTCAGAAACTGCTTTGTGATGTTTTCATTCAAGTCACAGAGTAGAATGTTCCCTGTTATATACCAGGTTTGAGACACTCTTTCTGCACTACCTGGAAGAGGACATTTGCAGCGCTTTGAGGCCTATGATGAAAAAGGGAATATCTTCCCATAAAAACTAGACAGAAGCATTCTCAGAAACTTGTTTGTGATGTGTGTATTCAACTAACAGAGATGAACCTTTCTTTTTACAGAGCAGTTTTGAAACACTCTTTTTGTGGAATCTGAAAGTGGATATTTGGATAGCTTTGAGGATTTCGTTGGAAACGGGATTACATATAAAACCTAGAGAGAAGCATTCTCAGGAACTTCTTTGTGATGTTTGCCTTCAAGTCACAGGACTGAACATTCCCTTTCATAGAGCAGGTTTGAAACACTCTTTCTGTAGTATCTGCAAGCTGACGTTTCAAGCGCTTTCAGGCCTATGGTGAGAAAGGAAATATCTTCAAGTAAAAACTAGACAGAAGCATTCTCAGAAACTTATTTGAGATGTGTGTTCTCAACTAACAGAGTTGAACCTTTGTTTTGATATGGCATTTTGGAAACACTCTTTTTGTAGAATCTGCAGGTGGATATTCGGATAGCTTTGAAGGTTTCGTTGGAAACGGGAATATCTTCATATAAAATCTAGACGGAAGCATTCTCAGAAACTGCTTTGTGATGTTTTCATTCAAGTCACAGAGTAGAATGTTCCCTGTTATATACCAGGTTAGAGACACTCTTTCTGCACTACCTGGAAGTGGACATTTGCAGCGCTTTGAGGCCTATGATGAAAAAGGAAATATCTTCCCATAAAAACTAGACAGAAGCATTCTCAGAACCTTGTTTGTGATGTGTGTATTCAACTAACAGAGATGAACCTTTCTTTTTACAGAGCAGTTTTGAAACACTCTTTTTGTGGAATCTGAAAGTGGATATTTGGATAGCTTTGAGGATTTCGTTGGAAACGGGATTACATATAAAACCTAGAGAGAAGCATTCTCAGGAACTTCTTTGTGATGTTTGCCTTCAAGTCACAGGACTGAACATTCCCTTTCATAGAGCAGGTTTGAAACACTCTTTCTGTAGTATCTGCAAGCTGACGTTTCAAGCGCTTTCAGGCCTATGGTGAGAAAGGAAATATCTTCAAGTAAAAACTAGACAGGAAGCATTCTCAGAAACTTATTTGCGATGTGTGTTCTCAACTAACAGAGTTGAACCTTTGTTTTGATACAGCATTTTGGAAACACTCTTTTTGTAGGATCTGCAGGTGGATATTTGGATAGCTTTGAAGGTTTCGTTGGAAACGGGAATATCTTCATATAAAATCTAGACGGAAGCATTCTCAGAAACTGCTTTGTGATGTTTTCATTCAAGTCACAGAGTAGAATGTTCCCTGTTATATACCAGGTTTGAGACACTCTTTCTGCACTACCTGGAAGTAGACGTTTGGAGCGCTTTGAGGCCTATGTTGAAAAAGGAAATATCTTCCCATAAAAACTAGACAGAAGCATTCTCAGAAACTTGCTTGTGATGTGTGTATTCAACTAACAGAGATGAACCTTTCTTTTTACAGAGCAGTTTTGAAACACTCTTTTTGTGGAATCTGAAAGTGGATATTTGGATAGCTTTGAGGATTTCGTTGGAAACGGGATTACATATAAAACCTAGAGAGAAGCATTCTCAGGAACTTCTTTGTGATGTTTGCATTCAAGTCACAGAACTGAACATTCCCTTTCATAGAGCAGGTTTGAAACACTCTTTCTGTAGTATCTGCAAGCTGACGTTTCAAGCGCTTTCAGGCCTATGGTGAGAAAGGAAATATCTTCAAGTAAAAACTAGACAGAAGCATTCTCAGAAACTTATTTGCGATGTGTGTTCTCAACTAACAGAGTTGAACCTTTGTTTTGATATGGCATTTTGGAAACACTCTTTTTGTAGAATCTGCAGGTGGATATTCGGATAGCTTTGAAGGTTTCGTTGGAAACGGGAATATCTTCATATAAAATCTAGACGGAAGCATTCTCAGAAACTGCTTTGTGATGTTTTCATTCAAGTCACAGAGTAGAATGTTCTCTTTTATATACCAGGTTTGAGACACTCTTTCTGCACTATCTGGAAGTGGACATTTGGAGCGCTTTGAGGCCTATGATGAAAAAGGAAATATCTTCCCATAAAAACTAGACAGAAGCATTCTCAGAAACTTGTTTGTGATGTGTGTATTCAACTAACAGAGATGAACCTTTCTTTTTACAGAGCAGTTTTGAAACACTCTTTTTGTGGAATCTGAAAGTGGATATTTGGATAGCTTTGAGGATTTCGTTGGAAACGGGATTACATATAAAATCTAGAGAGAAGCATTCTCAGGAACTTCTTTGTGATGTTTGCATTCACGTCACAGAACTGAACATTCCCTTTCATAGAGCATGTTTGAAACACTCTTTCTGTAGTATCTGCAAACGGACATTTCAAACGCTTTCAGGCCTATGGTGAGAAAGGAAATATCTTCAAATAAAAACTAGACAGAAGCATTCTCAGAAACTTATTTGCGATGTGTGTCCTCAACTAACAGAGTTGAACCTTTCTTTTGATACAACATTTTGGAAACACTCTTTTTGTGGAATCTGCAAGTGGATATTTGGATAGCTTTGAAGGTTTCGTTGGAAACGGGAATATCTTCATATGAAATCAAGACAGAAGCATTCTCAGAAACTTCTCTGTGATGTTTGCATTCAACTCATAGAGTTGAACACTTCCCTTCATACAGCAGGTTTGAAACACTCTTTTTCTAATATTTGGAAGTGGACTTTTGCAGCGCTTTGAAGCCTATGATGAAAAAGGTAATATCTTCCCATAAAAACTAGAAAGAAGCATTCTCAGAAACTTGTTTGTGATGTGTGTATTCAACTAACAGAGATGAACCTTTCTTTTTACAGAGCAGTTTTGAAGCACTCTTTTTGTAGAATCTGCAAGTGGATATTTTGATACCATTGAGGATTTCGTTGGACACGGGATATCTTCATATAAAATCTAGACAGAAGCATTCTCAGAAACTTCTTTGTGCTGTATGTCCTCAATTAACAGAGTTGAACCTTTGTGTGGATACAGCATTTTGGAAACATTCCTTTAGTAGAATCTGCAAGTTGATATTTAGATAGCTAGGAAGAGTTCCTTGGAAACGGGAATATCTTCATATAAAATCTAGACGGAAGCATTCTCAGAAAGTGCTTTGTGATGTTTGCATTCAAGTCACAGAGTTGAATATTCCCTTTTATAGAGCAGGTTTGAAACACTCTTTCTGCACTACCTGGAAGTGGACATTTGGAGCGCTTTGAGGCCTATGTTGAAAAAGGAAATATCTTCCCATAAAAACTAGACAGAAGCATTCTCAGAAATTTGTTTGTGATGTGTGTATTCAACTAACAGAGATGAACCTTTCTTTTTACAGAGCAGTTTTGAAACACTCTTTTTGTGGATTCTGAAAGTGGATATTTGGATAGCTTTGAGGATTTTGTTGGAAACGGGATTACATATAAAACCTAGAGAGAAGCATTCTCAGGAACTTCTTTGTGATGTTTGCATTCAAGTCACAGAACTGAACATTCCCTTTCATAGAGCAGGTTTGAAACACTCTTTCTGTAGTATCTGCAAGCTGACGTTTCAAGCGCTTTCAGGCCTATGGTGAGAAAGGAAATATCTTCAAGTAAAAACTAGACAGAAGCATTCTCAGAAACTTATTTGCGATGTGTGTTCTCAACTAACAGAGTTGAACCTTTATTTTGATATGGCATTTTGGAAACACTCTTTTTGTAGAATCTGCAGGTGGATATTCGGATAGCTTTGAACGTTTCGTTGGAAACGGGAATATCTTCATATAAAATCTAGACGGAAGCATTCTCAGAAACTGCTTTGTGATGTTTTCATTCAAGTCACAGAGTAGAATGTTCCCTGTTATATACCAGGTTTGAGACACTCTTTCTGCACTACCTGGAAGTGGACATTTGGAGCGCTTTGAGGCCTATGATGAAGAAGGAAATATCTTCCCATAAAAACTAGACAGAAGCATTCTCAGAAACTTGTTTGTGATGTGTGTATTCAACTAACAGAGATGAACCTTTCTTTTTACAGAGCAGTTTTGAAACACTCTTTTTGTGGAATCTGAAAGTGGATATTTGGATAGCTTTGCGGATTTCGTTGGAAACGGGATTACATATAAAATCTAGGGAGAAGCATTCTCAGGAACTTCTTTGTGATGTTTGCATTCAAGTCACAGAACTGAACATTCCCTTTCATAGAGCAGGTTTGAAACACTCTTTCTGTAGTATCTGCAAGCGGACGTTTTAAGCGCTTTCAGGCCTGTGGTGAGAAAGGAAATATCTTCAAATAAAAACTAGACAGAAGCATTCTCAGAAACTTACTTGCGATGTGTGTTCTCAACTAAAAGAGTTGAACCTTTGTTTGGATACAGCATTTTGGAAACACTCTTTTTGTAGAATCTGCAAGTGGATATTTGGATAGCTTTGTAGGTTTCGTTGGAAACGGGAATATCTTCATATAAAATCAAGACAGCAGCATTCTCAGAAACTTCTCTGTGATGTTTGCATTCAACTCATAGAGTTGAACACTTCCCTTCATACAGCAGGTTTGAAACACTCTTTTTCTAATATTTGGAAGTGGACATTTGCAGCGCTTTGAGGCCTATGTTGAAAAAGGAAATATCTTCTCCTAAAAACCAGACAGAAGCATTCTCAGAATCTTTCTTGTGAAGTGTGTACTCAAGTAACAGAGTTGAACCTTCATTTTGACAGAGCAGTTTTGAAGCACTCTTTTTGTAGAATCTGCAAGTGGATATTTTGATACCTTTGAGGATTTCGTTGGACACGGGATATCTTCATATAAAATCTAGACAGAAGCATTCTCAGAAACTTATTTGCCATGTGTGTTCTCAACTAACACAGTTGAACCTTTGTTTTGATACGGCATTTTGGAAACACTCTTTTTGTAGAATCTGCAGGTGGATATTCGGATAGCTTTGAAGGTTTCGTTGGAAACGGGAATATCTTCATATAAAATCTAGACGGAAGCATTCTCAGAAACTTGTTTGTGATGTGTGTATTCAACTAACAGAGATGAACCTTTCTTTTTACAGAGTAGTTTTGAAACACTCTTTTTGTGGAATCTTAAAGTGGATATTTGGATAGCTTTGAGGAATTCGTTGGAAACGGGATTACATATAAAATCTAGGGAGAAGCATTCTCAGGAACTTCTTTGTGATGTTTGCATTCACGTCACAGAACTGAACATTCCCTTTCATAGAGCATGTTTGAAACACTCTTTCTGTAGTATCTGCAAACGGACATTTCAAACGCTTTCAGGCCTATGGTGAGAAAGGAAATATCTTCAAATAAAAACTAGACAGAAGCATTCTCAGAAACTTATTTGCGATGTGTGTCCTCAACTATCAGAGTTGAACCTTTCTTTTGATACAACATTTTGGAACCACTCTTTTTGTAGAATCTGCAAGTGGATATTTGAATAGCTTTGAAGGTTTCGTTGGAAACGGGAATATCTTCATATAAAATCAAGACAGAAGCATTCTCAGAAACTTCTCTGTGATGTTTGCATTCAACTCATAGAGTTGAACACTTCCCTTCATACAGCAGGTTTGAAACACTCTTTTTGTAATATTTGGAAGTGGACATTTGCAGCGCTTTGAGGCCTATGATGAAAAAGGAAATATCTTCCAATAAAAACTAGACAGAAGCATTCTCAGAAACTTGTTTGTGATGTGTGTATTCAACTAACAGAGATGAACCTTTCTTTTTACAGAGCAGTTTTGAAACACTCTTTTTGTGGAATCTGAAAGTGGATATTTGGATAGCTTTGAGGATTTCGTTGGAAACGGGATTACATATAAAATCTAGAGAGAAGCATTCTCAGGAACTTCTTTGTGATGTTTGCATTCACGTCACAGAACTGAACATTCCCTTTCATAGAGCATGTTTGAAACACTCTTTCTGTAGTATCTGCAAACGGACATTTCAAACGCTTTCAGGCCTATGGTGAGAAAGGAAATATCTTCAAATAAAAACTAGACAGAAGCATTCTCAGAAACTTATTTGCGATGTGTGTCCTCAACTAACAGAGTTGAACCTTTCTTTTGATACAACATTTTGGAAACACTCTTTTTGTAGAATCTGCAAGTGGATATTAGGATAGCTTTGAAGGTTTCGTTGGAAACGGGAATATCTTCATATAAAATCAAGACAGAAGCATTCTCAGAAACTTCTCTGTGATGTTTACATTCAACTCATAGAGTTGAATACTTCCCTTCATACAGCAGGTTTGAAACACTCTTTTTGTAATATTTGGAAGTGGACATTTGCAGCGCTTTGAGGCCTATGATGAAAAAGGAAATATCTTCCCATAAAAACTAGACAGAAGCATTCTCAGAAACTTGTTTGTGATGTGTGTATTCAACTAACAGAGATGAACCTTTCTTTTTACAGAGCAGTTTTGAAACACTCTTTTTGTGGAATCTGAAAGTGGATATTTGGATAGCTTTGAGGATTTCGTTGGAAACGGGATTACATATAAAACCTAGAGAGCAAGCATTCTCAGGAACTACTTTGTGATGTTTGCATTCACGTCACAGAACTGAACATTCCCTTTCATAGAGCATGTTTGAAACACTCTTTCTGTAGTATCTGCAAACGGACATTTCAAACGTTTTCAGGCCTATGGTGAGAAAGGAAATATCTTCAAATAAAAACTAGACAGAAGCATTCTCAGAAACTTATTTGCGATGTGTGTCCTCAACTAACAGAGTTGAACCTTTCTTTTGATACAACATTTTGGAAACACTCTTTTTGTAGAATCTGCAAGTGGATATTTGGATAGCTTTGAAGGTTTCGTTGGAAACGGGAATATCTTCATATGAAATCAAGACAGAAGCATTCTCAGAAACTTCTCTGTGATGTTTGCATTCAACTCATAGAGTTGAACACTTCCCTTCATACAGCAGGTTTGAAACACTCTTTTTCTAATATTTGGAAGTGGACATTTGCAGCGCTTTGAGGCCTATGTTGAGAAAGGAAATATCTTCTCCTAAAAACCAGACAGAAGCATTCTCAGAAACTTATTTACGATGTGTGTCCTCAACTAACAGAGTTGAACCTTTCTTTTGATACAACATTTTGGAAACACTCTTTTTGTAGAATCTGCAAGTGGATATTTGGATAGCTTTGAAGGTTTCGTTGGAAACGGGAATATCTTCATATAAAATCAAGACAGAAGCATTCTCAGAAACTTCTCTGTGATGTTTGCATTCAACTCATAGAGTTGAACACTTCCCTTCATACAGCAGGTTTGAAACCCTCTTTTTCTAATATTTGGAAGTGGACATTTGCAGCGCTTTGAGGCCTATGTTGAAAAAGGAAATATCTTCCCATAAAAACTAGACAGAAGCATTCTCAGAAACTTGTTTGTGATGTGTGTATTCAACTAACAGAGATGAACCTTTCTTTTTACAGAGCAGTTTTGAATCACTCTTTTTGTGGAATCTGAAAGTGGATATTTGGATAGCTTTGAGGATTTCGTTGGAAACGGGATTACATATAAAATCTAGAGAGAAGCATTCTCAGGAACTTCTTTGTGATGTTTGCATTCACGTCACAGAACTGAACATTCCCTTTCATAGCAGCATGTTTGAAACACTCTTTCTGTAGTATCTGCAAACGGACATTTCAAACGCTTTCAGGCCTATGGTGAGAAAGGAAATATCTTCAAGTAAAAACTAGACAGAAGCATTCTCAGAAACTTATTTGCGATGTGTGTCCTCAACTAACAGAGTTGAACCTTTCTTTTGATACAACATTTTGGAAACACTCTTTTTGTAGAATCTGCAAGTGGATATTTGAATAGCTTTGAAGGTTTCGTTGGAAACGGGAATATCTTCATATAAAATCAAGACAGAAGCATTCTCAGAAACTTCTCTGTGATGTTTGCATTCAACTCATAGAGTTGAACACTTCCCTTCATACAGCAGGTTTGAAACACTCTTTTTGTAATATTTGGAAGTGGACATTTGCAGCGCTTTGAGGCCTATGTTGAAAAAGGAAATATCTTCTCCTAAAAACCAGACAGAAGCATTCTCAGAAACTTGTTTGTGATGTGTGTATTCAACTAACAGAGATGAACCTTTCTTTTTACAGAGCAGTTTTGAAACACTCTTTTTGTGGAATCTGAAAGTGGATATTTGGATAGCTTTGAGGATTTCGTTGGAAACGGGATTACATATAAAACCTAGAGAGAAGCATTCTCAGGAACTTCTTTGTGATGTTTGCATTCAAGTCACAGAACTGAACATTCCCTTTCATAGAGCAGGTTTGAAACACTCTTTCTGTAGTATCTGCAAGCGGACGTTTTAAGCGCTTTCAGGCCTGTGGTGAGAAAGGAAATATCTTCAAATAAAAACTAGACAGAAGCATTCTCAGAAACTTATTTGCGATGTGTGTCCTCAACTAACAGAGTTGAACCTTTCTTTTGATACAACATTTTGGAAACACTCTTTTTGTAGAATCTGCAAGTGGATATTTGGATAGCTTTGAAGGTTTCGTTGGAAACGGGAATATCTTCATATGAAATCAAGACAGAAGCATTCTCAGAAACTTCTCTGTGATGTTTGCATTCAACTCATAGAGTTGAACACTTCCCTTCATACAGCAGGTTTGAAACACTCTTTTTCTAATATTTGGAAGTGGACATTTGCAGCGCTTTGAGGCCTATGTTGAAAAAGGAAATATCTTCTCCTAAAAACCAGACAGAAGCATTCTCAGAAACTTCCTTGTGATGTGTGTACTCAAGTAACAGAGTTGAACCTTCCTTTTGACAGAGCAGTTTTTAAGCACTCTTTTTGTAGAATCTGCAAGTGGATATTTTGATACCTTTGAGGATTTCGTTGGACACGGGATATCTTCATATAAAATCTAGACAGAAGCATTCTCAGAAACTTCTTTGTGCTGTATGTCCTCAATTAACAGAGTTGAACCTTTGTGTGGATACAGCATTTTGGAAACATTCCTTTAGTAGAATCTGCAAGTTGATATTTAGATAGCTAGGAAGATTTCCTTGGAAACGGGAATATCTTCATATAAAATCTAGACGGAAGCATTCTCAGAAAGTGCTTTGTGATGTTTGCATTCAAGTCACAGAGTTGAATATTCCCTTTTATAGAACAGGTTTGAAACACTCTTTCTGCACTACCTGGAAGTGGACATTTGGAGTGCTTTGAGGCCTATGTTGGAAAAGGAAATATCTTCCCATAAAAACTAGACAGAAGCATTCTCAGAAACTTGTTTGTGATGTGTGTATTCAACTAACAGAGATGAACCTTTCTTTTTACAGAGCAGTTTTGAAACACTCTTTTTGTGGAATCTGAAAGTGGATATTTGGATAGCTTTGAGGATTTCGTTGGAAACGGGATTACATATAAAACCTAGAGAGAAGCATTCTCAGGAACTTCTTTGTGATGTTTGCCTTCAAGTCACAGGACTGAACATTCCCTTTCATAGAGCAGGTTTGAAACACTCTTTCTGTAGTATCTGCAAGCTGACGTTTCAAGCGCTTTCAGGCCTATGGTGAGAAAGGAAATATCTTCAAGTAAAAACTAGACAGAAGCATTCTCAGAAACTTATTTGCCATGTGTGTTCTCAACTAACAGAGTTGAACCTTTGTTTTGATACGGCATTTTGGAAACAATCTTTTTGTAGAATCTGCAGGTGGATATTCGGATAGGTTTGAAGGTTTCGTTGGAAACGGGAATATCTTCATATAAAATCTAGACGGAAGCATTCTCAGAAACTGCTTTGTGATGTTTTCATTCAAGTCACAGAGTAGAATGTTCCCTGTTATATACCAGGTTTGAGACACTCTTTCTGCACTACCTGGAAGTGGACATTTGCAGCGCTTTGAGGCCTATGATGAAAAAGGAAATATCTTCCCATAAAAACTAGACAGAAGCATTCTCAGAAACTTGTTTGTGATGTGTGTATTCAACTAACAGAGATGAACCTTTCTTTTTACAGAGCAGTTTTGAATCACTCTTTTTGTGGAATCTGAAAGTGGATATTTGGATAGCTTTGAGGATTTCGTTGGAAACGGGATTACATATAAAATCTAGAGAGAAGCATTCTCAGGAACTTCTTTGTGATGTTTGCATTCACGTCACAGAACTGAACATTCCCTTTCATAGAGCATGTTTGAAACACTCTTTCTGTAGTGTCTGCAAACGGACATTTCAAACGCTTTCAGGCCTATGGTGAGAAAGGAAATATCTTCAAATAAAAACTAGACAGAAGCATTCTCAGAAACTTATTTGCGATGTGTGTCCTCAACTAACAGAGTTGAACCTTTCTTTTGATACAACATTTTGGAAACACTCTTTTTGTAGAATCTGCAAGTGGATATTTGAATAGCTTTGAAGGTTTCGTTGGAAACGGGAATATCTTCAAATAAAAACTAGACAGAAGCATTCTCAGAAACTTATTTGCGATGTGTGTCCTCAACTAACAGAGTTGAACCTTTCTTTTGATACAACATTTTGGAAACACTCTTTTTGTAGAATCTGCAAGTGGATATTTGGATAGCTTTGAAGGTTTCGTTGGAAACGGGAATATCTTCATATGAAATCAAGACAGAAGCATTCTCAGAAACTTCTCTGTGATGTTTGCATTCAACTCATAGAGTTGAACACTTCCCTTCATACAGCAGGTTTGAAACACTCTTTTTCTAATATTTGGAAGTGGACATTTGCAGCGCTTTGAGGCCTATGTTGAAAAAGGAAATATCTTCTCCTAAAAACCAGACAGAAGCATTCTCAGAAACTTCCTTGTGATGTGTGTACTCAAGTAACAGAGTTGAACCTTCCTTTTGACAGAGCAGTTTTGAAGCACTCTTTTTGTAGAATCTGCAAGTGGATATTTTGATACCTTTGAGGATTTCGTTGGACACGGGATATCTTCATATAAAATCTAGACAGAAGCATTCTCAGAAACTTCTTTGTGCTGTATGTCCTCAATTAACAGAGTTGAACCTTTGTGTGGATACAGCATTTTGGAAACATTCCTTTAGTAGAATCTGCAAGTTGATATTTAGATAGCTAGGAAGATTTCCTTGGAAACGGGAATATCTTCATATAAAATCTAGACGGAAGCATTCTCAGAAAGTGCTTTGTGATGTTTGCATTCAAGTCACAGAGTAGAATGTTCCCTTTTATAGAGCAGGTTTGAAACACTCTTTCTGCACTACCTGGAAGTGGACATTTGGAGCGCTTTGAGGCCTATGTTGAAAAAGGAAATATCTTCCCATAAAAACTAGACAGAAGCATTCTCAGAAACTTGTTTGTGATGTGTGTATTCAACTAACAGAGATGAACCTTTCTTTTTACAGAGCAGTTTTGAAACACTCTTTTTGTGGAATCTGAAAGTGGATATTTGGATAGCTTTGAGGATTTCGTTGGAAACGGGATTACATATAAAACCTAGAGAGAAGCATTCTCAGGAACTTTTTGTGATGTTTGCATTCAAGTCACAGAACTGAACATTCCCTTTCATAGAGCAGGTTTGAAACACTCTTTCTGTAGTATCTGCAAGCTGACGTTTCAAGAGCTTTCAGGCCTATGGTGAGAAAGGAAATATCTTCAAGTAAAAACTAGACAGAAGCATTCTCAGAAACATATTTGCCATGTGTGTTCTCAACTAACAGAGTTGAACCTTTGTTTTGATACAGCATTTTGGAAACACTCTTTTTGTAGAATCTGCAGGTGGATATTCGGATAGCTTTGAAGGTTTCGTTGGAAACGGGAATATCTTCATATAAAATCAAGACAGAAGCATTCTCTGAAACTTCTCTGTGATGTTTGCATTCAACTCATAGAGTTGAACACTTCCCTTCATACAGCAGGTTTGAAACACTCTTTTTGTAATATTTGGAAGTGGACATTTGCAGCGCTTTGAGGCCTATGTTGAAAAAGGAAATATCTTCTCCTAAAAACCAGACAGAAGAATTCTCAGAAACTTCCTTGTGATGTGTGTACTCAAGTAACAGAGTGGAACCTTACTTTTGACAGAGCCGTTTTGAAACAGTCTTTTTGTAGAATCTGGAAGTAGATATTTGGATACCTTTGAGGATTTCTTTGGAAACGGGATATCTTCATATAACATCTAGACAGAAGCATTCTCAGGAACTTCTTTGTGATGTTTGCATTCAAGTCACAGAACTGAACATTCCGTTTCATAGAGCAGGTTTGAAACACTCTTTCTGTAGTATCTGCAAGCTGACGTTTCAAGCGCTTTCAGGCCTATGGTGAGAAAGGAAATATCTTCAAGTAAAAACTAGACAGAAGAATTCTCAGAAACTTATTTGCCATGTGTGTTCTCAACTAACAGAGTTGAACCTTTGTTTTGATACGGCATTTTGGAAACACTCTTTTTGTAGAATCTGCAGGTGGATATTCGGATAGCTTTGAAGATTTCGTTGGAAACGGGAATATCTTCATATAAAACCTAGACGGAAGCATTCTCAGAAACTGCTTTGTGATGTTTTCATTCAAGTCACAGAGTAGAATGTTCCCTTTTATAGAGCAGGTTTGAGACACTCTTTCTGCACTACCTGGAAGTGGACATTTGGAGCGCTTTGAGGCCTATGATGAAAAAGGAAATATCTTCCCATAAAAACTAGACAGATGCATTCTCAGAAACTTGTTTGTGATGTGTGTATTCAACTAACAGAGATGAACCTTTCTTTTTACAGAGCAGTTTTGAAACACTCTTTTTGTGGAATCTGAAAGTGGATATTTGGATAGCTTTGAGGATTTCGTTGGAAACGGGATTACATATAAAATCTAGAGAGAAGCATTCTCAGGAACTTCTTTGTGATGTTTGCATTCACGTCACAGAACTGAACATTCCCTTTCATAGAGCATGTTTGAAACACTCTTTCTGTAGTATCTGCAAACGGACATTTCAAGCGCTTTCAGGCCTATGGTGAGAAAGGAAATATCTTCAAATAAAAACTAGACAGAAGCATTCTCAGAAACTTATTTGCGATGTGTGTCCTCAACTAACAGAGTTGAACCTTTGTTTTGATACAACATTTTGGAAACACTCTTTTTGTAGAATCTGCAAGTGGATATTTGGATATCTTTGAAGGTTTCGTTGGAAACGGGAATATCTTCATATAAAATCAAGACAGAAGCATTTTCAGAAACTTCTCTGTGATGTTTGCATTCAACTCATGGAGTTGAACACTTCCCTTCATACAGTAGGTTTGAAACACTCTTTTTGTAATATTTGGAAGTGGACATTTGCAGCGCTTTGAGGCCTATGTAGAAAAAGGAAATATCTTCTCCTAAAAACCAGACAGAAGCATTCTCAGAAACTTCCGTGTGATGTGTGTACTCAAGTAACAGAGTTGAACCTTACTTTTGACAGAGCCGTTTTGAAACAGTGTTTTTGTAGAATCTGGAAGTAGATATTTGGATACATTTGAGAATTTCTTTGGAAACGGGATATCTTCATATAAAACCTAGACAGAAGCATTCTCAGGAACTTCTTTGTGATGTTTGCATTCAAGTCACAGAACTGAACATTCCCTTTCATAGAGCAGCTTTGAAACACTCTTTCTGTAGTGTCTGCAAGCGGACGTTTCAAGCGCTTTCAGGCCTGTGGTGAAAAAGGAAATATCTTCAAATAAAAACTAGACAGAAGCATTCTCAGAAACTTATTTGCGATGTGTGTCCTCAACTAACAGAGTTGAACCTTTCTTTTGATACAACATTTTGGAAACACTCTTTTTGTAGAATCTGCAAGTGGATATTTGAATAGCTTTGAAGGTTTCGTTGGAAACGGGAATATCTTCATATAAAATCAAGACAGAAGCATTCTCAGAAACTTCTCTGTGATGTTTGCATTCAACTCATAGAGTTGAACACTTCCCTTCATACAGCAGGTTTGAAACACTCTTTTTGTAATATTTGGAAGTGGACATTTGCAGCGCTTTGAGGCCTATGATGAAAAAGGTAATATCTTCCCATAAAAACTAGACAGAAGCATTCTCAGAAACTTGTTTGTGATGTGTGTATTCAACTAACAGAGATGAACCTTTCTTTTTACAGAGCAGTTTTGAATCACTCTTTTTGTGGAATCTGAAAGTGGATATTTGGATAGCTTTGCGGATTTCGTTGGAAACGGGATTACATATAAAACCTAGAGAGAAGCATTCTCAGGAACTTCTTTGTGATGTTTGCATTCACGTCACAGAACTGAACATTCCCTTTCATAGAGCATGTTTGAAACACTCTTTCTGTAGTATCTGCAAACGGACATTTCAAACGCTTTCAGGCCTATGGTGAGAAAGGAAATATCTTCAAGTAAAAACTAGACAGAAGCATTCTCAGAAACTTATTTGCGATGTGTGTCCTCAACTAACAGAGTTGAACCTTTCTTTTGATACAACATTTTGGAAACACTCTTTTTGTAGAATCTGCAAGTGGATATTTGAATAGCTTTGAAGGTTTCGTTGGAAACGGGAATATCTTCATATAAAATCAAGACAGAAGCATTCTCAGAAACTTCTCTGTGATGTTTGCATTCAACTCATAGAGTTGAACACTTCCCTTCATACAGCAGGTTTGAAACACTCTTTTTGTAATATTTGGAAGTGGACATTTGCAGCGCTTTGAGGCCTATGTTGAAAAAGGAAATATCTTCTCCTAAAAACCAGACAGAAGCATTCTCAGAAACTTCCTTGTGATGTGTGTACTCAAGTAACAGAGTTGAACCTTCCTTTTTACAGAGCAGTTTTGAAACACTCTTTTTGTGGAATCTGAAAGTGGATATTTGGATAGCTTTGCGGATTTCGTTATAAACGGGATTACATATAAAATCTAGGGAGAAGCATTCTCAGGAACTTCTTTGTGATGTTTGCATTCAAGTCACAGAACTGAACATTCCCTTTCATAGAGCAGGTTTGAAACACTCTTTCTGTAGTATCTGCAAGCGGACGTTTTAAGCGCTTTCAGGCCTGTGGTGAGAAAGGAAATATCTTCAAATAAAAACTAGACAGAAGCATTCTCAGAAACTTATTTGCGATGTGTGTCCTCAACTAACAGAGTTGAACCTTTCTTTTGATACAACATTTTGGAAACACTCTTTTTGTAGAATCTGCAAGTGGATATTTGGATAGCTTTGAAGGTTTCGTTGGAAACGGGAATATCTTCATATGAAATCAAGACAGAAGCATTCTCAGAAACTTCTCTGTGATGTTTGCATTCAACTCATAGAGTTGAACACTTCCCTTCATACAGCAGGTTTGAAACACTCTTTTTGTAATATTTGGAAGTGGACATTTGCAGCGCTTTGAGGCCTATGTTGAAAAAGGAAATATCTTCTCCTAAAAACCAGACAGAAGCATTCTCAGAAACTTCCTTGTGATGTGTGTACTCAAGTAACACAGTTGAACCTTCCTTTTGACAGAGCAGTTTTGAAGCACTCTTTTTGTAGAATCTGCAAGTGGATATTTTGATACCTTTGAGGATTTCGTTGGACACGGGATATCTTCATATAAAATCTAGACAGAAGCATTCTCAGAAACTTCTTTGTGCTGTATGTCCTCAATTAACAGAGTTGAACCTTTGTGTGGATACAGCATTTTGGAAACATTCCTTTAGTAGAATCTGCAAGTTGATATTTAGATAGCTAGGAAGATTTCCTTGGAAACGGGAATATCTTCATATAAAATCTAGACGGAAGCATTCTCAGAAAGTGTTTTGTGATGTTTGCATTCAAGTCACAGAGTTGAATATTCCCTTTTATAGAGCAGGTTTGAAACACTCTTTCTGCACTACCTGGAAGTGGACATTTGGAGCGCTTTGAGGCCTATGTTGAAAAACGAAATATCTTCCCATAAAAACTAGACAGAAGCATTCTCAGAAACTTGTTTGTGATGTGTGTATTCAACTAACAGAGATGAACCTTTCTTTTTACAGAGCAGTTTTGAAACACTCTTTTTGTGGAATCTGAAAGTGGATATTTGGATAGCTTTGAGGATTTCGTTGGAAACGGGATTACATATAAAACCTAGAGAGAAGCATTCTCAGGAACTTCTTTTTGATGTTTGCCTTCAAGTCACAGGACTGAACATTCCCTTTCATAGAGCAGGTTTGAAACACTCTTTCTGTAGTATCTGCAAGCTGACGTTTCAAGCGCTTTCAGGCCTATGGTGAGAAAGGAAATATCTTCAAGTAAAAACTAGACAGAAGCATTCTCAGAAACATATTTGCCATGTGTGTTCTCAACTAACAGAGTTGAACCTTTGTTTTGATATGGCATTTTGGAAACACTCTTTTTGTAGAATCTGCAGGTGGATATTCGGATAGCTTTGAAGGTTTCGTTGGAAACGGGAATATCTTCATATAAAATCTAGACGGAAGCATTCTCAGAAACTGCTTTGTGATGTTTTCATTCAAGTCACAGAGTAGAATGTTCCCTGTTATATACCAGGTTTGAGACACTCTTTCTGCACTACCTGGAAGTGGACATTTGCAGCGCTTTGAGGCCTATGATGAAAAAGGAAATATCTTCCCATAAAAACTAGACAGAAGCATTCTCAGAAACTTGTTTTTGATGTGTGTATTCAACTAACAGAGATGAACCTTTCTTTTTACAGAGCAGTTTTGAAACACTCTTTTTGTGGAATCTGAAAGTGGATATTTGGATAGCTTTGAGGATTTCGTTGGAAACGGGATTACATATAAAATCTAGAGAGAAGCATTCTCAGGAACTTCTTTGTGATGTTTGCATTCACGTCACAGAACTGAACATTCCCTTTCATAGAGCATGTTTGAAACACTCTTTCTGTAGTATCTGCAAACGGACATTTCAAACGCTTTCAGGCCTATGGTGAGAAAGGAAATATGCTTCAAATAAAAACTAGACAGAAGCATTCTCAGAAACTTATTTGCGATGTGTGTCCTCAACTAACAGAGTTGAACCTTTCTTTTGATACAACATTTTGGAAACACTCTTTTTGTAGAATCTGCAAGTGGATATTTGAATAGCTTTGAAGGTTTCGTTGGAAACGGGAATATCTTCATATAAAATCAAGACAGAAGCATTCTCAGCAAACTTCTCTGTGATGTTTGCATTCAACTCATAGAGTTGAACACTTCCCTTCATACAGCAGGTTTGAAACACTCTTTTTGTAATATTTGGAAGTGGACATTTGCAGCGCTTTGAGGCCTATGATGAAAAAGGAAATATCTTCCCATAAAAACTAGACAGAAGCATTCTCAGAAACTTGTTTGTGATGTGTGTATTCAACTAACAGAGATGAACCTTTCTTTTTACAGAGCAGTTTTGAAACACTCTTTTTGTGGAATCTGAAAGTGGATATTTGGATAGCTTTGCGGATTTCGTTGGAAACGGGATTACATATAAAATCTAGGGAGAAGCATTCTCAGGAACTTCTTTGTGATGTTTGCATTCAAGTCACAGAACTGAACATTCCCTTTCATAGAGCAGGTTTGAAACACTCTTTCTGTAGTATCTGCAAGCGGACGTTTTAAGCGCTTTCAGGCCTGTGGTGAGAAAGGAAATATCTTCAAATAAAAACTAGACAGAAGCATTCTCAGAAACTTATTTGCGATGTGTGTCCTCAACTAACAGAGTTGAACCTTTCTTTTGATACAACATTTTGGAAACACTCTTTTTGTAGAATCTGCAAGTGGATATTTGGATAGCTTTGAAGGTTTCGTTGGAAACGGGAATATCTTCATATGAAATCAAGACAGAAGCATTCTCAGAAACTTCTCTGTGATGTTTGCATTCAACTCATAGAGTTGAACACTTCCCTTCATACAGTAGGTTTGAAACACTCTTTTTCTAATATTTGGAAGTGGACATTTGCAGCGCTTTGAGGCCTATGTTGAAAAAGGAAATATCTTCTCCTAAAAACCAGACAGAAGCATTCTCAGAAACTTCCTTGTGATGTGTGTACTCAAGTAACAGAGTTGAACCTTCCTTTTGACAGAGCAGTTTTGAAGCACTCTTTTTGTAGAATCTGCAAGTGGATATTTTGATACCTTTGAGGATTTCGTTGGACACGGGATATCTTCATATAAAATCTAGACAGAAGCATTCTCAGAAACTTCTTTGTGCTGTATGTCCTCAATTAACAGAGTTGAACCTTTGTGTGGATACAGCATTTTGGAAACATTCCTTTAGTAGAATCTGCAAGTTGATATTTAGATAGCTAGGAAGATTTCCTTGGAAACGGGAATATCTTCATATAAAATCTAGACGGAAGCATTCTCAGAAAGTGCTTTGTGATGTTTGCATTCAAGTCACAGAGTTGAATATTCCCTTTTATAGAGCAGGTTTGAAACACTCTTTCTGCACTACCTGGAAGTGGACATTTGGAGCGCTTTGAGGCCTATGTTGAAAAAGGAAATATCTTCCCATAAAAACTAGACAGAAGCATTCTCAGAAACTTGTTTGTGATGTGTGTATTCAACTAACAGAGATGAACCTTTCTTTTTACAGAGCAGTTTTGAAACACTCTTTTTGTGGAATCTGAAAGTGGATATTTGGATAGCTTTGAGGATTTCGTTGGAAACGGGATTACATATAAAACCTAGAGAGAAGGATTCTCAGGAACTTCTTTGTGATGTTTGCATTCACGTCACAGAACTGAACATTCCCTTTCATAGAGCATGTTTGAAACACTCTTTCTGTAGTATCTGCAAACGGACATTTCAAACGCTTTCAGGCCTATGGTGAGAAAGGAAATATCTTCAAATAAAAACTAGACAGAAAGCATTCTCAGAAACTTATTTGCCATGTGTGTTCTCAACTAACAGAGTTGAACCTTTGTTTTGATACGGCATTTTGGAAACACTCTTTTTGTAGAATCTGCAGGTGGATATACGGATAGCTTTGAAGGTTTCGTTGGAAACGGGAATATCTTCATATAAAGTCTAGACGGAAGCATTCTCAGAAACTGCTTTGTGATGTTTTCATTCAAGTCACAGAGTTGAATGTTCCCTGTTATATACCAGGTTTGAGACACTCTTTCTGCACTACCCGGAAGTGGACGTTTGGAGCGCTTTGAGGCCAATGTTGAAAAAGGAAATATCTTCCCATAAAAACTAGACAGAAGCATTCTCAGAAACTTGTTTGTGATGTGTGTATTCAACTAACAGAGATGAACCTTTCTTTTTACAGAGCAGTTTTGAAACACTCTTTTTGTGGAATCTGAAAGTGGATATTTGGATAGCTTTGAGGATTTCGTTGGAAACGGGATTACATATAAAATCTAGAGAGAAGCATTCTCAGGAACTTCTTTGTGATGTTTGCATTCACGTCACAGAACTGAACATTCCCTTTCATAGAGCATGTTTGAAACACTCTTTCTGTAGTATCTGCAAACGGACATTTCAAACGCTTTCAGGCCTATGGTGAGAAAGGAAATATCTTCAAGTAAAAACTAGACAGAAGCATTCTCAGAAACTTATTTGCGATGTGTGTCCTCAACTAACAGAGTTGAACCTTTCTTTTGATACAACATTTTGGAAACACTCTTTTTGTAGAATCTGCAAGTGGATATTTGAATAGCTTTGAAGGTTTCGTTGGAAACGGGAATATCTTCATATAAAATCAAGACAGAAGCATTCTCAGAAACTTCTCTGTGATGTTTGCATTCAACTCATAGAGTTGAACACTTCCCTTCATACAGCAGGTTTGAAACACTCTTTTTGTAATATTTGGAAGTGGACATTTGCAGCGCTTTGAGGCCTATGATGAAAAAGGTAATATCTTCCCATAAAAACTAGACAGAAGCATTCTCAGAAACTTGTTTGTGATGTGTGTATTCAACTAACAGAGATGAACCTTTCTTTTTACAGAGCAGTTTTGAAACACTCTTTTTGTGGAATCTGAATGTGGATATTTGGATAGCTTTGCGGATTTCGTTGGAAACGGGATTACATATAAAATCTAGGGAGAAGCATTCTCAGGAACTTCTTTGTGATGTTTGCCTTCAAGTCACAGGACTGAACATTCCCTTTCATAGAGCAGGTTTGAAACACTCTTTCTGTAGTATCTGCAAGCTGACGTTTCAAGCGCTTTCAGGCCTATGGTGAGAAAGGAAATATCTTCAAGTAAAAACTAGACAGAAGCATTCTCAGAAACTTATTTGCCATGTGTGTTCTCAACTAACAGAGTTGAACCTTTGTTTTGATACGGCATTTTGGAAACACTCTTTTTGTAGAATCTGCAGGTGGATATTCGGATAGCTTTGAAGGTTTCGTTGGAAACGGGAATATCTTCATATAAAATCTAGACGGAAGCATTCTCAGAAACTGCTTTGTGATGTTTTCATTCAAGTCACAGAGTAGAATGTTCCCTGTTATATACCAGGTTTGAGACACTCTTTCTGCACTACCCGGAAGTGGACGTTTGGAGCGCTTTGAGGCCTATGTTGAAAAACGAAATATCTTCCCATAAAAACTAGACAGAAGCATTCTCAGAAACTTGTTTGTGATGTGTGTATTCAACTAACAGAGATGAACCTTTCTTTTTACAGAGCAGTTTTGAAACACTCTTTTTGTGGAATCTGAAAGTGGATATTTGGATAGCTGTGAGGATTTCGTTGGAAACGGGATTACATATAAAATCTAGAGAGAAGCATTCTCAGGAACTTCTTTGTGATGTTTGCAATCACGTCACAGAACTGAACATTCCCTTTCATAGAGCATGTTTGAAACACTCTTTCTGTAGTATCTGCAAACGGACATTTCAAACGCTTTCAGGCCTATGGTGAGAAAGGAAATATCTTCAAGTAAAAACTAGACAGAAGCATTCTCAGAAACTTATTTGCGATGTGTTTCCTCAACTAACAGAGTTGAACCTTTCTTTTGATACAACATTTTGGAAACACTCTTTTTGTAGAATCTGCAAGTGGATATTTGAATAGCTTTGAAGGTTTCGTTGGAAACGGGAATATCTTCATATAAAATCAAGACAGAAGCATTCTCAGAAACTTCTCTGTGATGTTTGCATTCAACTCATAGAGTTGAACACTTCCCTTCATACAGCAGGTTTGAAACACTCTTTTTGTAATATTTGGAAGTGGACTTTTGCAGCGCTTTGAGGCCTATGATGAAAAAGGTAATATCTTCCCATAAAAACTAGACAGAAGCATTCTCAGAAACTTGTTTGTGATGTGTGTATTCAACTTACAGAGATGAACCTTTCTTTTTACAGAGCAGTTTTGAAACACTCTTTTTGTGGAATCTGAAAGTGGATATTTGGATAGCTTTGCGGATTTCGTTGGAAACGGGATTACATATAAAATCTAGGGAGAAGCATTCTCAGGAACTTCTTTGTGATGTTTGCATTCAAGTCACAGAACTGAACATTCCCTTTCATAGAGCAGGTTTGAAACACTCTTTCTGTAGTATCTGCAAGCGGACGTTTTAAGCGCTTTCAGGCCTGTGGTGAGAAAGGAAATATCTTCAAATAAAAACTAGACAGAAGCATTCTCAGAAACTTATTTGCGATGTGTGTCCTCAACTAACAGAGTTGAACCTTTCTTTTGATACAACATTTTGGAAACACTCTTTTTGTAGAATCTGCAAGTGGATATTTGGATAGCTTTGAAGGTTTCGTTGGATACGGGAATATCTTCATATGAAATCAAGACAGAAAGCATTCTGAGAAACTGCTTTGTGATGTTTTCATTCAAGTCACAGAGTAGAATGTTCCCTGTTATATACCAGGTTTGAGACACTCTTTCTGCACTACCTGGAAGTGGACATTTGCAGCGCTTTGAGGCCTATGATGAAAAAGGAAATATCTTCCCATAAAAACTAGACAGAGCATTCTCAGAAACTTGTTTGTGATGTGTGTATTCAACTAACAGAGATGAACCTTTCTTTTTACAGAGCAGTTTTGAAACACTCTTTTTGTGGAATCTGAAAGTGGATATTTGGATAGCTTTGAGGATTTCGTTGGAAACGGGATTACATATAAAACCTAGAGAGAAGCATTCTCAGGAACTTCTTTGTGATGTTTGCATTCAAGTCACAGAACTGAACATTCCCTTTCATAGAGCAGGTTTGAAACACTCTTTCTGTAGTATCTGCAAGCTGACGTTTCAAGCGCTTTCAGGCCTATGGTGAGAAAGGAAATATCTTCAAGTAAAAACTAGACAGAAGCATTCTCAGAAACTTATTTGCGATGTGTGTTCTCAACTAACAGAGTTGAACCTTTGTTTTGATATGGCATTTTGGAAACACTCTTTTTGTAGAATCTGCAGGTGGATATTCGGATAGCTTTGAAGGTTTCGTTGGAAACGGGAATATCTTCATATAAAATCTAGACGGAAGCATTCTCAGAAACTGCTCTGTGATGTTTTCATTCAAGTCACAGAGTAGAATGTTCCCTGTTATATACCAGGTTTGAGACACTCTTTCTGCACTACCTGGAAGTGGACATTTGCAGCGCTTTGAGGCCTATGATGAAAAAGGAAATATCTTCCCATAAAAACTAGACAGAAGCATTCTCAGAAACTTGTTTTTGATGTGTGTATTCAACTAACAGAGATGAACCTTTCTTTTTACAGAGCAGTTTTGAAACACTCTTTTTGTGGAATCTGAAAGTGGATATTTGGATAGCTTTGAGGAATTCGTTGGAAACGGGATTACATATAAAATCTAGAGAGAAGCATTCTCAGGAACTTCTTTGTGATGTTTGCATTCACGTCACAGAACTGAACATTCCCTTTCATAGAGCATGTTTGAAACACTCTTTCTGTAGTATCTGCAAACGGACATTTCAAACGCTTTCAGGCCTATGGTGAGAAAGGAAATATCTTCAAATAAAAACTAGACAGAAGCATTCTCAGAAACTTATTTGCGATGTGTGTCCTCAACTAACAGAGTTGAACCTTTCTTTTGATACAACATTTTGGAAACACTCTTTTTGTAGAATCTGCAAGTGGATATTTGAATAGCTTTGAAGGTTTCGTTGGAAACGGGAATATCTTCATATAAAATCAAGACAGAAGCATTCTCAGAAACTTCTCTGTGATGTTTGCATTCAACTCATAGAGTTGAACACTTCCCTTCATACAGCAGGTTTGAAACACTCTTTTTGTAATATTTGGAAGTGGACATTTGCAGCGCTTTGAGGCCTATGTTGAAAAAGGAAATATCTTCTCCTAAAAACCAGACAGAAGCATTCTCAGAAACTTCCTTGTGATGTGTGTACTCAAGTAACAGAGTTGAACCTTCCTTTTGACAGAGCAGTTTTGAAGCACTCTTTTTGTAGAATCTGCAAGTGGATATTTTGATACCTTTGAGGATTTCGTTGGACACGGGATATCTTCATATAAAATCTAGACAGAAGCATTCTCAGAAACTTCTTTGTGCTGTATGTCCTCAATTAACAGAGTTGAACCTTTGTGTGGATACAGCATTTTGGAAACATTCCTTTAGTAGAATCTGCAAGTTGATATTTAGATAGCTAGGAAGATTTCCTTGGAAACGGGAATATCTTCATATAAAATCTACACGGAAGCATTCTCAGAAAGTGCTTTGTGATGTTTGCATTCAAGTCACAGAGTTGAATATTCCCTTTTATAGAGCAGGTTTGAAACACTCTTTCTGCACTACCTGGAAGTGGACATTTGGAGCGCTTTGAGGCCTATGTTGAAAAACGAAATATCTTCCCATAAAAACTAGACAGAAGCATTCTCAGAAACTTGTTTGTGATGTGTGTATTCAACTAACAGAGATGAACCTTTCTTTTTACAGAGCAGTTTTGAAACACTCTTTTTGTGGAATCTGAAAGTGGATATTTGGATAGCTTTGAGGATTTCGTTGGAAACGGGATTACATATAAAACCTAGAGAGAAGCATTCTCAGGAACTTCTTTGTGATGTTTGCCTTCAAGTCACAGGACTGAACATTCCCTTTCATAGAGCAGGTTTGAAACACTCTTTCTGTAGTATCTGCAAGCTGACGTTTCAAGCGCTTTCAGGCCTATGGTGAGAAAGGAAATATCTTCAAGTAAAAACTAGACAGAAACATTCTCAGAAACTTATTTGCCATGTGTGTTCTCAACTAACAGAGTTGAACCTTTGTTTTGATACGGCATTTTGGAAACACTCTTTTTGTAGAATCTGCAGGTGGATATTCGGATAGCTTTGAAGGTTTCGTTGGAAACGGGAATATCTTCATATAAAACCTTGACGGAAGCATTCTCAGAAACTGCTTTGTGATGTTTTCATTCAAGTCACAGAGTAGAATGTTCCCTGTTATATACCAGGTTTGAGACACTCTTTCTGCACTACCTGGAAGTGGACGTTTGGAGCGCTTGAGGCCTATGTTGAAAAAGGAAATATCTTCCCATAAAAACTAGACAGAAGCATTCTCAGAAACTTGTTTGTGATGTGTGTATTCAACTAACAGAGATGAACCTTTCTTTTTACTGAGCAGTTTTGAAACACTCTTTTTGTGGAATCTGAAAGTGGATATTTGGATAGCTTTGAGGATTTCGTTGGAAACGGGATTACATATAAAATCTAGAGAGAAGCATTCTCAGGAACTTCTTTGTGATGTTTGCATTCACGTCACAGAACTGAACATTCCCTTTCATAGAGCATGTTTGAAACACTCTTTCTGTAGTATCTGCAAACGGACATTTCAAACGCTTTCAGGCCTATGGTGAGAAAGGAAATATCTTCAAATAAAAACTAGACAGAAGCATTCTCAGCAACTTATTTGCGATGTGTGTCATCAACTAACAGAGTTGAACCTTTCTTTTGATACAACATTTTGGAAACACTCTTTTTGTAGAATCTGCAAGTGGATATTTGGATAGCTTTGAAGGTTTCGTTGGAAACGGGAATATCTTCATATAAAATCAAGACAGAAGCATTCTCAGAAACTTCTCGGTGATGTTTGCATTCAACTCATAGAGTTGAACACTTCCCTTCATACAGCAGGTTTGAAACACTCTTTTTGTAATATTTGGAAGTGGACATTTGCAGCGCTTTGAGGCCTATGATGAAAAAGGTAATATCTTCCCATAAAAACTAGACAGAAGCATTCTCAGAAACTTGTTTGAGATGTGTGTATTCAACTAACAGAGATGAACCTTTCTTTTTACAGAGCAGTTTTGAAACACTCTTTTTGTGGAATCTGAAAGTGGATATTTGGATAGCTTTGGGGATTTCGTTGGAAACGGGATTACATATAAAATCTAGGGAGAAGCATTCTCAGGAACTTCTTTGTGATGTTTGCATTCAAGTCACAGAACTGAACATTCCCTTTCATAGATCAGGTTTGAAACACTCTTTCTGTAGTATCTGCAAGCGGACGTTTTAAGCGCTTTCAGGCCTGTGGTGAGAAAGGAAATATCTTCAAATAAAAACTAGACAGAAGCATTCTCAGAAACTTATTTGCGATGTGTGTCCTCAACTAACAGAGTTGAACCTTTCTTTTGATACAACATTTTGGAAACACTCTTTTTGTAGAATCTGCAAGTGGATATTTGGATAGCTTTGAAGGTTTCGTTGGAAACGGGAATATCTTCATATGAAATCAAGACAGAAGCATTCTCAGAAACTTCTCTGTGATGTTTGCATTCAACTCATAGAGTTGAACACTTCCCTTCATACAGCAGGTTTGAAACACTCTTTTTCTAATATTTGGAAGTGGACATTTGCAGCGCTTTGAGGCCGATGTTGAAAAAGGAAATATCTTCTCCTAAAAACCAGACAGAAGCATTCTCAGAAACTTCCTTGTGATGTGTGTACTCAAGTAACAGAGTTGAACCTTCCTTTTGACAGAGCAGTTTTGAAGCACTCTTTTTGTAGAATCTGCAAGTGGATATTTTGATACCTTTGAGGATTTCGTTGGACACGGGATATCTTCATATAAAATCTAGACAGAAGCATTCTCAGAAACTTCTTTGTGCTGTATGTCCTCAATTAACAGAGTTGAACGTTTGTGTGGATACGGCATTTTGGAAACATTCCTTTAGTAGAATCTGCAAGTTGATATTTAGATAGCTAGGAAGATTTCCTTGGAAACGGGAATATCTTCATATAAAATCTAGACGGAAGCATTCTCAGAAAGTGCTTTGTGATGTTTGCATTCAAGTCACAGAGTTGAATATTCCCTTTTATAGAGCAGGTTTGAAACACTCTTTCTGCACTACCTGGAAGTGGACATTTGGAGCGCTTTGAGGCCTATGTTGAAAAAGGAAATATCTTCCCATAAAAACTAGACAGAAGCATTCTCAGAAACTTGTTTGTGATGTGTGTATTCAACTAACAGAGATGAACCTTTCTTTTTACAGAGCAGTTTTGAAACACTCTTTTTGTGGAATCTGAAAGTGGATATTTGGATAGCTTTGAGGATTTCGTTGGAAACGGGATTACATATAAAACCTAGAGAGAAGCATTCTCAGGAACTTCTTTGTGATGTTTGCATTCAAGTCACAGAACTGAACATTCCCTTTCATAGAGCAGGTTTGAAACACTCTTTCTGTAGTATCTGCAAGCTGACGTTTCAAGCGCTTTCAGGCCTATGGTGAGAAAGGAAATATCTTCAAGTAAAAACTAGACAGAAGCATTCTCAGAAACTTATTTGCCATGTGTGTTCTCAACTAACAGAGTTGAACCTTTGTTTTGATACGGCATTTTGGAAACACTCTTTTTGTAGAATCTGCAGGTGGATATTCGGATAGCTTTGAAGGTTTCGTTGGAAACGGGAATATCTTCATATAAAATCTAGACGGAAGCATTCTCAGAAACTGCTTTGTGATGTTTTCATTCAAGTCACAGAGTAGAATGTTCCCTGTTATACACCAGGTTTGAGACACTCTTTCTGCACTACCTGGAAGTGGACGTTTGGAGCGCTTTGAGGCCTATGTTGAAAAAGGAAATATCTTCCCATAAAAACTAGACAGAAGCATTCTCAGAAACTTGTTTGTGATGTGTGTATTCAACTAACAGGGATGAACCTTTCTTATTACAGAGCAGTTTTGAAACACTCTTTTTGTGGAATCTGAAAGTGGATATTTGGATAGCTTTGAGGATTTCGTTGGAAACGGGATTACATATAAAACCTAGAGAGAAGCATTCTCAGGAACTTCTTTGTGATGTTTGCATTCAAGTCACAGAACTGAACATTCCCTTTCATAGAGCATGTTTGAAACACTCTTTCTGTAGTATCTGCAAACGGACATTTCAAACGCTTTCAGGCCTATGGTGAGAAAGGAAATATCTTCAAATAAAAACTAGACAGAAGCATTCTCAGAAACTTGTTTGCGATGTGTTTCCTCAACTAACAGAGTTGAACCTTTCTTTTGATACAACATTTTGGAAACACTCTTTTTGTAGAATCTGCAAGTGGATATTTGGATAGCTTTGAAGGTTTCTTTGGAAACGGGAATATCTTCATATAAAATCAAGACAGAAGCATTCTCAGAAACTTCTCTGTGATGTTTGCATTCAACTCATAGAGTTGAACACTTCCCTTCATACAGCAGGTTTGAAACACTCTTTTTGTAATATTTGGAAGTGGACATTTGCAGCGCTTTGAGGCCTATGATGAAAAAGGTAATATCTTCCCATAAAAACTAGACAGAAGCATTCTCAGAAACTTGTTTGTGATGTGTGTATTCAACTAACAGAGATGAACCTTTCTTTTTACAGAGCAGTTTTGAAACACTCTTTGTGTGGAATCTGAAAGTGGATATTTGGATAGCTTTGCGGATTTCGTTGGAAACGGGATTACATATAAAATCTAGGGAGAAGCATTCTCAGGAACTTCTTTGTGATGTTTGCCTTCTAGTCACAGGACTGAACATTCCCTTTCATAGAGCATGTTTGAAACACTCTTTCTGTAGTATCTGCAAGCTGACGTTTCAAGCGCTTTCAGGCCTACGGTGAGAAAGGAAATATCTTCAAGTAAAAACTAGACAGAAGCATTCTCAGAAACTTATTTGCCATGTGTGTTCTCAACTAACAGAGTTGAACCTTTGTTTTGATACGGCATTTTGGAAACACTCTTTTTGTAGAATCTGCAGGTGGATATTCGGATAGCTTTGAAGGTTTCGTTGGAAACGGGAATATCTTCATATAAAATCTAGACGGAAGCATTCTCAGAAACTGCTTTGTGATGTTTTCATTCAAGTCACAGAGTAGAATGTTCCCTGTTATATACCAGGTTTGAGACACTCTTTCTGCACAACCTGGAAGTGGACGTTTGGAGCGCTTTGAGGCCTATGTTGAAAAAGGAAATATCTTCCCATAAAAACTAGACAGAAGCATTCTCAGAAACTTGTTTGTGATGTGTGTATTCAACTAACAGAGATGAACCTTTCTTTTTACAGAGCAGTTTTGAAACACTCTTTTTGTGGAATCTGAAAGTGGATATTTGGATAGCTTTGAGGATTTCGTTGGAAACGGGATTACATATAAAATCTAGAGAGAAGCATTCTCAGGAACTTCTTTGTGATGTTTGCATTCACGTCACAGAACTGAACATTCCCTTTCATAGAGCATGTTTGAAACACTCTTTCTGTAGTATCTGCAAACGGACATTTCAAACGCTTTCAGGCCTATGGTGAGAAAGGAAATATCTTCAAATAAAAACTAGACAGAAGCATTCTCAGAAACTTATTTGCGATGTGTGTCCTCAACTAACAGAGTTGAACCTTTCTTTTGATACAACATTTTGGAAACACTCTTTTTGTAGAATCTGCAAGTGGATATTTGAATAGCTTTGAAGGTTTCGTTGGAAACGGGAATATCTTCATATAAAATCAAGACAGAAGCATTCTCAGAAACTTCTCTGTGATGTTTGCATTCAACTCATAGAGTTGAACACTTCCCTTCATACAGCAGGTTTGAAACACTCTTTTTGTAATATTTGGAAGTGGACATTTGCAGCGCTTTGAGGCCTATGTTGAAAAAGGAAATATCTTCTCCTAAAAACCAGACAGAAGCATTCTCAGAAACTTCCTTGTGATGTGTGTACTCAAGTAACAGAGTTGAACCTTCCTTTTTACAGAGCAGTTTTGAAACACTCTTTTTGTGGAATGTGAAAGTGGATATTTGGATAGCTTTGCGGATTTCGTTATAAACGGGATTACATATAAAATCTAGGGAGAAGCATTCTCAGGAACTTCTTTGTGATGTTTGCATTCAAGTCACAGAACTGAACATTCCCTTTCATAGAGCAGGTTTGAAACACTCTTTCTGTAGTATCTGCAAGCGGACGTTTTAAGCGCTTTCAGGCCTGTGGTGAGAAAGGAAATATCTTCAAATAAAAACTAGACAGAAGCATTCTCAGAAACTTATTTGCGATGTGTGTCCTCAACTAACAGGAGTTGAACCTTTCTTTTGATACAACATTTTGGAAACACTCTTTCTGTAGAATCTGCAAGTGGATATTTGGATAGCTTTGAAGGTTTCGTTGGAAACGGGAATATCTTCATATGAAATCAAGACAGAAGCATTCTCAGAAACTTCTCTGTGATGTTTGCATTCAACTCATAGAGTTGAACACTTCCCTTCATACAGCAGGTTTGAAACACTCTTTTTGTAATATTTGGAAGTGGACATTTGCAGCGCTTTGAGGCCTATGATGAAAAAGGAAATATCTTCCCATAAAAACTAGACAGAAGCATTCTCAGAAACTTGTTTGTGATGTGTGTATTCAACTAACAGAGATGAACCTTTCTTTTTACAGAGCAGTTTTGAAACACTCTTTTTGTGGAATCTGAAAGTGGATATTTGGATAGCTTTGCGGATTTCGTTGGAAACGGGATTACATATAAAATCTAGGGAGAAGCATTCTCAGGAACTTCTTTGTGATGTTTGCGTTCAAGTCACAGAACTGAACATTCCCTTTCATAGAGCAGGTTTGAAACACTCTTTCTGTAGTATCTGCAAGCTGACGTTTCAAGCGCTTTCAGGCCTATGGTGAGAAAGGAAATATCTTCAAGTAAAAACTAGACAGAAGCATTCTCAGAAACTTATTTGCGATGTGTGTTCTCAACTAACAGAGTTGAACCTTTGTTTTGATATGGCATTTTGGAAACACTCTTTTTGTAGAATCTGCAGGTGGATATTCGGATAGCTTTGAAGGTTTCGTTGGAAACGGGAATATCTTCATATAAAATCTAGACGGAAGCATTCTCAGAAAGTGCTTTGTGATGTTTGCATTCAAGTCACAGAGTTGAATATTCCCTTTTATAGAGCAGGTTTGAAACACTCTTTCTGCACTACCTGGAAGTGGACATTTGGAGCGCTTTGAGGCCTATGTTGAAAAAGGAAATATCTTCCCATAAAAACTAGACAGAAGCATTCTCAGAAACTTGTTTGTGATGTGTGTATTCAACTAACAGAGATGAACCTTTCTTTTTACAGAGCAGTTTTGAAACACTCTTTTTGTGGAATCTGAAAGTGGATATTTGGATAGCTTTGAGGATTTCGTTGGAAACGGGATTACATATAAAACCTAGAGAGAAGCATTCTCAGGAACTTCTTTGTGATGTTTGCCTTCAAGTCACAGGACTGAACATTCCCTTTCATAGAGCAGGTTTGAAACACTCTTTCTGTAGTATCTGCAAGCTGACGTTTCAAGCGCTTTCAGGCCTATGGTGAGAAAGGAAATATCTTCAAGTAAAAACTAGACAGAAGCATTCTCAGAAACTTATTTGCCATGTGTGTTCTCAACTAACAGAGTTGAACCTTTGTTTTGATACGGCATTTTGGAAACACTCTTTTTGTAGAATCTGCAGGTGGATATTCGGATAGCTTTGAAGGTTTCGTTGGAAACGGGAATATCTTCATATAAAATCTAGACGGAAGCATTCTCAGAAACTGCTTTGTGATGTTTTCATTCAAGTCACAGAGTAGAATGTTCCCTGTTATATACCAGGTTTGAGACACTCTTTCTGCACTACCTTGAAGTGGACGTTTGGAGCGCTTTGAGGCCTATGTTGAAAAAGGAAATATCTTCCCATAAAAACTAGACAGAAGCATTCTCAGAAACTTGTTTGTGATGTGTGTATTCAACTAACAGAGATGAACCTTTCTTTTTACAGAGCAGTTTTGAAACACTCTTTTTGTGGAATCTGAAAGTGGATATTTGGATAGCTTTGAGGATTTCGTTGGAAACGGGATTACATATAAAATCTAGAGAGAAGCATTCTCAGGAACTTCTTTGTGATGTTTGCATTCAAGTCACAGAACTGAACATTCCCTGTCATAGAGCATGTTTGAAACACTCTTTCTGTAGTATCTGCAAGCGGACGTTTCAAGCGCTTTCAGGCCTATGGTGCGAAAGGAAATATCTTCAAGTAAAAACTAGACAGAAGCATTCTCAGAAACTTATTTGCCATGTGTGTTCTCAACTAACAGAGTTGAACCTTTGTTTTGATACGGCATTTTGGAAACACTCTTTTTGTAGAATCTGCAGGTGGATATTCGGATAGCTTTGAAGGTTTTGTTGGAAACGGGAATATCTTCATATAAAATCTAGACGGAAGCATTCTCAGAAACTGCTTTGTGATGTTTTCATTCAAGTCACAGAGTAGAATGTTCCCTTTTATATACCAGGTTTGAGACACTCTTTCTGCACTATCTGGAAGTGGACATTTGGAGCGCTTTGAGGCCTATGATGAAAAAGGAAATATCTTCCCATAAAAACTAGACAGAAGCATTCTCAGAAACTTGTTTGTGATGTGTGTATTCAACTAACAGTGATGAACCTTTCTTTTTACAGAGCAGTTTTGAAACACTCTTTTTGTGGAATCTGAAAGTGGATATTTGGATATCTTTGAGGATTTCGTTGGAAACGGGATTACATATAAAATCTAGAGAGAAGCATTCTCAGGAACTTCTTTGTGATGTTTGCATTCAAGTCACAGAACTGAACATTCCCTTTCATAGAGCATGTTTGAAACACTCTTTCTGTAGTATCTGCAAACGGACATTTCAAGCGCTTTCAGGCCTATGGTAAGAAAGGAAATATCTTCAAATAAAAACTAGACAGAAGCATTCTCAGAAACTTATTTGCGATGTGTGTCCTCAACTAACAGAGTTGAACCTTTGTTTTGATACAACATTTTGGAAACACTCTTGTTGTAGAATCTGCAAGTGGATATTTCGATAGCTTTGAAGGTTTCGTTGGAAACGGGAATATCTTCATATAAAATCAAGACAGAAGCATTCTCAGAAACTTCTCTGTGATGTTTGCATTCAACTCATAGAGTTGAACACTTCCCTTCATAGAGCAGGTTTGAAACACTCTTTTTGTAATATTTTGAAGTGGACATTTGCAGCGCTTTGAGGCCTATGTTGAAAAAGGAAATATCTTCTCCTAAAAACCAGACAGAAGCATTCTCAGAAACTTGTTTGTGATGTGTGTATTCAACTAACAGAGATGAACCTTTCTTTTTACAGAGCAGTTTTGAAACACTCTTTTTGTGGAATCTGAAAGTGGATATTTGGATAGCTTTGAGGATTTCGTTGGAAACGGGATTACATATAAAACCTAGAGAGAAGCATTCTCAGGAACTTCTTTGTGATGTTTGCATTCAAGTCACAGAACTGAACATTCCCTTTCATAGAGCAGGTTTGAAACACTCTTTCTGTAGTATCTGCAAGCTGACGTTTCAAGCGCTTTCAGGCCTATGGTGAGAAAGGAAATATCTTCAAGTAAAAACTAGACAGAAGCATTCTCAGAAACTTATTTGCCATGTGTGTTCTCAACTAACAGAGTTGAACCTTTGTTTTGATACGGCATTTTGGAAACACTCTTTTTGTAGAATCTGCAGGTGGATATTCGGATAGCTTTGAAGGTTTCGTTGGAAACGGGAATATCTTCATATAAAATCTAGACGGAAGCATTCTCAGAAACTGCTTTGTGATGTTTTCATTCAAGTCACAGAGTAGAATGTTCCCTGTTATATACCAGGTTTGAGACACTCTTTCTGCACTACCTGGAAGTGGACGTTTGGAGCGCTTTGAGGCCTATGTTGAAAAAGGAAATATCTTCCCATAAAAACTAGACAGAAGCATTCTCAGAAACTTGTTTGTGATGTGTGTATTCAACTAACAGAGATGAACCTTTCTTTTTACAGAGCAGTTTTGAAACACTCTTTTTGTGGAATCTGAAAGTGGATATTTGGATAGCTTTGAGGATTTCGTTGGAAACGGGATTACATGTAAAATCTAGAGAGAAGCATTCTCAGGAACTTCTTTGTGATGTTTGCATTCACGTCACAGAACTGAACATTCCCTTTCATAGAGCATGTTTGAAACACTCTTTCTGTAGTATCTGCAAACGGACATTTCAAACGCTTTCAGGCCTATGGTGAGAAAGGAAATATCTTCAAGTAAAAACTAGACAGAAGCATTCTCAGAAACTTATTAGCGATGTGTGTCCTCAACTAACAGAGTTGAACCTTTCTTTTGATACAACATTTTGGAAACACTCTTTTTGTGGAATCTGCAAGTGGATATTTGGATAGCTTTGAAGGTTTCGTTGGAAACGGGAATATCTTCATATAAAATCAAGACAGAAGCATTCTCAGAAACTTCTCTGTGATATTTGCATTCAACTCATAGAGTTGAACACTTCCCTTCATACAGCAGGTTTGAAACACTCTTTTTGTAATATTTGGAAGTGGACATTTGCAGCGCTTTGAGGCCTATGATGAAAAAGGTAATATCTTCCCATAAAAACTAGACAGAAGCATTCTCAGAAACTTGTTTGTGATGTGTGTATTCAACTAACAGAGATGAACCTTTCTTTTTACAGAGCAGTTTTGAAACACTCTTTTTGTGGAATCTGAAAGTGGATATTTGGATAGCTTTGCGGATTTCGTTGGAAACGGGATTACATATAAAATCTAGGGAGAAGCACTCTCAGGAACTTCTTTGTGATGTTTGCATTCAAGTCACAGAACTGAACATTCCCTTTCATAGAGCAGGTTTGAAACACTCTTTCTGTAGTATCTGCAAGCGGACGTTTTAAGCGCTTTCAGGCCTGTGGTGAGAAAGGAAATATCTTCAAATAAAAACTAGACAGAAGCATTCTCAGAAACTTATTTGCGATGTGTGTCCTCAACTAACAGAGTTGAACCTTTCTTTTGATACAACATTTTGGAAACACTCTTTTTGTAGAATCTGCAAGTGGATATTTGGATAGCTTTGAAGGTTTCGTTGGAAACGGGAATATCTTCATATGAAATCAAGACAGAAGCATTCTCAGAAACTTCTCTGTGATGTTTGCATTCAACTCATAGAGTTGAACACTTCCCTTCATACAGCAGGTTTGAAACACTCTTTTTCTAATATTTGGAAGTGGACATTTGCAGCGCTTTGAGGCCTATGTTGAAAAAGGAAATATCTTCTCCTAAAAACCAGACAGAAGCATTCTCAGAAACTTCCTTGTGATGTGTGTACTCAAGTAACAGAGTTGAACCTTCCTTTTGACAGAGCAGTTTTGAAGCACTCTTTTTGTAGAATCTGCAAGTGGATATTTTGATACCTTTGAGGATTTCGTTGGACACGGGATATCTTCATATAAAATCTAGACAGAAGCATTCTCAGAAACTTCTTTGTGCTGTATGTCCTCAATTAACAGAGTTGAACCTTTGTGTGGATACAGCATTTTGGAAACATTCCTTTAGTAGAATCTGCAAGTTGATATTTAGATAGCTAGGAAGATTTCCTTGGAAACGGGAATATCTTCATATAAAATCTAGACGGAAGCATTCTCAGAAAGTGCTTTGTGATGTTTGCATTCAAGTCACAGAGTTGAATATTCCCTTTTATAGAGCAGGTTTGAAACACTCTTTCTGCACTACCTGGAAGTGGACATTTGGAGCGCTTTGAGGCCTATGTTGAAAAAGGAAATATCTTCCCATAAAAACTAGACAGAAGCATTCTCAGAAACTTGTTTGTGATGTGTGTATTCAACTAACAGAGATGAACCTTTCTTTTTACAGAGCAGTTTTGAAACACTCTTTTTGTGGAATCTGAAAGTGGATATTTGGATAGCTTTGAGGATTTCGTTGGAAACGGGATTACATATAAAACCTAGAGAGAAGCATTCTCAGGAACTTCTTTGTGATGTTTGCATTCAAGTCACAGAACTGAACATTCCCTTTCATAGAGCAGGTTTGAAACACTCTTTCTGTAGTATCTGCAAGCTGACGTTTCAAGCGCTTTCAGGCCTATGGTGAGAAAGGAAATATCTTCAAGTAAAAACTAGACAGAAGCATTCTCAGAAACTTATTTGCCATGTGTGTTCTCAACTAACAGAGTTGAACCTTTGTATTGATACGGCATTTTGGAAACACTCTTTTTGTAGAATCTGCAGGTGGATATTCGGATAGCTTTGAAGGTTTCGTTGGAAACGGGAATATCTTCATATAAAATCTAGACGGAAGCATTCTGAGAAACTGATTTGTGATGTTTTCATTCAAGTCACAGAGTAGAATGTTCCCTGTTATATACCAGGTTTGAGACACGCTTTCTGCACTACCAGGAAGTGGACATTTGGAGCGCTTTGAGGCCTATGATGAAAAAGGAAATATCTTCCCATAAAAACTAGACAGAAGCATTCTCAGAAACTTGTTTGTGATGTGTGTATTCAACTAACAGAGATGAACCTTTCTTTTTACAGAGCAGTTTTGAAACACTCTTTTTGTGGAATCTGAAAGTGGATATTTGGATAGCTTTGAGGATTTCGTTGGAAACGGGATTACATATAAAATCTAGAGAGAAGCATTCTCAGGAACTTCTTTGTGATGTTTGCATTCACGTCACAGAACTGAACATTCCCTTTCATAGAGCATGTTTGAAACACTCTTTCTGTAGTATCTGCAAACGGACATTTCAAACGCTTTCAGGCCTATGGTGAGAAAGGAAATATCTTCAAATAAAAACTAGACAGAAGCATTCTCAGCAACTTATTTGCGATGTGTGTCCTCAACTAACAGAGTTGAACCTTTCTTTTGATACAACATTTTGGAAACACTCTTTTTGTAGAATCTGCAAGTGGATATTGGGATAGCTTTGAAGGTTTCGTTGGAAACGGGAATATCTTCATATAAAATCAAGACAGAAGCATTCTCAGAAACTGCTTTGTGATGTTTTCATTCAAGTCACAGAGTAGAATGTTCCCTGTTATATACCAGGTTTGAGACACTCTTTCTGCACTACCCGGAAGTGGACGTTTGGAGCGCTTTGAGGCCTATGTTGAAAAAGGAAATATCTTCCCATAAAAACTAGACAGAAGCATTCTCAGAAACTTGTTTGTGATGTGTGTATTCAACTAACAGAGATGAACCTTTCTTTTTACAGAGCAGTTTTGAAACACTCTTTTTGTGGAATCTGAAAGTGGATATTTGGATAGCTTTGAGGATTTCGTTGGAAACGGGATTACATATAAAATCTAGAGAGAAGCATTCTCAGGAACTTCTTTGTGATGTTTGCATTCACGTCACAGAACTGAACATTCCCTTTCATAGAGCATGTTTGAAACACTCTTTCTGTAGTATCTGCAAACGGACATTTCAAACGCTTTCAGGCCTATGGTGAGAAAGGAAATATCTTCAAGTAAAAACTAGACAGAAGCATTCTCAGAAACTTATTTGCGATGTGTGTCCTCAACTAACAGAGTTGAACCTTTCTTTTGATACAACATTTTGGAAACACTCTTTTTGTAGAATCAGCAAGTGGATATTTGAATAGCTTTGAAGGTTTCGTTGGAAACGGGAATATCTTCATATAAAATCAAGACAGAAGCATTCTCAGAAACTTCTCTGTGATGTTTGCATTCAACTCATAGAGTTGAACACTTCCCTTCATACAGCAGGTTTGAAACACTCTTTTTGTAATATTTGGAAGTGGACATTTGCAGCGCTTTGAGGCCTATGTTGAAAAAGGAAATATCTTCTCCTAAAAACCAGACAGAAGCATTCTCAGAAACTTGTTTGTGATGTGTGTATTCAACTAACAGAGATGAACCTTTCTTTTTACAGAGCAGTTTTGAAACACTCTTTTTGTGGAATCTGAAAGTGGATATTTGGATAGCTTTGAGGATTTCGTTGGAAACGGGATTACATATAAAACCTAGAGAGAAGCATTCTCAGGAACTTCTTTGTGATGTTTGCATTCAAGTCACAGAACTGAACATTCCCTTTCATAGAGCAGGTTTGAAACACTCTTTCTGTAGTATCTGCAAGCGGACGTTTTAAGCGCTTTCAGGCCTGTGGTGAGAAAGGAAATATCTTCAAATAAAAACTAGACAGAAGCATTCTCAGAAACTTATTTGCGATGTGTGTCCTCAACTAACAGAGTTGAACCTTTCTTTTGATACAACATTTTGGAAACACTCTTTTTGTAGAATCTGCAAGTGGATATTTGGATAGCTTTGAAGGTTTCGTTGGAAACGGGAATATCTTCATATGAAATCAAGACAGAAGCATTCTCAGAAACTTCTCTGTGATGTTTGCATTCAACTCATAGAGTTGAACACTTCCCTTCATACAGCAGGTTTGAAACACTCTTTTTGTAATATTTGGAAGTGGACATTTGCAGCGCTTTGAGGCCTATGTTGAAAAAGGAAATATCTTCTCCTAAAAACCAGACAGAAGCATTCTCAGAAACTTGTTTGTGATGTGTGTATTCAACTAACAGAGATGAACCTTTCTTTTTACAGAGCAGTTTTGAAACACTCTTTTTGTGGAATCTGAAAGTGGATATTTGGATAGCTTTGAGGATTCCGTTGGAAACGGGATTACATATAAAACCTAGAGAGAAGCATTCTCAGGAACTTCTTTGTGATGTTTGCCTTCAAGTCACAGGACTGAACATTCCCTTTCATAGAGCAGGTTTGAAACACTCTTTCTGTAGTATCTGCAAGCTGACGTTTCAAGCGCTTTCAGGCCTATGGTGAGAAAGGAAATATCTTCAAGCAAAAACTAGACAGAAGCATTCTCAGAAACTTATTTGCGATGTGTGTTCTCAACTAACAGAGTTGAACCTTTGTTTTGATATGGCATTTTGGAAACACTCTTTTTGTAGAATCTGCAGGTGGATATTCGGATAGCTTTGAAGGTTTCGTTGGAAACGGGAATATCTTCATATAAAATCTAGACGGAAGCATTCTCAGAAACTGCTTTGTGATGTTTTCATTCAAGTCACAGAGTAGAATGTTCCCTGTTATATACCAGGTTTGAGACACTCTTTCTGCACTACCTGGAAGTGGACATTTGCAGCGCTTTGAGGCCTATGATGAAAAAGGAAATATCTTCCCATAAAAACTAGACAGAAGCATTCTCAGAAACTTGTTTGTGATGTGTGTATTCAACTAACAGAGATGAACCTTTCTTTTTACAGAGCAGTTTTGAAACACTCTTTTTGTGGAATCTGAAAGTGGATATTTGGATAGCTTTGAGGATTTCGTTGGAAACGGGATTACATATAAAATCTAGAGAGAAGCATTCTCAGGAACTCCTTTGTGATGTTTGCATTCACGTCACAGAACTGAACATTCCCTTTCATAGAGCATGTTTGAAACACTCTTTCTGTAGTATCTGCAAACGGACATTTCAAACGCTTTCAGGCCTATGGTGAGAAAGGAAATATCTTCAAATAAAAACTAGACAGAAGCATTCTCAGAAACTTATTTGCGATGTGTGTCCTCAACTAACAGAGTTGAACCTTTCTTTTGATACAACATTTTGGAAACACTCTTTTTGTAGAATCTGCAAGTGGATATTTGAATAGCTTTGAAGGTTTCGTTGGAAACGGGAATATCTTCAAATAAAAACTAGACAGAAGCATTCTCAGAAACTTATTTGCGATGTGTGTCCTCAACTAACAGAGTTAAACCTTTCTTTTGGTACAACATTTTGGAAACACTCTTTTTGTAGAATCTGCAAGTGGATATTTGAATAGCTTTGAAGGTTTCGTTGGAAACGGGAATATCTTCATATAAAATCAAGACAGAAGCATTCTCAGAAACTTCTCTGTGATGTTTGCATTCAACTCATAGAGTTGAACACTTCCCTTCATACAGCAGGTTTGAAACACTCTTTTTGTAATATTTGGAAGTGGACATTTGCAGCGCTTTGAGGCCTATGATGAAAAAGGTAATATCTTCCCATAAAAACTAGACAGAAGCGTTCTCAGAAACTTGTTTGTGATGTGTGTATTCAACTAACAGAGATGAACCTTTCTTTTTACAGAGCAGTTTTGAAACACTCTTTTTGTGGAATCTGAAAGTGGATATTTGGATAGCTTTGCGGATTTCGTTGGAAACGGGATTACATATAAAATCTAGGGAGAAGCATTCTCAGGAACTTCTTTGTGATGTTTGCATTCAAGTCACAGAACTGAACATTCCCTTTCATAGAGCAGGTTTGAAACACTCTTTCTGTAGTATCTGCAAGCGGACGTTTTAAGCGCTTTCAGGCCTGTGGTGAGAAAGGAAATATCTTCAAATAAAAACTAGACAGAAGCATTCTCAGAAACTTATTTGCGATGTGTGTCCTCAACTAACAGAGTTGAACCTTTCTTTTGATACAACATTTTGGAAACACTCTTTTTGTAGAATCTGCAAGTGGATATTTGGATAGCTTTGAAGGTTTCGTTGGAAACGGGAATATCTTCATATGAAATCAAGACAGAAGCATTCTCAGAAACTTCTCTGTGATGTTTGCATTCAACTCATAGAGTTGAACACTTCCCTTCATACAGCAGGTTTGAAACACTCTTTTTCTAATATTTGGAAGTGGACATTTGCAGCGCTTTGAGGCCTATGTTGAAAAAGGAAATATCTTCTCCTAAAAACCAGACAGAAGCATTCTCAGAAACTTCCTTGTGATGTGTGTACTCAAGTAACAGAGTTGAACCTTCCTTTTGACAGAGCAGTTTTGAAGCACTCTTTTTGTAGAATCTGCAAGTGGATATTTTGATACCATTGAGGATTTCGTTGGACACGGGATATCTTCATATAAAATCTAGACAGAAGCATTCTCAGAAACTTCTTTGTGCTGTATGTCCTCAATTAACAGAGTTGAACCTTTGTGTGGATACAGCATTTTGGAAACATTCCTTTAGTAGAATCTGCAAGTTGATATTTAGATAGCTAGGAAGAGTTCCTTGGAAACGGGAATATCTTCATATAAAATCTAGACGGAAGCATTCTCAAAAAGTGCTTTGTGATGTTTGCATTCAAGTCACAGAGTTGAATGTTCCCTTTTATAGAGCAGGTTTGAAACACTCTTTCTGCACTACCTGGAAGTGGACATTTGGAGCGCTTTGAGGCCTATGTTGAAAAAGGAAATATCTTCCCATAAAAACTAGACAGAAGCATTCTCAGAAACTTGTTTGTGATGTGTGTATTCAACTAACAGAGATGAACCTTTCTTTTTACAGAGCAGTTTTGAAACACTCTTTTTGTGGAATCTGAAAGTGGATATTTGGATAGCTTTGAGGATTTCGTTGGAAACGGGATTACATATAAAACCTAGAGAGAAGCATTCTCAGGAACTTCTTTGTGATGTTTGCATTCAAGTCACAGAACTGAACATTCCCTTTCATAGAGCAGGTTTGAAACACTCTTTCTGTAGTATCTGCAAGCTGACGTTTCAAGCGCTTTCAGGCCTATGGTGAGAAAGGAAATATCTTCAAGTAAAAACTAGACAGAAGCATTCTCAGAAACTTATTTGCGATGTGTGTTCTCAACTAACAGAGTTGAACCTTTGTTTTGATATGGCATTTTGGAAACACTCTTTTTGTAGAATCTGCAGGTGGATATTCGGATAGCTTTGAAGGTTTCGTTGGAAACGGGAATATCTTCATATAAAATCTAGACGGAAGCATTCTCAGAAACTGCTTTGTGATGTTTTCATTCAAGTCACAGAGTAGAATGTTCCCTGTTATATACCAGGTTTGAGACACTCTTTCTGCACTACCTGGAAGTGGACATTTGCAGCGCTTTGAGGCCTATGATGAAAAAGGAAATATCTTCCCATAAAAACTAGACAGAAGCATTCTCAGAAACTTGTTTTTGATGTGTGTATTCAACTAACAGAGATGAACCTTTCTTTTTACAGAGCAGTTTTGAAACACTCTTTTTGTGGAGTCTGAAAGTGGATATTTGGATAGCTTTGAGGAATTCGTTGGAAACGGGATTACATATAAAATCTAGAGAGAAGCATTCTCAGGAACTTCTTTGTGATGTTTGCATTCACGTCACAGAACTGAACATTCCCTTTCATAGAGCATGTTTGAAACACTCTTTCTGTAGTATCTGCAAACGGACATTTCAAACGCTTTCAGGCCTATGGTGAGAAAGGAAATATCTTCAAATAAAAACTAGACAGAAGCATTCTCAGAAACTTATTTGCGATGTGTGTCCTCAACTAACAGAGTTGAACCTTTCTTTTGATACAACATTTTGGAAACACTCTTTTTGTGGAATCTGCAAGTGGATATTTGGATAGCTTTGAAGGTTTCGTTGGAAACGGGAATATCTTCATATAAAATCAAGACAGAAGCATTCTCAGAAACTTCTCTGTGATGTTTGCATTCAACTCATAGAGTTGAACACTTCCCTTCATACAGCAGGTTTGAAACACTCTTTTTCTAATATTTGGAAGTGGACTTTTGCAGCGCTTTGAAGCCTATGATGAAAAAGGTAATATCTTCCCATAAAAACTAGAAAGAAGCATTCTCAGAAACTTGTTTGTGATGTGTGTATTCAACTAACAGAGATGAACCTTTCTTTTTACAGAGCAGTTTTGAAGCACTCTTTTTGTAGAATCTGCAAGTGGATATTTTGATACCATTGAGGATTTCGTTGGACACGGGATATCTTCATACAAAATCTAGACAGAAGCATTCTCAGAAACTTCTTTGTGCTGTATGTCCTCAATTAACAGAGTTGAACCTTTGTGTGGATACAGCATTTTGGAAACATTCCTTTAGTAGAATCTGCAAGTTGATATTTAGATAGCTAGGAAGATTTCCTTGGAAACGGGAATATCTTCATATAAAATCTAGACGGAAGCATTCTCAGAAAGTGCTTTGTGATGTTTGCATTCAAGTCACAGAGTTGAATATTCCCTTTTATAGAGCAGGTTTGAAACACTCTTTCTGCACTACCTGGAAGTGGACATTTGGAGCGCTTTGAGGCCTATGTTGAAAAACGAAATATCTTCCCATAAAAACTAGACAGAAGCATTCTCAGAAACTTGTTTGTGATGTGTGTATTCAACTAACAGAGATGAACCTTTCTTTTTACAGAGCAGTTTTGAAACACTCTTTTTGTGGAATCTGAAAGTGGATATTTGGATAGCTTTGAGGATTTCGTTGGAAACGGGATTACATATAAAACCTAGAGAGAAGCATTCTCAGAAACTGCTTTGTGATGTTTTCATTCAAGTCACAGAGTAGAATGTTCCCTGTTATATAACAGGTTTGAGACACTCTTTCTGCACTACCTGGAAGTGGACGTTTGGAGCGCTTTGAGGCCTATGTTGAAAAAGGAAATATCTTCCCATAAAAACTAGACAGAAGCATTCTCAGAAACTTATTTGCCATGTGTGTTCTCAACTAACAGAGTTGAACCTTTGTTTTGATACGGCATTTTGGAAACACTCTTTTTGTAGAATCTGCAGGTGGATATTCGGATAGCTTTGAAGGTTTCGTTGGAAACGGGAATATCTTCATATAAAATCTAGACGGAAGCATTCTCAGAAACTGCTTTGTGATGTTTTCATTCAAGTCACAGAGTAGAATCTTCCCTGTTATATACCAGGTTTCAGACACTCTTTCTGCACTACCTGGAAGTGGACATTTGCAGCGCTTTGAGGCCTATGATGAAAAAGGAAATATCTTCCCATAAAAACTAGACAGAAGCATTCTCAGAAACTTGTTTGTGATGTGTGTATTCAACTAACAGAGATGAACCTTTCTTTTTACAGAGCAGTTTTGAAACACTCTTTTTGTGGAATCTGAAAGTGGATATTTGGATAGCTTTGAGGATTTCGTTGGAAACGGGATTACATATAAAATCTAGAGAGAAGCATTCTCAGGAACTTCTTTGTGATGTTTGCATTCACGTCACAGAACTGAACATTCCCTTTCATAGAGCATGTTTGAAACACTCTTTCTGTAGTATCTGCAAACGGACATTTCAAACGCTTTCAGGCCTATGGTGAGAAAGGAAATATCTTCAAATAAAAACTAGACAGAAGCATTCTCAGAAACTTATTTGCGATGTGTGTCCTCAACTAACAGAGTTGAACCTTTCTTTTGATACAACATTTTGGAAACACTCTTTTTGTGGAATCTGCAAGTGGATATTTGGATAGCTTTGAAGGTTTCGTTGGAAACGGGAATATCTTCATATAAAATCAAGACAGAAGCATTCTCAGAAACTTCTCTGTGATGTTTGCATTCAACTCATAGAGTTGAACACTTCCCTTCATACAGCAGGTTTGAAACACTCTTTTTGTAATATTTGGAAGTGGACTTTTGCAGCGCTTTGAGGCCTATGATGAAAAAGGTAATATCTTCCCATAAAAACTAGACAGAAGCATTCTCAGAAACTTGTTTGTGATGTGTGTATTCAACTAACAGAGATGAACCTTTCTTTTTACAGAGCAGTTTTGAAGCACTCTTTTTGTAGAATCTGCAAGTGGATATTTTGATACCATTGAGGATTTCGTTGGACACGGGATATCTTCATATAAAATCTAGACAGAAGCATTCTCAGAAACTTCTTTGTGCTGTATGTCCTCAATTAACAGAGTTGAACCTTTGTGTGGATACAGCATTTTGGAAACATTCCTTTAGTAGAATCTGCAAGTTGATATTTAGATAGCTAGGAAGAGTTCCTTGGAAACGGGAATATCTTCATATAAAATCTAGACGGAAGCATTCTCAGAAAGTGCTTTGTGATGTTTGCATTCAAGTCACAGAGTTGAATGTTCCCTTTTATAGAGCAGGTTTGAAACACTCTTTCTGCACTACCTGGAAGTGGACATTTGGAGCGCTTTGAGGCCTATGTTGAAAAAGGAAATATCTTCCCATAAAAACTAGACAGAAGCATTCTCAGAAACTTGTTTGTGATGTGTGTATTCAACTAACAGAGATGAACCTTTCTTTTTACAGAGCAGTTTTGAAACACTCTTTTTGTGGAATCTGAAAGTGGATATTTGGATAGCTTTGAGGATTTCGTTGGAAACGGGATTACATATAAAACCTAGAGAGAAGCATTCTCAGGAACTTCTTTGTGATGTTTGCATTCAAGTCACAGCACTGAACATTCCCTTTCATAGAGCAGGTTTGAAACACTCTTTCTGTAGTATCTGCAAGCTGACGTTTCAAGCGCTTTCAGGCCTATGGTGAGAAAGGAAATATCTTCAACTAAAAACTAGACAGAAGCATTCTCAGAAACTTATTTGCGATGTGTGTTCTCAACTAACAGAGTTGAACCTTTGTTTTGATATGGCATTTTGGAAACACTCTTTTTGTAGAATCTGCAGGTGGATATTCGGATAGCTTTGAAGGTTTCGTTGGAAACGGGAATATCTTCATATAAAATCTAGACGGAAGCATTCTCAGAAACTGCTTTGTGATGTTTTCATTCAAGTCACAGAGTAGAATGTTCCCTGTTATATACCAGGTTTGAGACACTCTTTCTGCACTACCTGGAAGTGGACATTTGCAGCGCTTTGAGGCCTATGATGAAAAAGGAAATATCTTCCCATAAAAACTAGACAGAAGCATTCTCAGAAACTTGTTTGTGATGTGTGTATTCAACTAACAGAGATGAACCTTTCTTTTTACAGAGCAGTTTTGAAACACTCTTTTTGTGGAATCTGAAAGTGGATATTTGGATAGCTTTGAGGATTTCGTTGGAAACGGGATTACATATAAAACCTAGAGAGAAGCATTCTCAGGAACTTCTTTGTGATGTTTGCATTCACGTCACAGAACTGAACATTCCCTTTCATAGAGCATGTTTGAAACACTCTTTCTGTAGTATCTACAAACGGACATTTCAAACGCTTTCAGGCCTATGGTGAGAAAGGAAATATCTTCAAATAAAAACTAGACAGAAGCATTCTCAGAAACTTATTTGCGATGTGTGTCCTCAACTAACAGAGTTGAACCTTTCTTTTGATACAACATTTTGGAAACACTCTTTTTGTAGAATCTGCAAGTGGATATTTGAATAGCTTTGAAGGTTTCGTTGGAAACGGGAATATCTTCATATAAAATCAAGACAGAAGCATTCTCAGAAACTTCTCTGTGATGTTTGCATTCAACTCATAGAGTTGAACACTTCCCTTCATAGAGCAGGTTTGAAACACTCTTTTTGTAATATTTGGAAGTGGACATTTGCAGCGCTTTGAGGCCTATGTTGAAAAAGGAAATTCTTCTCCTAAAAACCAGACAGAAGCATTCTCAGAAACTTGTTTGTGATGTGTGTATTCAACTAACAGAGATGAACCTTCCTTTTTACAGAGCAGTTTTGAAACACTCTTTTTGTGGAATCTGAAAGTGGATATTTGGATAGCTTTGAGGATTTCGTTGGAAACGGGATTACATATAAAACCTAGAGAGAAGCATTCTCAGGAACTTCTTTGTGATGTTTGCATTCAAGTCACAGAACTGAACATTCCCTTTCATAGAGCAGGTTTGAAACACTCTTTCTGTAGTATCTGCAAGCGGACGTTTTAAGCGCTTTCAGGCCTGTGGTGAGAAAGGAAATATCTTCAAATAAAAACTAGACAGAAGCATTCTCAGAAACTTATTTGCGATGTGTGTCCTCAACTAACAGAGTTGAACCTTTCTTTTGATACAACATTTTGGAAACACTCTTTTTGTAGAATCTGCAAGTGGATATTTGGATAGCTTTGAAGGTTTCGTTGGAAACGGGAATATCTTCATATGAAATCAAGACAGAAGCATTCTCAGAAACTTCTCTGTGATGTTTGCATTCAACTCATAGAGTTGAACACTTCCCTTCATACAGCAGGTTTGAAACACTCTTTTTGTAATATTTGGAAGTGGACATTTGCAGCGCTTTGAGGCCTATGTTGAAAAAGGAAATATCTTCTCCTAAAAACCAGACAGAGGCATTCTCAGAATCTTTCTTGTGATGTGTGTACTCAAGTAACAGAGTTGAACCTTCATTTTGACAGAGCAGTTTTGAAGCACTCTTTTTGTAGAATCTGCAAGTGGATATTTTGATACATTTGAGGATTTCGTTAGACACGGGATATCTTCATATAAAATCTAGACAGAAGCATTCTCAGAAACTTCTTTGTGCTGTATGTCCTCAATTAACAGAGTTGAACCTTTGTGTGGATACAGCATTTTGGAAACATTCCTTTAGTAGAATCTGCAAGTTGATATTTAGATAGCTAGGAAGATTTCCTTGGAAACGGGAATATCTTCATATAAAATCTAGACGGAAGCATTCTCAGAAAGTGCTTTGTGATGTTTGCATTCAAGTCACAGAGTTGAATATTCCCTTTTATAGAGCAGGTTTGAAACACTCTTTCTGCACTACCTGGAAGTGGACATTTGGAGCGCTTTGAGGCCTATGTTGAAAAACGAAATATCTTCCCATAAAAACTAGACAGAAGCATTCTCAGAAACTTGTTTGTGATGTGTGTATTCAACTAACAGAGATGAACCTTTCTTTTTACAGAGCAGTTTTGAAACACTCTTTTTGTGGAATCTGAAAGTGGATATTTGGATAGCTTTGAGGATTTCGTTGGAAACGGGATTACATATAAAACCTAGAGAGAAGCATTCTCAGGAACTTCTTTGTGATGTTTGCCTTCAAGTCACAGGACTGAACATTCCCTTTCATAGAGCAGGTTTGAAACACTCTTTCTGTAGTATCTGCAAGCTGACGTTTCAAGCGCTTTCAGGCCTATGGTGAGAAAGGAAATATCTTCAAGTAAAAACTAGACAGAAGCATTCTCAGAAACTTATTTGAGATGTGTGTTCTCAACTAACAGAGTTGAACCTTTGTTTTGATATGGCATTTTGGAAACACTCTTTTTGTAGAATCTGCAGGTGGATATTCGGATAGCTTTGAAGGTTTCGTTGGAAACGGGAATATCTTCATATAAAATCAAGACAGAAGCATTCTCAGAAACTTCTCTGTGATGTTTGCATTCAACTCATAGAGTTGAACACTTCCCTTCATACAGCAGGTTTGAAACACTCTTTTTGTAATATTTGGAAGTGGACATTTGCAGCGCTTTGAGGCCTATCATGAAAAAGGAAATATCTTCCCATAAAAACTAGACAGAAGCATTCTCAGAAACTTGTTTGTGATGTGTGTATTCAACTAACAGAGATGAACCTTTCTTTTTACAGAGCAGTTTTGAAACACTCTTTTTGTGGAATCTGAAAGTGGATATTTGGATAGCTTTGCGGATTTCGTTGGAAACGGGATTACATATAAAATCTAGGGAGAAGCATTCTCAGGAACTTCTTTGTGATGTTTGCATTCAAGTCACAGAACTGAACATTCCCTTTCATAGAGCAGGTTTGAAACACTCTTTCTGTAGTATCAGCAAGCGGACGTTTTAAGCGCTTTCAGGCCTGTGGTGAGAAAGGAAATATCTTCAAATAAAAACTAGACAGAAGCATTCTCAGAAACTTATTTGCGATGTGTGTCCTCAACTAACAGAGTTGAACCTTTCTTTTGATACAACATTTTGGAAACACTCTTTTTGTAGAATCTGCAAGTGGATATTTGGATAGCTTTGAAGGTTTCGTTGGAAACGGGAATATCTTCATATGAAATCAAGACAGAAGCATTCTCAGAAACTTCTCTGTGATGTTTGCATTCAACTCATAGAGTTGAACACTTCCCTTCATACAGCAGGTTTGAAACACTCTTTTTCTAATATTTGGAAGTGGACATTTGCAGCGCTTTGAGGCCTATGTTGAAAACGGAAATATCTTCTCCTAAAAACCAGACAGAAGCATTCTCAGAAACTTCCTTGTGATGTGTGTACTCAAGTAACAGAGTTGAACCTTCCTTTTGACAGAGCAGTTTTGAAGCACTCTTTTTGTAGAATCTGCAAGTGGATATTTTGATACCTTTGAGGATTTCGTTGGACACGGGATATCTTCATATAAAATCTAGACAGAAGCATTCTCAGAAACTTCTTTGTGCTGTATGTCCTCAATTAACAGAGTTGAACCTTTGTGTGGATACAGCATTTTGGAAACATTCCTTTAGTAGAATCTGCAAGTTGATATTTAGATAGCTAGGAAGATTTCCTTGGAAACGGGAATATCTTCATATAAAATCTAGACGGAAGCATTCTCAGAAAGTGCTTTGTGATGTTTGCATTCAAGTCACAGAGTTGAATATTCCCTTTTATAGAGCAGGTTTGAAACACTCTTTCTGCACTACCTGGAAGTGGACATTTGGAGGGCTTTGAGGCCTATGTTGAAAAACGAAATATCTTCCCATAAAAACTAGACAGAAGCATTCTCAGAAACTTGTTTGTGATGTGTGTATTCAACTAACAGAGATGAACCTTTCTTTTTACAGAGCAGTTTTGAAACACTCTTTTTGTGGAATCTGAAAGTGGATATTTGGATAGCATTGAGGATTTCGTTGGAAACGGGATTACATATAAAATCTAGAGAGAAGCATTCTCAGGAACTTCTTTGTTATGTTTGCATTCACGTCACAGAACTGAACATTCCCTTTCATAGAGCATGTTTGAAACACTCTTTCTGTACTATCTGCAAACGGACATTTCAAACGCTTTCAGGCCTATGGTGAGAAAGGAAATATCTTCAAATAAAAACTAGACAGAAGCATTCTCAGAAACTTATTTGCGATGTGTGTCCTCAGCTAACAGAGTTGAACCTTTCTTTTGATACAACATTTTGGAACCACTCTTTTTGTAGAATCTGCAAGTGGATATTTGGATAGCTTTGAAGGTTTCGTTGGAAACGGGAATATCTTCATATAAAATCAAGACAGAAGCATTCTCAGAAACTTCTCTGTGATGTTTGCATTCAACTCATAGAGTTGATCACTTCCCTTCATACAGCAGGTTTGAAACACTCTTTTTGTAATATTTGGAAGTGGACATTTGCAGCGCTTTGAGGCCTATGATGAAAAAGGAAATATCTTCCCATAAAAACTAGACAGAAGCATTCTCAGAAACTTGTTTGTGATGTGTGTATTCAACTAACAGAGATGAACCTTTCTTTTTACAGAGCAGTTTTGAAACACTCTTTTTGTGGAATCTGAAAGTGGATATTTGGATAGCTTTGCGGATTTCGTTGGAAACGGGATTACATATAAAATCTAGGGAGAAGCATTCTCAGGAACTTCTTTGTGATGTTTGCATTCAAGTCACAGAACTGAACATTCCCTTTCATAGAGCAGGTTTGAAACACTCTTTCTGTAGTATCTGCAAGCGGACGTTTTAAGCGCTTTCAGGCCTGTGGTGAGAAAGGAAATATCTTCAAATAAAAACTAGACAGAAGCATTCTCAGAAACTTATTTGCGATGTGTGTCCTCAACTAACAGAGTTGAACCTTTCTTTTGATACAACATTTTGGAAACACTCTTTTTGTAGAATCTGCAAGTGGATATTTGGATAGCTTTGAAAGGTTTCGTTGGAAACGGGAATATCTTCATATGAAATCAAGACAGAAGCATTCTAAGAAAGTGCTTTGTGACGTTTGCATTCAAGTCACAGAGTACAATATTCGCTTTTATGGAGCCGGTTTGAAACACTCTTTCTGCACTACCTGGAAGTGGACATTTGGAGCGCTTTTAGGCCTATGTTGAAAAAGGAAATATCTTCCCATAAAAACTAGACAGAAGCATTCTCAGAAACTTGTTTGTGATGTGTGTATTCAACTAACAGAGATGAACCTTTCTTTTTACAGAGCAGTTTTGAAACACTCTTTTTGTGGAATCTGAAAGTGGATATTTGGATAGCTTTGAGGATTTCGTTGGAAACGGGATTACATATAAAACCTAGAGAGAAGCATTCTCAGGAACTTCTTTTTGATGTTTGCCTTCAAGTCACAGGACTGAACATTCCCTTTCATAGAGCAGGTTTGAAACACTCTTTCTGTAGTATCTGCAAGCTGACGTTTCAAGCGCTTTCAGGCCTATGGTGAGAAAGGAAATATCTTCAAGTAAAAACTAGACAGAAGCATTCTCAGAAACATATTTGCCATGTGTGTTCTCAACTAACAGAGTTGAACCTTTGTTTTGATATGGCATTTTGGAAACACTCTTTTTGTAGAATCTGCAGGTGGATATTCGGATAGCTTTGAAGGTTTCGTTGGAAACGGGAATATCTTCATATAAAATCTAGACGGAAGCATTCTCAGAAAGTGCTTTGTGATGTTTGCATTCAAGTCACAGAGTTGAATATTCCCTTTTATAGAGCAGGTTTGAAACACTCTTTCTGCACTACCTGGAAGTGGACATTTGGAGCGCTTTGAGGCCTAAGTTGAAAAAGGAAATATCTTCCCATAAAAACTAGACAGAAGCATTCTCAGAAACTTGTTTTTGATGTGTGTATTCAACTAACAGAGATGAACCTTTCTTTTTACAGAGCAGTTTTGAAACACTCTTTTTGTGGAATCTGAAAGTGGATATTTGGATAGCTTTGAGGATTTCGTTGGAAACGGGATTACATATAAAACCTAGAGAGAAGCATTCTCAGGAACTTCTTTGTGATGTTTGCATTCAAGTCACAGAACTGAACATTCCCTTTCATAGAGCAGGTTTGAAACACTCTTTCTGTAGTATCTGCAAGCTGACGTTTCAAGCGCTTTCAGGCCTATGGTGAGAAAGGAAATATCTTCAAGTAAAAACTAGACAGAAGCATTCTCAGAAACTTATTTGCCATGTGTGTTCTCAACTAACAGAGTTGAACCTTTGTTTTGATACGGCATTTTGGAAACACTCTTTTTGTAGAATCTGCAGGTGGATATTCGGATAGCTTTGAAGGTTTCGTTGGAAACGGGAATATCTTCATATAAAATCTAGACGGAAGCATTCTCAGAAACTGCTTTGTGATGTTTTCATTCAAGTCACAGAGTAGAATGTTCCCTGTTATATACCAGGTTTGAGACACTCTTTCTGCACTACCTGGAAGTGGACGTTTGGAGTGCTTTGAGGCCTATGTTGAAAAAGGAAATATCTTCCCATAAAAACTAGACAGAAGCATTCTCAGAAACTTGTTTGTGATGTGTGTATTCAACTAACAGAGATGAACCTTTCTTTTTACAGAGCAGTTTTGAAACACTCTTTTTGTGGAATCTGAAAGTGGATATTTGGATAGCTTTGAGGATTTCGTTGGAAACGGGATTACATATAAAACCTAGAGAGAAGCATTCTCAGGAACTTCTTTGTGATGTTTGCATTCAAGTCACAGAACTGAACATTCCCTTTCATAGAGCAGGTTTGAAACACTCTTTCTGTAGTATCTGCAAGCTGACGTTTCAAGCGCTTTCAGGCCTATGGTGAGAAAGGAAATATCTTCAAGTAAAAACTAGACAGAAGCATTCTCAGAAACTTATTTGCCATGTGTGTTCTCAACTAACAGAGTTGAACCTTTGTTTTGATACGGCATTTTGGAAACACTCTTTTTGTAGAATCTGCAGGTGAATATTCGGATAGCTTTGAAGGTTTCGTTGGAAACGGGAATATCTTCATATAAAATCTTGACGGAAGCATTCTCAGAAACTGCTTTGTGATGTTTTCATTCAAGTCACAGAGTAGAATCTTCCCTGTTATATACCAGGTTTCAGACACTCTTTCTGCACTACCTGGAAGTGGACATTTGCAGCGCTTTGAGGCCTATGATGAAAAAGGAAATATCTTCCCATAAAAACTAGACAGAAGCATTCTCAGAAACTTGTTTGTGATGTGTGTATTCAACTAACAGAGATGAACCTTTCTTTTTACAGAGCAGTTTTGAAACACTCTTTTTGTGGAATCTGAAAGTGGATATTTGGATAGCTTTGAGGATTTCGTTGGAAACGGGATTACATATAAAATCTAGAGAGAAGCATTCTCAGGAACTTCTTTGTGATGTTTGCATTCACGTCACAGAACTGAACATTCCCTTTCATAGAGCATGTTTGAAACACTCTTTCTGTAGTATCTGCAAACGGACATTTCAAACGCTTTCAGGCCTACGGTGAGAAAGGAAATATCTTCAAATAAAAACTAGACAGAAGCATTCTCAGAAACTTATTTGCGATGTGTGTCCTCAACTAACAGAGTTGAACCTTTCTTTTGATACAACATTTTGGAAACACTCTTTTTGTGGAATCTGCAAGTGGATATTTGGATAGCTTTGAAGGTTTCGTTGGAAACGGGAATATCTTCATATAAAATCAAGACAGAAGCATTCTCAGAAACTTCTCTGTGATGTTTGCATTCAACTCATAGAGTTGAACACTTCCCTTCATACAGCAGGTTTGAAACACTCTTTTTCTAATATTTGGAAGTGGACTTTTGCAGCGCTTTGAAGCCTATGATGAAAAAGGTAATATCTTCCCATAAAAACTAGACAGAAGCATTCTCAGAAACTTGTTTGTGATGTGTGTATTCAACTAACAGAGATGAACCTTTCTTTTTACAGAGCAGTTTTGAAACACTCTTTTTGTGGAATCTGAAAGTGGATATTTGGATAGCTTTGCGGATTTCGTTGGAAACGGGATTACATATAAAATCTAGGGAGAAGCATTCTCAGGAACTTCTTTGTGATGTTTGCATTCAAGTCACAGAACTGAACATTCCCTTTCATAGAGCAGGTTTGAAACACTCTTTCTGTAGTATCTGCAAGCGGACGTTTTAAGCGCTTTCAGGCCTGTGGTGAGAAAGGAAATATCTTCAAATAAAAACTAGACAGAAGCATTCTCAGAGACTTATTTGCGATGTGTGTCCTCAACTAACAGAGTTGAACCTTTCTTTTGATACAACATTTTGGAAACACTCTTTTTGTAGAATCTGCAAGTGGATATTTGGATAGCTTTGAAGGTTTCGTTGGAAACGGGAATATCTTCATATGAAATCAAGACAGAAGCATTCTCAGAAACTTCTCTGTGATGTTTGCATTCAACTCATAGAGTTGAACACTTCCCTTCATACAGCAGGTTTGAAACACTCTTTTTCTAATATTTGGAAGTGGACATTTGCAGCGCTTTGAGGCCTATGTTGAAAAAGGAAATATCTTCTCCTAAAAACCAGACAGGAAGCATTCTCAGAAACTTCCTTGTGATGTGTGTACTCAAGTAACACAGTTGAACCTTAATTTTGACAGAGCCGTTTTGAAACAGTCTTTTTGTAGAATCTGGAAGTAGATATTTGGATACATTTGAGGATTTCTTTGGAAACGGGATATCTTCATATAAAATCTAGACAGAAGCATTCTCAGAAACTTCTTTGTGCTGTATGTCCTCAATTAACAGAGTTGAACCTTTGTGTGGATACAGCATTTTGGAAACATTCCTTTAGTAGAATCTGCAAGTTGATATTTAGATAGCTAGGAAGAGTTTCCTTGGAAACGGGAATATCTTCATATAAAATCTAGACGGAAGCATTCTCAGAAAGTGCTTTGTGATGTTTGCATTCAAGTCACAGAGTTGACTATTCCCTTTTATAGAGCAGGTTTGAAACACTCTTTCTGCACTACCTGGAAGTGGACATTTGGAGCGCTTTGAGGCCTATGTTGAAAAAGGAAATATCTTCCCATAAAAACTAGACAGAAGCATTCTCAGAAACTTGTTTGTGATGTGTGTATTCAACTAACAGAGATGAACCTTTCTTTTTACAGAGCAGTTTTGAAACACTCTTTTTGTGGAATCTGAAAGTGGATATTTGGATAGCTTTGAGGATTTCGTTGGAAACGGGATTACATATAAAACCTAGAGAGAAGCATTCTCAGGAACTTCTTTGTGATGTTTGCCTTCAAGTCACAGGACTGAACATTCCCTTTCATAGAGCAGGTTTGAAACACTCTTTCTGTAGTATCTGCAAACGGACGTTTCAAGCGCTTTCAGGCCTATGGTGAGAAAGGAAATATCTTCAAGTAAAAACTAGACAGAAGCATTCTCAGAAACTTATTTGCCATGTGTGTTCTCAACTAACAGAGTTGAACCTTTGTTTTGATACGGCATTTTGGAAACACTCTTTTTGTAGAATCTGCAGGTGGATATTCGGATAGCTTTGAAGGTTTCGTTGGAAACGGGAATATCTTCATATAAAATCTAGACGGAAGCATTCTCAGAAACTGCTTTGTGATGTTTTCATTCAAGTCACAGAGTAGAATGTTCCCTGTTATATACCAGGTTTGAGACACTCTTTCTGCACTACCTGGAAATGGACGTTTGGAGCGCTTTGAGGCCTATGTTGAAAAAGGAAATATCTTCCCATAAAAACTAGACAGAAGCATTCTCAGAAACTTGTTTGTGATGTGTGTATTCAACTAACAGGGATGAACCTTTCTTTTGACAGAGCAGTTTTGAAACACTCTTTTTGTGGAATCTGAAAGTGGATATTTGGATAGCTTTGAGGATTTCGTTGGAAACGGGATTACATATAAAACCTAGAGAGAAGCATTCTCAGGAACTTCTTTGTGATGTTTGCATTCACGTCACAGAACTGAACATTCCCTTTCATAGAGCATGTTTGAAACACTCTTTCTGTAGTATCTGCAAACGGACATTTCAAGCACTTTCAGGCCTATGGTAAGAAAGGAAATATCTTCAAATAAAAACTAGACAGAAGCATTCTCAGAAACTTATTTGCGATGTGTGTTCTCAACTAACAGCGTTGAACCTTTGTTTTGATACAACATTTTGGAAACACTCTTTTTGTAGAATCTGCAAGTGGATATTTGGATAGCTTTGAAGGTTTCGTTGGAAACGGGAATATCTTCATATAAAATCAAGACAGAAGCATTCTCAGAAACTTCTCTGTGATGTTTGCATTCAACTCATAGAGTTGAACACTTCCCTTCATAGAGCAGGTTTGAAACACTCTTTTTGTAATATTTGGAAGTGGACATTTGCAGCGCTTTGAGGCCTATGTTGAAAAAGGAAATATCTTCTCCTAAAAACCAGACAGAAGCATTCTCAGAAACTTCCTTGTGATGTGTGTACTCAAGTAACAGAGTTGAACCTTACTTTGGACAGAGCCGTTTTGAAACAGTCTTTTTGTAGAATCTGGAAGTAGATATTTGGATACCTTTGAGGATTTCTTTGGAAACGGTATATCTTCATATAAAATCTAGACAGAAGCATTCTCAGAAACTTCTTTGTGCTGTATGTCCTCAATTAACAGAGTTGAACCTTTGTGTGGATACAGCATTTTGGAAACATTCCTTTAGTAGAATCTGCAAGTTGATATTTAGATAGCTAGGAAGATTTCCTTGGAAACGGGAATATCTTCATATAAAATCTAGACGGAAGCATTCTCAGAAAGTGCTTTGTGATGTTTGCATTCAAGTCACAGAGTTGAATATTCCCTTTAATAGAGCAGGTTTGAAACACTCTTTCTGCACTACCTGGAAGTGGACATTTGGAGCGCTTTGAGGCCTATGTTGAAAAAGGAAATATCTTCCCATAAAAACTAGACAGAAGCATTCTCAGAAACTTGTTTGTGATGTGTGTATTCAACTAACAGAGATGAACCTTTCTTTTTACAGAGCAGTTTTGAAACACTCTTTTTGTGGAATCTGAAAGTGGATATTTGGATAGCTTTGAGGATTTCGTTGGAAACGGGATTACATATAAAACCTAGAGAGAAGCATTCTCAGGAACTTCTTTGTGATGTTTGCCTTCAAGTCACAGGACTGAACATTCCCTTTCATAGAGCAGGTTTGAAACACTCTTTCTGTAGTATCTGCAAGCTGACGTTTCATGCGCTTTCAGGCCTATGGTGAGAAAGGAAATATCTTCAAGTAAAAACTAGACAGAAGCATTGTCAGAAACTTATTTGCCATGTGTGTTCTCAACTAACAGAGTTGAACATTTGTTTTGATACGGCATTTTGGAAACACTCTTTTTGTAGGATCTGCAGGTGGATATTCGGATAGCTTTGAAGGTTTCGTTGGAAACGGGAATATCTTCATATAAAATCTAGACGGAAGCATTCTCAGAAACTGCTTTGTGATGTTTTCATTCAAGTCACAGTGTAGAATGTTCCCTGTTATATACCAGGTTTGAGACACTCTTTCTGCACTACCTGGAAGTGGACGTTTGGAGCGCTTTGAGGCCTATGTTGAAAAAGGAAATATCTTCCCATAAAAACTAGACAGAAGCATTCTCAGAAACTTGTTTCTGATGTGTGTATTCAACTAACAGAGATGAACCTTTCTTTTTACAGAGTAGTTTTGAAACACTCTTTTTGTGGAATCTGAAAGTGGATATTTGGATAGCTTTGCGGATTTCGTTGGAAACGGGATTACATATAAAATCTAGGGAGAAGCATTCTCAGGAACTTCTTTGTGATGTTTGCATTCAAGTCACAGAACTGAACATTCCCTTTCATAGAGCAGGTTTGAAACACTCTTTCTGTAGTATCTGCAAGTGGACGTTTCAAGCGCTTTCAGGCCTGTGGTGAAAAAGGAAATATCTTCAAATAAAAACTAGACAGAAGCATTCTCAGAAACTTATTTGCGATGTGTGTTCTCAGCTAACAGAGTTGAACCTTTGTTTTGATACAGCATTTTGGAAACACTCTTTTTGTAGGATCTGCAGGTGGATATTTGGATAGCTTTGAAGGTTTCTTTGGAAACGGGAATATCTTTATATAAAATCAAGACAGAAGCATTCTCAGAAACTGCTTTGTGATGTTTTCATTCAAGTCACAGAGTAGAATGTTCCCTGTTATATACCAGGTTTGAGACACTCTTTCTGCACTACCCGGAAGTGGACGTTTGGAGCGCTTTGAGGCGTATGTTGAAAAACGAAATATCTTCCCATAAAAACTAGACAGAAGCATTCTCAGAAACTTGTTTGTGATGTGTGTATTCAACTAACAGAGATGAACCTTTCTTTTTACAGAGCAGTTTTGAAACACTCTTTTTGTGGAATCTGAAAGTGGATATTTGGATAGCTTTGAGGATTTCGTTGGAAACGGGATTACATATAAAATCTAGAGAGAAGCATTCTCAGGAACTTCTTTGTGATGTTTGCATTCACGTCACAGAACTGAACATTCCCTTTCATAGAGCATGTTTGAAACACTCTTTCTGTAGTATCTGCAAACGGACATTTCAAACGCTTTCAGGCCTATGGTGAGAAAGGAAATATCTTCAAGTAAAAACTAGACAGAAGCATTCTCAGAAACTTATTTGCGATGTGTGTCCTCAACTAACAGAGTTGAACCTTTCTTTTGATACAACATTTTGGAAACACTCTTTTTGTAGAATCTGCAAGTGGATATTTGAGTAGCTTTGAAGGTTTCGTTGGAAACGGGAATATCTTCATATAAAATCAAGACAGAAGCATTCTCAGAAACTTCTCTGTGATGTTTGCATTCAACTCATAGAGTTGAACACTTCCCTTCATACAGCAGGTTTGAAACACTCTTTTTGTAATATTTGGAAGTGGACATTTGCAGCGCTTTGAGGCCTATGATGAAAAAGGTAATATCTTCCCATAAAAACTAGACAGAAGCATTCTCAGAAACTTGTTTAAGATGTGTGTATTCAACTAACAGAGATGAACCTTTCTTTTTACAGAGCAGTTTTGAAACACTCTTTTTGTGGAATCTGAAAGTGGATATTTGGATAGCTTTGCGGATTTCGTTGGAAACGGGATTACATATAAAAACTAGGGAGAAGCATTCTCAGGAACTGCTTTGTGATGTTTGCATTCAAGTCACAGAACTGAACATTCCCTTTCATAGAGCAGGTTTGAAACACTCTTTCTGTAGTATCTGCAAGCTGACGTTTCAAGCGCTTTCAGGCCTATGGTGAGAAAGGAAATATCTTCAAGTAAAAACTAGACAAAAGCATTCTCAGAAACTTATTTGCGATGTGTGTCCTCAACTAACAGAGTTGAACCTTTCTTTTGATACAACATTTTGGAAACACTCTTTTTGTAGAATCTGCAAGTGGATATTTGGATAGCTTTGAAGGTTTCGTTGGAAACGGGAATATCTTCATATAAAATCAAGACAGCAGCATTCTCAGAAACTTCTCTGTGATGTTTGCATTCAACTCATAGAGTTGAACACTTCCCTTCATACAGCAGGTTTGAAACACTCTTTTTCTAATATTTGGAAGTGGACATTTGCAGCGCTTTGAGGCCTATGTTGAAAAAGGAAATATCTTCTCCTAAAAACCAGACAGAAGCATTCTCAGAAACTTCCTTGTGATGTGTGTACTCAAGTAACAGAGTTGAACCTTCCTTTTGACAGAGCAGTTTTGAAGCACTCTTTTTGTAGAATCTGCAAGTGGATATTTTGATACCTTTGAGGATTTCGTTGGACACGGGATATCTTCATATAAAATCTAGACAGAAGCATTCTCAGAAACTTCTTTGTGCTGTATGTCCTCAATTAACAGAGTTGAACCTTTGTGTGGATACAGCATTTTGGAAACATTCCTTTAGTAGAATCTGCAAGTTGATATTTAGATAGCTAGGAAGATTTCCTTGGAAACGGGAATATCTTCATATAAAATCTAGACGGAAGCATTCTCAGAAAGTGCTTTGTGATGTTTGCATTCAAGTCACAGAGTTGAATATTCCCTTTTATAGAGCAGGTTTGAAACACTCTTTCTGCACTACCTGGAAGTGGACATTTGGAGCACTTTGAGGCCTATGTTGAAAAAGGAAATATCTTCCCATAAAAACTAGACAGAAGCATTCTCAGAAACTTGTTTGTGATGTGTGTATTCAACTAACAGAGATGAACCTTTCTTTTTACAGAGCAGTTTTGAAACACTCTTTTTGTGGAATCTGAAAGTGGATATTTGGATAGCTTTGAGGATTTCGTTGGAAACGGGATTACATATAAAACCTAGAGAGAAGCATTCTCAGGAACTTCTTTGTGATGTTTGCCTTCAAGTCACAGGACTGAACATTCCCTTTCATAGAGCAGGTTTGAAACACTCTTTCTGTAGTATCTGCAAGCTGACGTTTCAAGCGCTTTCAGGCCTATGGTGAGAAAGGAAATATCTTCAAGTAAAAACTAGACAGAAGCATTCTCAGAAACTTATTTGCCATGTGTGTTCTCAACTAACAGAGTTGAACCTTTGTTTTGATACGGCATTTTGGAAACACTCTTTTTGTAGAATCTGCAGGTGGATATTCGGATAGCTTTGAAGGTTTCGTTGGAAACGGGAATATCTTCATATAAAATCTAGACGGAAGCATTCTCAGAAACTGCTTTGTGATGTTTTCATTCAAGTCACACAGTAGAATCTTCCCTGTTATATACCAGGTTTCAGACACTCTTTCTGCACTACCTGGAAGTGGACATTTGCAGCGCTTTGAGGCCTATGATGAAAAAGGAAATATCTTCCCATAAAAACTAGACAGAAGCATTCTCAGAAACTTGTTTGTGATGTGTGTATTCAACTAACAGAGATGAACCTTTCTTTTTACAGAGCAGTTTTGAAACACTCTTTTTGTGGAATCTGAAAGTGGATATTTGGATAGCTTTGAGGATTTCGTTGGAAACGGGATTACATATAAAATCTAGAGAGAAGCATTCTCAGGAACTTCTTTGTGATGTTTGCATTCACGTCACAGAACTGAACATTCCCTTTCATAGAGCATGTTTGAAACACTCTTTCTGTAGTATCTGCAAACGGACATTTCAAACGCTTTCAGGCCTATGGTGAGAAAGGAAATATCTTCAAATAAAAACTAGACAGAAGCATTCTCAGAAACTTATTTGCGATGTGTGTCCTCAACTAACAGAGTTGAACCTTTCTTTTGATACAACATTTTGGAAACACTCTTTTTGTGGAATCTGCAAGTGGATATTTGGATAGCTTTGAAGGTTTCGTTGGAAACGGGAATATCTTCATATAAAATCAAGACAGAAGCATTCTCAGAAACTTCTCTGTGATGTTTGCATTCAACTCATAGAGTTGAACACTTCCCTTCATACAGCAGGTTTGAAACACTCTTTTTGTAATATTTGGAAGTGGACATTTGCAGCGCTTTGAGGCCTATGATGAAAAAGGTAATATCTTCCCATAAAAACTAGACAGAAGCATTCTCAGAAACTTGTTTGTGATGTGTGTATTCAACTAACAGAGATGAACCTTTCTTTTTACAGAGCAGTTTTGAAACACTCTTTTTGTGGAATCTGAAAGTGGATATTTGGATAGCTTTGCGGATTTCGTTGGAAACGGGATTACATATAAAATCTAGGGAGAAGCATTCTCAGGAACTTCTTTGTGATGTTTGCATTCAAGTCACAGAACTGAACATTCCCTTTCATAGAGCAGGTTTGAAACACTCTTTCTGTAGTATCTGCAAGCGGACGTTTTAAGCGCTTTCAGGCCTGTGGTGAGAAAGGAAATATCTTCAAATAAAAACTAGACAGAAGCATTCTCAGAAACTTATTTGCGATGTGTGTCCTCAACTAACAGAGTTGAACCTTTCTTTTGATACAACATTTTGGAAACACTCTTTTTGTAGAATCTGCAAGTGGATATTTGGATAGCTTTGAAGGTTTCGTTGGAAACGGGAATATCTTCATATGAAATCAAGACAGAAGCATTCTCAGAAACTTCTCTGTGATGTTTGCATTCAACTCATAGAGTTGAACACTTCCCTTCATACAGCAGGTTTGAAACACTCTTTTTCTAATATTTGGAAGTGGACATTTGCAGCGCTTTGAGGCCTATGTTGAAAAAGGAAATATCTTCTCCTAAAAACCAGACAGAAGCATTCTCAGAAACTTCCTTGTGATGTGTGTACTCAAGTAACAGAGTTGAACCTTCCTTTTGACAGAGCAGTTTTCAAGCACTCTTTTTGTAGAATCTGCAAGTGGATATTTTGATACCTTTGAGGATTTCGTTGGACACGGGATATCTTCATATAAAATCTAGACAGAAGCATTCTCAGAAACTTCTTTGTGCTGTATGTCCTCAATTAACAGAGTTGAACCTTTGTGTGGATACAGCATTTTGGAAACACTCCTTTAGTAGGATATGCAAGTTGATATTTAGATAGCTAGGAAGATTTCCTTGGAAACGGGAATATCTTCATATAAATTCTAGACGGAAGCATTCTCAGAAAGTGCTTTGTGATGTTTGCATTCAAGTCACAGAGTTGAATATTCCCTTTTATAGAGCAGGTTTGAAACACTCTTTCTGCACTACCTGGAAGTGGACATTTGGAGCGCTTTGAGGCCTATGTTGAAAAAGGAAATATCTTCCCATAAAAACTAGACAGAAGCATTCTCAGAAACTTGTTTGTGATGTGTGTATTCAACTAACAGAGATGAACCTTTCTTTTTACAGAGCAGTTTTGAAACACTCTTTTTGTGGAATCTGAAAGTGGATATTTGGATAGCTTTGAGGATTTCGTTGGAAACGGGATTACATATAAAACCTAGAGAGAAGCATTCTCAGGAACTTCTTTGTGATGTTTGCATTCAAGTCACAGAACTGAACATTCCCTTTCATAGAGCATGTTTGAAACACTCTTTCTGTAGTATCTGCAAGCGGACGTTTTAAGCGCTTTCAGGCCTGTGGTGAGAAAGGAAATATCTTCAAATAAAAACTAGACAGAAGCATTCTCAGAAACTTATTTGCGATGTGTGTCCTCAACTAACAGAGTTGAACCTTTCTTTTGATACAACATTTTGGAAACACTCTTTTTGTAGAATCTGCAAGTGGATATTTGGATAGCTTTGAAGGTTTCGTTGGAAACGGGAATATCTTCATATGAAATCAAGACAGAAGCATTCTCAGAAACTTCTCTGTGATGTTTGCATTCAACTCATAGAGTTGAACACTTCCCTTCATACAGCAGGTTTGAAACACTCTTTTTCTAATATTTGGAAGTGGACATTTGCAGCGCTTTGAGGCCTATGTTGAGAAAGGAAATATCTTCTCCTAAAAACCAGACAGAATCATTCTCAGAAACTTATTTGCGATGTGTGTTCTCAACTAACAGAGTTGAACCTTTGTTTTGATACAGCATTTTGGAAACACTCTTTTTGTAGTATCTGCAGGTGGATATTTGGATAGCTTTGATGGTTTCGTTGGAAACGGGAATATCCTCATATAAAATCAAGACAGAAGCATTCTCAGAAACTTCTCTGTGATGTTTGCATTCAACTCATAGAGTTGAACACTTCCCTTCATACTGCAGGTTTGAAACACTCTTTTTGTAATATTTGGAAGTGGACATTTGCAGCGCTTTGAGGCCTATGTTGAAAAAGGAAATATCTTCCCATAAAAACTAGACAGAAGCATTCTCAGAAACTTGTTTGTGATGTGTGTATTCAACTAACAGAGATGAACCTTTCTTTTTACAGAGCAGTTTTGAAACACTCTTTTTGTGGAATCTGAAAGTGGATATTTGGATAGCTTTGAGGATTTCGTTGGAAACGGGATTACATATAAAACCTAGAGAGAAGCATTCTCAGGAACTTCTTTGTGATGTTTGCCTTCAAGTCACAGGACTGAACATTCCCTTTCATAGAGCAGGTTTGAAACACTCTTTCTGTAGTATCTGCAAGCTGACGTTTCAAGCGCTTTCAGGCCTATGGTGAGAAAGGAAATATCTTCAAGTAAAAACTAGACAGAAGCATTCTCAGAAACTTATTTGCCATGTGTGTTCTCAACTAACAGAGTTGAACCTTTGTTTTGATACGGCATTTTGGAAACACTCTTTTTGTAGAATCTGCAGGTGGATATTCGGATAGCTTTGAAGGTTTCGTTGGAAACGGGAATATCTTCATATAAAATCTAGACGGAAGCATTCTCAGAAACTGCTTTGTGATGTTTTCATTCAAGTCACAGAGTAGAATGTTCCCTGTTATATACCAGGTTTAAGACACTCTTTCTGCACTACCTGGAAGTGGACGTTTGGAGCGCTTTGAGGCCTATGTTGAAAAAGGAAATATCTTCCCATAAAAACTAGACAGAAGCATTCTCAGAAACTTGTTTGTGATGTGTGTATTCAACTAACAGAGATGAACCTTTCTTTTTACAGAGCAGTTTTGAAACACTCTTTTTGTGGAATCTGAAAGTGGATATTTGGATAGCTTTGCGGATTTCGTTGGAAACGGGATTACATATAAAATCTAGGGAGAAGCATTCTCAGGAACTTCTTTGTGATGTTTGCATTCAAGTCACAGAACTGAACATTCCCTTTCATAGAGCAGGTTTGAAACACTCTTTCTGTAGTATCTGCAAGGCGACGTTTTAAGCGCTTTCAGGCCTGTGGTGAGAAAGGAAATATCTTCAAATAAAAACTAGACAGAAGCATTCTCAGAAACGTATTTGCGATGTGTGTCCTCAACTAACAGAGTTGAACCTTTCTTTTGATACAACATTTTGGAAACACTCTTTTTGTAGAATCTGCAAGTGGATATTTGGATAGCTTTGAAGGTTTCGTTGGAAACGGGAATATCTTCATATGAAATCAAGACAGAAGCATTCTCAGAAACTTCTCTGTGATGTTTGCATTCAACTCATAGAGTTGAACACTTCCCTTCATACAGCAGGTTTGAAACACTCTTTTTCTAATATTTGGAAGTGGACATTTGCAGCGCTTTGAGGCCTATGTTGAAAAAGGAAATATCTTCTCCTAAAAACCAGACAGAAGCATTCTCAGAAACTTCCTTGTGATGTGTGTACTCAAGTAACAGAGTTGAACCTTCCTTTTGACAGAGCAGTTTTGAAGCACTCTTTTTGTAGAATCTGCAAGTGGATATTTTGATACCTTTGAGGATTTCGTTGGACACGGGATATCTTCATATAAAATCTAGACAGAAGCATTCTCAGAAACTTCTTTGTGCTGTATGTCCTCAATTAACAGAGTTGAACCTTTGTGTGGATACAGCATTTTGGAAACATTCCTTTAGTAGAATCTGCAAGTTGATATTTAGATAGCTAGGAAGATTTCCTTGGAAACGGGAATATCTTCATATAAAATCTAGACGGAAGCATTCTCAGAAAGTGCTTTGTGATGTTTGCATTCAATTCACAGAGTTGAATATTCCCTTTTATAGAGCAGGTTTGAAACACTCTTTCTGCACTACCTGGAAGTGGACATTTGGAGCACTTTGAGGCCTATGTTGAAAAAGGAAATATCTTCCCATAAAAACTAGACAGAAGCATTCTCAGAAACTTGTTTGTGATGTGTGTATTCAACTAACAGAGATGAACCTTTCTTTTTACAGAGCAGTTTTGAAACACTCTTTTTGTGGAATCTGAAAGTGGATATTTGGATAGCTTTGAGGATTTCGTTGGAAACGGGATTACATATAAAACCTAGAGAGAAGCATTCTCAGGAACTTCTTTGTGATGTTTGCATTCAAGTCACAGAACTGAACATTCCCTTTCATAGAGCAGGTTTGAAACACTCTTTCTGTAGTATCTGCAAGCTGACGTTTCAAGCGCTTTCAGGCCTATGGTGAGAAAGGAAATATCTTCAAGTAAAAACTAGACAGAAGCATTCTCAGAAACTTATTTGCCATGTGTGTTCTCAACTAACAGAGTTGAACCTTTGTTTTGATACGGCATTTTGGAAACACTCTTTTTGTAGAATCTGCAGGTGGATATTCGGATAGCTTTGAAGGTTTCGTTGGAAACGGGAATATCTTCATATAAAATCTAGACGGAAGCATTCTCAGAAACTGCTTTGTGATGTTTTCATTCAAGTCACAGAGTTGAATGTTCCCTGTTATATACCAGGTTTGAGACACTCTTTCTGCACTACCCGGAAGTGGACGTTTGGAGCGCTTTGAGGCCAATGTTGAAAAAGGAAATATCTTCCCATAAAAACTAGACAGAAGCATTCTCAGAAACTTGTTTGTGATGTGTGTATTCAACTAACAGAGATGAACCTTTCTGTTTACAGAGCAGTTTTGAAACACTCTTTTTGTGGAATCTGAAAGTGGATATTTGGATAGCTTTGAGGATTTCGTTGGAAACGGGATTACATATAAAATCTAGAGAGAAGCATTCTCAGGAACTTCTTTGTGATGTTTGCATTCACGTCACAGAACTGAACATTCCCTTTCATAGAGCATGTTTGAAACACTCTTTCTGTAGTATCTGCAAACGGACATTTCAAACGCTTTCAGGCCTATGGTGAGAAAGGAAATATCTTCAAGTAAAAACTAGACAGAAGCATTCTCAGAAACTTATTTGCGATGTGTGTCCTCAACTAACAGAGTTGAACCTTTCTTTTGATACAACATTTTGGAAACACTCCTTTTGTGGAATCTGCAAGTGGATATTTGGATAGCTTTGAAGGTTTCGTTGGAAACGGGAATATCTTCATATAAAATCAAGACAGAAGCATTCTCAGAAACTTCTCTGTGATGTTTGCATTCAACTCATAGAGTTGAACACTTCCCTTCATACAGCAGGTTTGAAACACTCTTTTTGTAATATTTGGAAGTGGACATTTGCAGCGCTTTGAGGCCTATGATGAAAAAGGAAATATCTTCCCATAAAAACTAGACAGGAAAGCATTCTCAGGAAACTTGTTTGTGATGTGTGTATTCAACTAACAGAGCATGAACCTTTCTTTTTACAGAGCAGTTTTGAAACACTCTTTTTGTGGAATCTGAAAGTGGATATTTGGATAGCTTTGCGGATTTCGTTGGAAACGGGATTACATATAAAATCTAGGGAGAAGCATTCTCAGGAACTTCTTTGTGATGTTTGCATTCAAGTCACAGAACTGAACATTCCCTTTCATAGAGCAGGTTTGAAACACTCTTTCTGTAGTATCTGCAAGCGGACGTTTTAAGCGCTTTCAGGCCTGTGGTGAGAAAGGAAATATCTTCAAATAAAAACTAGACAGAAGCATTCTCAGAAACTTATTTGCGATGTGTGTCCTCAACTAACAGAGTTGAACCTTTCTTTTGATACAACATTTTGGAAACACTCTTTTTGTAGAATCTGCAAGTGGATATTTGGATAGCTTTGAAGGTTTCGTTGGAAACGGGAATATCTTCATATGAAATCAAGACAGAAGCATTCTCAGAAACTTCTCTGTGATGTTTGCATTCAACTCATAGAGTTGAACACTTCCCTTCATACAGCAGGTTTGAAACACTCTTTTTCTAATATTTGGAAGTGGACATTTGCAGCGCTTTGAGGCCTATGTTGAAAAAGGAAATATCATCTCCTAAAAACCAGACAGAAGCATTCTCAGAAACTTCCTTGTGATGTGTGTACTCAAGAAACAGAGTTGAACCTTACTTTTGACAGAGCCGTTTTGAAACAGTCTTTTTGTAGAATCTGGAAGTAGATATTTGGATACCTTTGAGGATTTCTTTGGAAACGGGATATCTTCATATAAAATCTAGACAGAAGCATTCTCAGAAACTTCTTTGTGCTGTATGTCCTCAATTAACAGAGTTGAACCTTTGTGTGGATACAGCATTTTGGAAACATTCCTTTAGTAGAATCTGCAAGTTGATATTTAGATAGCTAGGAAGATTTCCTTGGAAACGGGAATATCTTCATATAAAATCTAGACGGAAGCATTCTCAGAAAGTGCTTTGTGATGTTTGCATTCAAGTCACAGAGTTGAATATTCCCTTTTATAGAGCAGGTTTGAAACACTCTTTCTGCACTACCTGGAAGTGGACATTTGGAGCGCTTTGAGGCCTATGTTGAAAAACGAAATATCTTCCCATAAAAACTAGACAGAAGCATTCTCAGAAACTTGTTTGTGATGTGTGTATTCAACTAACAGAGATGAACCTTTCTTTTTACAGAGCAGTTTTGAAACACTCTTTTTGTGGAATCTGAAAGTGGATATTTGGATAGCTTTGAGGATTTCGTTGGAAACGGGATTACATATAAAACCTAGAGAGAAGCATTCTCAGGAACTTCTTTGTGATGTTTGCCTTCAAGTCACAGGACTGAACATTCCCTTTCATAGAGCAGGTTTGAAACACTCTTTCTGTAGTATCTGCAAGCTGACGTTTCAAGCGCTTTCAGGCCTATGGTGAGAAAGGAAATATCTTCAAGTAAAAACTAGACAGAAGCATTCTCAGAAACTTATTTGAGATGTGTGTTCTCAACTAACAGAGTTGAACCTTTGTTTTGATATGGCATTTTGGAAACACTCTTTTTGTAGAATCTGCAGGTGGATATTCGGATAGCTTTGAAGGTTTCGTTGGAAACGGGAATATCTTCATATAAAATCAAGACAGAAGCATTCTCAGAAACTTCTCTGTGATGTTTGCATTCAACTCATAGAGTTGAACACTTCCCTTCATACAGCAGGTTTGAAACACTCTTTTTGTAATATTTGGAAGTGGACATTTGCAGCGCTTTGAGGCCTATGATGAAAAAGGAAATATCTTCCCATAAAAACTAGACAGAAGCATTCTCAGAAACTTGTTTGTGATGTGTGTATTCAACTTACAGAGATGAACCTTTCTTTTTACCGAGCAGTTTTGAAACACTCTTTTTGTGGAATCTGAAAGTGGATATTTGGATAGCTTTGCGGATTTCGTTGGAAACGGGATTACATATAAAATCTAGGGAGAAGCATTCTCAGGAACTTCTTTGTGATGTTTGCATTCAAGTCACAGAACTGAACATTCCCTTTCATAGAGCAGGTTTGAAACACTCTTTCTGTAGTATCTGCAAGCGGACGTTTCAAGCGCTTTCAGGCCTGTGGTGAAAAGGAAATATCTTCAAATAAAAACTAGACAGAAGCATTCTCAGAAACTTATTTGCGATGTGTGTTCTCAACTAAAAGAGTTGAACCTTTGTTTGGATACAGCATTTTGCAAACACTCTTTTTGTAGAATCTGCAAGTGGATATTTGGATAGCTTTGAAGGTTTCGTTGGAAACGGGAATATCTTCATATAAAATCAAGACAGAAGCATTCTCAGAAACTTCTCTGTGATGTTTGCATTCAACTCATAGAGTTGAACACTTCCCTTCATACAGCAGGTTTGAAACACTCTTTTTGTAATATTTGGAAGTGGACATTTGCAGCGCTTTGAGGCCTATGATGAAAAAGGAAATATCTTCCCATAAAAACTAGACAGGAAGCATTCTCAGAAACTTCCTTGTGATGTGTGTACTCAAGTAACAGAGTTGAACCTTCCTTTTGACAGAGCAGTTTTGAAGCACTCTTTTTGTAGAATCTGCAAGTGGATATTTTGATACCTTTGAGGATTTCGTTGGACACGGGATATCTTCATATAAAATCTAGACAGAAGCATTCTCAGAAACTTCTTTGTGCTGTATGTCCTCAATTAACAGAGTTGAACCTTTGTGTGGATACAGCATTTTGGAAACATTCCTTTAGTAGAATCTGCAAGTTGATATTTAGATAGCTAGGAAGATTTCCTTGGAAACGGGAATATCTTCATATATAATCTAGACGGAAGCATTCTCAGAAACTGCTTTGTGATGTTTTCATTCAAGTCACAGAGTAGAATGTTCCCTGTTATATACCAGGTTTGAGACACTCTTTCTGCACTACCTGGAAGTGGACGTTTGGAGCGCTTTGAGGCCTATGTTTAAAAAGGAAATATCTTCCCATAAAAACTAGACAGAAGCATTCTCAGAAACTTGTTTGTGATGTGTGTATTCAACTAACAGAGATGAACCTTTCTTTTTACAGAGCAGTTTTGAAACACTCTTTTTGTGGAATCTGAAAGTGGATATTTGGATAGCTTTGAGGATTTCGTTGGAAACGGGATTACATATAAAACCTAGAGAGAAGCATTCTCAGGAACTTCTTTGTGATGTTTGCATTCAAGTCACAGAACTGAACATTCCCTTTCATAGAGCAGGTTTGAAACACTCTTTCTGTAGTATCTGCAAGCTGACGTTTCAAGCGCTTTCAGGCCTATGGTGAGAAAGGAAATATCTTCAAGTAAAAACTAGACAGAAGCATTCTCAGAAACTTATTTGCCATGTGTGTTCTCAACTAACAGAGTTGAACCTTTGTTTTGATACGGCATTTTGGAAACACTCTTTTTGTAGAATCTGCAGGTGGATATTCGGATAGCTTTGAAGGTTTCGTTGGAAACGGGAATATCTTCATATAAAATCTAGACGGAAGCATTCTCAGAAACTGCTTTGTGATGTTTTCATTCAAGTCACAGAGTAGAATGTTCCCTGTTATATACCAGGTTTGAGACACTCTTTCTGCACTACCTGGAAGTGGACATTTGCAGCGCTTTGAGGCCTATGATGAAAAAGGAAATATCTTCCCATAAAAACTAGACAGAAGCATTCTCAGAAACTTGTTTGTGATGTGTGTATTCAACTAACAGAGATGAACCTTTCTTTTTACAGAGCAGTTTTGAAACACTCTTTTTGTGGAATCTGAAAGTGGATATTTGGATAGCTTTGAGGATTTCGTTGGAAACGGGATTACATATAAAATCTAGAGAGAAGCATTCTCAGGAACTTCTTTGTGATGTTTGCATTCACGTCACAGAACTGAACATTCCCTTTCATAGAGCATGTTTGAAACACTCTTTCTGTAGTATCTACAAACGGACATTTCAAACGCTTTCAGGCCTATGGTGAGAAAGGAAATATCTTCAAATAAAAACTAGACAGAAGCATTCTCAGAAACTTATTTGCGATGTGTGTCCTCAACTAACAGAGTTGAACCTTTCTTTTGATACAACATTTTGGAAACACTCTTTTTGTAGAATCTGCAAGTGGATATTTGAATAGCTTTGAAGGTTTCGTTGGAAACGGGAATATCTTCATATAAAATCAAGACAGAAGCATTCTCAGAAACTTCTCTGTGATGTTTGCATTCAACTCATAGAGTTGAACACTTCCCTTCATACAGCAGGTTTGAAACACTCTTTTTGTAACATTTGGAAGTGGACATTTGCAGCGCTTTGAGGCCTATGTTGAAAAAGGAAATATCTTCTCCTAAAAACCAGACAGAAGCATTCTCAGAAACTTCCTTGTGATGTGTGTACTCCAGTAACAGAGTTGAACCTTCCTTTTGACAGAGCAGTTTTGAAGCACTCTTTTTGTAGAATCTGCAAGTGGATATTTTGATACCTTTGAGGATTTCGTTGGACACGGGATATCTTCATATAAAATCTAGACAGAAGCATTCTCAGGAACTTCTTTGTGATGTTTGCATTCAAGTCACAGAACTGAACATTCCCTTTCATAGAGCAGGTTTGAAACACTCTTTCTGTAGTATCTGCAAGCGGACGTTTTAAGCGCTTTCAGGCCTGTGGTGAGAAAGGAAATATCTTCAAATAAAAACTAGACAGAAGCATTCTCAGAAACTTATTTGCGATGTGTGTCCTCAACTAACAGAGTTGAACCTTTCTTTTGATACAACATTTTGGAAACACTCTTTTTGTAGAATCTGCAAGTGGATATTTGGATAGCTTTGAAGGTTTCGTTGGAAACGGGAATATCTTCATATGAAATCAAGACAGAAGCATTCTCAGAAACTTCTCTGTGATGTTTGCATTCAACTCATAGAGTTGAACACTTCCCTTCATACAGCAGGTTTGAAACACTCTTTTTGTAATATTTGGAAGTGGACATTTGCAGCGCTTTGAGGCCTATGTTGAAAAAGGAAATATCTTCTCCTAAAAACCAGACAGAAGCATTCTCAGAAACTTCCTTGTGATGTGTGTACTCAAGTAACAGAGTTGAACCTTCCTTTTGACAGAGCAGTTTTGAAGCACTCTTTTTGTAGAATCTGCAAGTGGATATTTTGATACCTTTGAGGATTTCGTTGGACACGGGATATCTTCATATAAAATCTAGACAGAAGCATTCTCAGAAACTTCTTTGTGCTGTATGTCCTCAATTAACAGAGTTGAACCTTTGTGTGGATACAGCATTTTGGAAACATTCCTTTAGAAGAATCTGCAAGTTGATATTTAGATAGCTAGGAAGATTTCCTTGGAAACGGGAATATCTTCATATAAAATCTAGATGGAAGCATTCTCAGAAACTTCTCTGTGATGTTTGCATTCAACTCATAGAGTTGAACACTTCCTTTCATAGAGCATGTTTGAAACACTCTGTGCACTACCTGGAAGTGGACATTTGGAGCGCTTTGAGGCCTATGTTGAAAAAGGAAATATCTTCTCATAAAAACTAGACAGAAACATTCTCAGAAACTTGTTTGTGATGTGTGTATTCAACTAACAGAGATGAACCTTTCTTTTTACAGAGCAGTTTTGAAACACTCTTTTTGTGGAATCTGAAAGTGGATATTTGGATAGCTTTGAGGATTTCGTTGGAAACGGGATTACATATAAAACCTAGAGAGAAGCATTCTCAGGAACTTCTTTGTGATGTTTGCCTTCAAGTCACAGGACTGAACATTCCCTTTCATAGAGCAGGTTTGAAACACTCTTTCTGTAGTATCTGCAAGCTGACGTTTCAAGCGCTTTCAGGCCTATGGTGAGAAAGGAAATATCTTCAAGTAAAAACTAGACAGAAGCATTCTCAGAAACATATTTGAGATGTGTGTTCTCAACTAACAGAGTTGAACCTTTGTTTTGATATGGCATTTTGGAAACACTCTTTTTGTAGAATCTGCAGGTGGATATTCGGATAGCTTTGAAGGTTTCGTTGGAAACGGGAATATCTTCATATAAAATCTAGACGGAAGCGTTCTCAGAAACTTCTCTGTGATGTTTGCATTCAACTCATAGAGTTGAACACTTCCCTTCATAGAGCAGGTTTGAAACACTCTTTTTGTAATATTTGGAAGTGGACATTTGCAGCGCTTTGAGGCCTATGTTGAAAAAGGAAATATCTTCTCCTAAAAACCAGACAGAAGCATTCTCAGAAACTTCCTTGTGATGTGTGTACTCAAGTAACAGAGTTGAACCTTACTTTTGACAGAGCCGTTTTGAAACAGTCTTTTTGTAGAATCTGGAAGTAGATATTTGGACACCTTTGAGGATTTCTTTGGAAACGGGATGTCTTCATATAAAATCTAGACAGAAGCATTCTCAGAAACTTCTTTGTGCTGTATGTCCTCAATTAACAGAGTTGAACCTTTGTGTGGATACAGCATTTTGGAAACATTCCTTTAGTAGAATCTGCAAGTTGATATTTAGATAGCTAGGAAGATTTCCTTGGAAACGGGAATATCTTCATATAAAATCTAGACGGAAGCATTCTCAGAAAGTGCTTTGTGATGTTTGCATTCAAGTCACAGAGTTGAATATTCCCTTTTATAGAGCAGGTTTGAAACACTCTTTCTGCACTACCTGGAAGTGGACATTTGGAGCGCTTTGAGGCCTATGTTGAAAAACGAAATATCTTCCCATAAAAACTAGACAGAAGCATTCTCAGAAACTTGTTTGTGATGTGTGTATTCAACTAACAGAGATGAACCTTTCTTTTTACAGAGCAGTTTTGAAACACTCTTTTTGTGGAATCTGAAAGTGGATATTTGGATAGCTTTGAGGATTTCGTTGGAAACGGGATTACATATAAAACCTAGAGAGAAGCATTCTCAGGAACTTCTTTGTGATGTTTGCCTTCAAGTCACAGGACTGAACATTCCCTTTCATAGAGCAGGTTTGAAACACTCTTTCTGTAGTATCTGCAAGCTGACGTTTCAAGCGCTTTCAGGCCTATGGTGAGAAAGGAAATATCTTCAAGTAAAAACTAGACAGAAGCATTCTCAGAAACTTATTTGCCATGTGTGTTCTCAACTAACAGAGTTGAACCTTTGTTTTGAAACGGCATTTTGGAAACACTCTTTTTGTAGAATCTGCAGGTGGATATTCCGATAGCTTTGAAGGTTTCGTTGGAAACGGGAATATCTTCATATAAAATCTAGACGGAAGCATTCTCAGAAACTGCTTTGTGATGTTTTCATTCAAGTCACAGAGTAGAATCTTCCCTGTTATATACCAGGTTTCAGACACTCTTTCTGCACTACCTGGAAGTGGACATTTGCAGCGCTTTGAGGCCTATGATGAAAAAGGAAATATCTTCCCATAAAAACTAGACAGAAGCATTCTCAGAAACTTGTTTGTGATGTGTGTATTCAACTAACAGAGATGAACCTTTCTTTTTACAGAGCAGTTTTGAAACACTCTTTTTGTGGAATCTGAAAGTGGATATTTGGATAGCTTTGAGGATTTCGTTGGAAACGGGATTACATATAAAATCTAGAGAGAAGCATTCTCAGGAACTTCTTTGTGATGTTTGCATTCACGTCACAGAACTGAACATTCCCTTTCATAGAGCATGTTTGAAACACTCTTTCTGTAGTATCTGCAAACGGACATTTCAAATGCTTTCAGGCCTATGGTGAGAAAGGAAATATCTTCAAATAAAAACTAGACAGCAGCATTCTCAGAAACTTATTTGCCATGTGTGTTCTCAACTAACAGAGTTGAACCTTTCTGTGGATACGGCATTTTGGAAACACTCTTTTTGTAGAATCTGCAGGTGGATATTCGGATAGCTTTGAAGGTTTCGTTGGAAACGGGAATATCTTCATATAAAATCTAGACGGAAGCATTCTCAGAAACTGCTTTGTGATGTTTTCATTCAAGTCACAGAGTAGAATGTTCCCTGTTATACACCAGGTTTGAGACACTCTTTCTGCACTACCTGGAAGTGGACGTTTGGAGCGCTTTGAGGCCTATGTTGAAAAAGGAAATATCTTCCCATAAAAACTAGACAGAAGCATTCTCAGAAACTTGTTTGTGATGTGTGTATTCAACTAACAGAGATGAACCTTTCTTTTTACAGAGCAGTTTTGAAACACTCTTTTTGTGGAATCTGAAAGTGGATATTTGGATAGCTTTGAGGATTTCGTTGGAAACGGGATTACATATAAAACCTAGAGAGAAGCATTCTCAGGAACTTCTTTGTGATGTTTGCATTCAAGTCACAGAACTGAACATTCCCTTTCATAGAGCAGGTTTGAAACACTCTTTCTGTAGTATCTGCAAGCTGACGTTTCAAGCGCTTTCAGGCCTATGGTGAGAAAGGAAATATCTTCAAGTAAAAACTAGACAGAAGCATTCTCAGAAACTTATTTGCCATGTGTGTTCTCAACTAACAGAGTTGAACCTTTGTTTTGATACGGCATTTTGGAAACACTCTTTTTGTAGAATCTGCAGGTGGATATTCGGATAGCTTTGAAGGTTTCGTTGGAAACGGGAATATCTTCATATAAAATGCTAGACGGAAGCATTCTCAGAAACTGCTTTGTGATGTTTTCATTCAAGTCACAGAGTAGAATGTTCCCTTTTATAGAGCAGGTTTGAGACACTCTTTCTGCACTACCTGGAAGTGGACATTTGTAGCGCTTTGAGGCCTATGATGAAAAAGGAAATATCTTCCCATAAAAACTAGACAGATGCATTCTCAGAAACTTGTTTGTGATGTGTGTATTCAACTAACAGAGATGAACCTTTCTTTTTACAGAGCAGTTTTGAAACACTCTTTTTGTGGAATCTGAAAGTGGATATTTGGAGAGCTTTGAGGATTTCGTTGGAAACGGGATTACATAGAAAATCTGGAGAGAAGCATTCTCAGGAACTTCTTTGTGATGTTTGCATTCACGTCACAGAACTGAACATTCCCTTTCATAGAGCATGTTTGAAACACTCTTTCTGTAGTATCTGCAAACGGACATTTCAAGCGCTTTCAGGCCTATGGTGAGAAAGGAAATATCTTCAAATAAAAACTAGACAGAAGCATTCTCAGAAACTTATTTGCGATGTGTGTCCTCAACTAACAGAGTTGAACCTTTGTTTTGATACAACATTTTGGAAACACTCTTTTTGTAGAATCTGCAAGTGGATATTTGGATAGCTTTGAAGGTTTCGTTGGAAACGGGAATATCTTCATATAAAATCAAGACAGAAGCATTTTCAGAAACTTCTCTGTGATGTTTGCATTCAACTCATAGAGTTGAACACTTCCCTTCATACAGCAGGTTTGAAACACTCTTTTTGTAATATTTGGAAGTGGACATTTGCAGCGCTTTGAGGCCTATGTTGAAAAAGGAAATATCTTCTCCTAAAAACCAGACAGAAGCATTCTCAGAAACTTGTTTGTGATGTGTGTATTCAACTAACAGAGATGAACCTTTCTTTTTACAGAGCAGTTTTGAAACACTCTTTTTGTGGAATCTGAAAGTGGATATTTGGATAGCTTTGAGGATTTCGTTGGAAACGGGATTACATATAAAATCTAGAGAGAAGCATTCTCAGGAACTTCTTTGTGATGTTTGCATTCAAGTCACAGAACTGAACATTCCCTTTCATAGAGCAGGTTTGAAACACTCTTTCAGTAGTATCTGCAAGCGGACGTTTCAAGCGCTTTCAGGCCTGTGGAGAAAAAGGAAATATCTTCAAATAAAAACTAGACGGAACCATTCTCAGAAACTTATTTGCGATGTGTGTCCTCAACTAACAGAGTTGAACCTTTGTTTTGATACAGCATTTTGGAAACACTCTTTTTGTAGGATCTGCAGGTGGATATTTGGATAGCTTTTAAGGTTTCGTTGGAAACGGGAATATCTTCATATAAAATCAAGACAGAAGCATTCTCAGAAACTTCTCTGTGATGTTTGCATTCAACTCATAGAGTTGAAGACTTCCTTTCACAGAGCCGGTTTGAAACACTCTGTGCACTACCTGGAAGTGGACATTTGGAGCGCTTTGAGGCCTATGTTGAAAAAGGAAATATCTTCCCATAAAAACTAGACAGAATCATTCTCAGAAACTTGTTTGTGATGTGTGTATTCAACTAACAGAGATGAACCTTTCTTTTTACAGAGCAGTTTTGAAACACTCTTTTTGTGGAATCTGAAAGTGGATATTTGGATAGCTTTGAGGATTTCGTTGGAAACGGGATTACATATAAAATCTAGGGAGAAGCATTCTCAGGAACTTCTTTGTGATGTTTGCATTCAAGTCACAGAACTGAACATTCCCTTTCATAGAGCAGGTTTGAAACACTCTTTCTGTAGTATCTGCAAGTGGACGTTTCAAGCGCTTTCAGGCCTGTGGTGAAAAAGGAAATATCTTCAAATAAAAACTAGACAGAAGCATTCTCAGAAACTTATTTGCGATGTGTGTTCTCAGCTAACAGAGTTGAACCTTTGTTTTGAATCAGCATTTTGGAAACACTCTTTTTGTAGGATCTGCAGGTGGATATTTGGATAGCTTTGAAGGTTTCTTTGGAAACGGGAATATCTTCATATAAAATCAAGACAGAAGCATTCTCAGAAACTTCTCTGTTCTGTTTGCATTCAACTCATAGAGTTGAACACTTCCTTTCATAGAGCTGGTTTGAAATACTCTTTTTGTAATATTTGGAAGTGGACATTGGCAGCGCTTTGAAGCCTATGGTGAAAAAGGAGATATCTTCTCCTAAAAACCAGACAGAAGCATTCTCAGAATCTTTCTTGTGATGTGTGTACTCAAGTAACAGAGTTGAACCTTCATTTTGACAGAGCAGTTTTGAAGCACTCTTTTTGTAGAATCTGCAAGTGGATATTTTGATACCTTTGAGGATTTCGTTAGACACGGGATATCTTCATATAAAATCTAGACAGAAGCATTCTCAGAAACTTCTTTGTGCTGTATGTCCTCAATTAACAGAGTTGAACCTTTGTGTGGATACAGCATTTTGGAAACATTCCTTTAGTAGAATCTGCAAGTTGATATTTAGATAGCTAGGAAGATTTCCTTGGAAACGGGAATATCTTCATATAAAATCTAGACGGAAGCATTCTCAGAAAGTGCTTTGTGATGTTTGCATTCAAGTCACAGAGTTGAATATTCCCTTTTATAGAGCAGGTTTGAAACACTCTTTCTGCACTACCTGGAAGTGGACATTTGGAGCGCTTTGAGGCCTATGTTGAAAAAGGAAATATCTTCCCATAAAAACTAGACAGAAGCATTCTCAGAAACTTGTTTGTGATGTGTGTATTCAACTAACAGAGATGAACCTTTCTTTTTACAGAGCAGTTTTGAAACACTCTTTTTGTGGAATCTGAAAGTGGATATTTGGATAGCTTTGAGGATTTCGTTGGAAACGGGATTACATATAAAACCTAGAGAGAAGCATTCTCAGGAACTTCTTTGTGATGTTTGCCTTCAAGTCACAGGACTGAACATTCCCTTTCATAGAGCAGGTTTGAAACACTCTTTCTGTAGTATCTGCAAGCTGACGTTTCAAGCGCTTTCAGGCCTATGGTGACAAAGGAAATATCTTCAAGTAAAAACTAGACAGAAGCATTCTCAGAAACTTATTTGCCATATGTGTTCTCAACTAACAGAGTTGAACCTTTGTTTTGATACGGCATTTTGGAAACACTCTTTTTGTAGAATCTGCAGGTGGATATTCGGATAGCTTTGAAGGTTTCGTTGGAAACGGGAATATCTTCATATAAAATCTAGACGGAAGCATTCTCAGAAAGTGCTTTGTGATGTTTTCATTCAAGTCACAGAGTAGAATGTTCCCTGTTATATACCAGGTTTGAGACACTCTTTCTGCACTACCTGGAAGTGGACGTTTGGAGCGCTTTGAGGCCTATGTGGAAAAAGGAAATATCTTCCCATAAAAACTAGACAGAAGCATTCTCAGAAACTTGTTTGTGATGTGTGTATTCAACTAACAGAGATGAACCTTTCTTTTTACAGAGCAGTTTTGAAACACTCTTTTTGTGGAATCTGAAAGTGGATATTTGGATAGCTTTGAGGATTTCGTTGGAAACGGGATTACATATAAAACCTAGAGAGAAGCATTCTCAGGAACTTCTTTGTGATGTTTGCATTCAAGTCACAGAACTGAACATTCCCTTTCATAGAGCAGGTTTGAAACAGTCTTTCTGTAGTATCTGCAAGCTGACGTTTCAAGCGCTTTCAGGCCTATGGTGAGAAAGGAAATATCTTCAAGTAAAAACTAGACAGAAGCATTCTCAGAAACTTATTTGAGATGTGTGTTCTCAACTAACAGAGTTGAACCTTTGTTTTGATATGGCATTTTGGAAACACTCTTTTTGTAGAATCTGCAGGTGGATATTCGGATAGCTTTGAAGGTTTCGTTGGAAACGGGAATATCTTCATATAAAATCAAGACAGAAGCATTCTCAGAAACTTCTCTGTGATGTTTGCATTCAACTCGTAGAGTTGAACACTTCCCTTCATACAGCAGGTTTGAAACACTCTTTTTGTAATATTTGGAAGTGGACATTTGCAGCGCTTTGAGGCCTATGATGAAAAAGGAAATATCTTCCCATAAAAACTAGACAGAAGCATTCTCAGAAACTTGTTTGTGATGTGTGTATTCAACTAACAGAGATGAACCTTTCTTTTTACAGAGCAGTTTTGAAACACTCTTTTTGTGGAATCTGAAAGTGGATATTTGGATAGCTTTGCGGATTTCGTTGGAAACGGGATTACATATAAAATCTAGGGAGAAGCATTCTCAGGAACTTCTTTGTGATGTTTGCATTCAAGTCACAGAACTGAACATTCCCTTTCATAGAGCATGTTTGAAACACTCTTTCTGTAGTATCTGCAAGCGGACGTTTTAAGCGCTTTCAGGCCTGTGGTGAGAAAGGAAATATCTTCAAATAAAAACTAGACAGAAGCATTCTCAGAAACTTATTTGCGATGTGTGTCCTCAACTAACAGAGTTGAACCTTTCTTTTGATACAACATTTTGGAAACACTCTTTTTGTAGAATCTGCAAGTGGATATTTGGATAGCTTTGAAGGTTTCGTTGGAAACGGGAATATCTTTATATAAAATCAAGACAGAAGCATTCTCAGAAACTTCTCTGTGATGTTTGCATTCAACTCATAGAGTTGAACACTTCCCTTCATACAGCAGGTTTGAAACACTCTTTTTGTAATATTTGGAAGTGGACATTTGCAGCGCTTTGAGGCCTATGTTGAAAAAGGAAATATCTTCTCCTAAAAACCAGACAGAAGCATTCTCAGAAACTTCCTTGTGATGTGTGTACTCAAGTAACAGAGTTGAACCTTCATTTTGACAGAGCAGTTTTGAAGCACTCTTTTTGTAGAATCTGCAAGTGGATATTTTGATACCTTTGAGGATTTCGTTAGACACGGGATATCTTCATATAAAATCTAGACAGAAGCATTCTCAGGAACTTCTTTGTGATGTTTGCATTCAAGTCACAGAACTGAACATTCCCTTTCATAGAGCAGGTTTGAAACACTCTTTCTGTAGTATCTGCAAGCGGACGTTTCAAGCGCTTTCAGGCCTGTGGTGAAAAAGGAAATATCTTCAAATAAAAACTAGACAGAAGCATTCTCAGAAACTTATTTGCGATGTGTGTTCTCAACTAACAGAGTTGAACCTTTGTTTTGATACAGCATTTTGGAAACACTCTTTTTGTAGGATCTGCAGGTGGATATTTGGATAGCTTTGAAGGTTTCGTTGGAAACGGGAATATCTTCATATAAAATCAAGACAGAAGCATTCTCAGAAACTTCTCTGTGATGTTTGCATTCAACTCATAGAGTTGAACACTTCCCTTCATACAGCAGGTTTGAAACACTCTTTTTCTAATATTTGGAAGTGGACATTTGCAGCGCTTTGAGTCCTATGTTGAAAAAGGAAATATCTTCTCCTAAAAACCAGACAGAAGCATTCTCAGAAACTTCCTTGTGATGTGTGTACTCAAGTAACAGAGTTGAACCTTCCTTTTGACAGAGCAGTTTTGAAGCACTCTTTTTGTAGAATCTGCAAGTGGATATTTTGATACCTTTGAGGATTTCGTTGGACACGGGATATCTTCATATAAAATCTAGACAGAAGCATTCTCAGAAACTTCTTTGTGCTGTATGTCCTCAATTAACAGAGTTGAACCTTTGTGTGGATACAGCATTTTGGAAACATTCCTTTAGTAGAATCTGCAAGTTGATATTTATATAGCTAGGAAGATTTCGTTGGAAACGGGAATATCTTCATATAAAATCTAGACGGAAGCATTCTCAGAAAGTGTTTTGTGATGTTTGCATTCAAGACACAGAGTTGAATATTCCCTTTTATACAGCAGGTTTGAAACACTCTTTCTGCACTACCTGGAAGTGGACATTTGGAGCGCTTTGAGGCCTATGTTGAAAAAGGAAATATCCTCCCATAAAAACTAGACAGAAGCATTCTCAGAAACTTGTTTGTGATGTGTGTATTCAACTAACAGAGATGAACCTTTCTTTTTACAGAGCAGTTTTGAAACACTCTTTTTGTGGAATCTGAAAGTGGATATTTGGATAGCTTTGAGGATTTCGTTGGAAACGGGATTACATATAAAATCTAGAGAGAAGCATTCTCAGGAACTTCTTTGTGATGTTTGCATTCACGTCACAGATCTGAACATTCCCTTTCATAGAGCATGTTTGAAACACTCTTTCTGTAGTATCTGCAAACGGACATTTCAAGCGCTTTCAGGCCTATGGTAAGAAAGGAAATATCTTCAAATAAAAACTAGACAGAAGCATTCTCAGAAACTTATTTGCGATGTGTGTCCTCAACTAACAGAGTTGAACCTTTGTTTTGATACAACATTTTGGAAACACTCTTTTTGTAGAATCTGCAAGTGGGTATTTGGATAGCTTTGAAGGTTTCGTTGGAAACGGGAATATCTTCATATAAAATCAAGACAGAAGCATTCTCAGAAACTTCTCTGTGATGTTTGCATTCAACTCATAGAGTTGAACACTTCCCTTCATAGAGCAGGTTTGAAACACTCTTTTTGTAATATTTGGAAGTGGACATTTGCAGCGCTTTGAGGCCTATGTTGAAAAAGGAAATATCTTCTCCTAAAAACCAGACAGAAGCATTCTCAGAAACTTCCTTGTGATGTGTGTACTCAAGTAACAGAGTTGAACCTTACTTTTGACAGAGCCGTTTTGAAACAGTCTTTTTGTAGAATCTGGAAGTAGATATTTGGACACCTTTGAGGATTTCTTTGGAAACGGGATATCTTCATATAAAATCTAGACAGAAGCATTCTCAGAAACTTCTTTGTGCTGTATGTCCTCAATTAACAGAGTTGAACCTTTGTGTGGATACAGCATTTTGGAAACACTCCTTTAGTAGGATATGCAAGTTGATATTTAGATAGCTAGGAAGATTTCCTTGGAAACGGGAATATCTTCATATAAAATGTAGACGGAAGCATTCTCAGAAAGTGCTTTGTGATGTTTGCATTCAAGTCACAGAGTTGAATATTCCCTTTTATAGAGCAGGTTTGAAACACTCTTTCTGCACTACCTGGAAGTGGACATTTGGAGCTCTTTGAGGCCTATGTTGAAAAAGGAAATATCTTCCCATAAAAACTAGACAGAAGCATTCTCAGAAACTTGTTTGTGATGTGTGTATTCAACTAACAGAGATGAACCTTTCTTTTTACAGAGCAGTTTTGAAACACTCTTTTTGTGGAATCTGAAAGTGGATATTTGGATAGCTTTGAGGATTTCGTTGGAAACGGGATTACATATAAAATCTAGAGAGAAGCATTCTCAGGAACTTCTTTGTGATGTTTGCATTCACGTCACAGAACTGAACATTCCCTTTCATAGAGCATGTTTGAAACACTCTTTCTGTAGCATCTGCAAACGGACATTTCAAGCGCTTTCAGGCCTATGGTAAGAAAGGAAATATCTTCAAATGAAAACTAGACAGAAGCATTCTCAGAAACTTATTTGCGATGTGTGTCCTCAACTAACAGAGTTGAACCTTTGTTTTGATACAACATTTTGGAAACACTCTTTTTGTAGAATCTGCAAGTGGATATTTGGATAGCTTTGAAGGTTTCGTTGGAAACGGGAATATCTTCATATAAAATCAAGACAGAAGCATTCTCAGAAACTTCTCTGTGATGTTTGCATTCAACTCATAGAGGTGAACACTTCCCTTCATAGAGCAGGTTTGAAACACTCTTTTTGTAATATTTGGAAGTGGACATTTGCAGCGCTTTGAGGCCTATGTTGAAAAAGGAAATATCTTCTCCTAAAAACCAGACAGAAGCATTCTCAGAAACTTCCTTGTGATGTGTGTACTCAAGTAACAGAGTTGAACCTTACTTTTGACAGAGCCGTTTTGAAACAGTCTTTTTGTAGAATCTGGAAGTAGATATTTGGACACCTTTGAGGATTTCTTTGGAAACGGGATATCTTCATATAAAATCTAGACAGAAGCATTCTCAGAATCTTCTTTGTGCTGTATGTCCTCAATTAACAGAGTTGAACCTTTGTGTGGATACAGCATTTTGGAAACACTCCTTTAGTAGGATATGCAAGTTGATATTTAGATAGCTAGGAAGATTTCCTTGGAAACGGGAATATCTTCATATAAAATCTAGACGGAAGCATTCTCAGAAAGTGCTTTGTGATGTTTGCATTCAAGTCACAGAGTTGAATATTCCCTTTTATAGAGCAGGTTTGAAACACTCTTTCTGCACTACCTGGAAGTGGACATTTGGAGCGCTTTGAGGCCTATGTTGAAAAAGGAAATATCTTCCCATAAAAACTAGACAGAAGCATTCTCAGAAACTTGTTTGTGATGTGTGTATTCAACTAACAGAGATGAACCTTTCTTTTTACAGAGCAGTTTTGAAACACTCTTTTTGTGGAATCTGAAAGTGGATATTTGGATAGCTTTGAGGATTTCGTTGGAAACGGGATTACATATAAAATCTAGAGAGAAGCATTCTCAGGAACTTCTTTGTGATGTTTGCATTCACGTCACAGAACTGAACATTCCCTTTCATAGAGCATGTTTGAAACACTCTTTCTGTAGTATCTGCAAACGGACATTTCAAACGCTTTCAGGCCTATGGTGAGAAAGGAAATGTCTTCAAGTAAAAACTAGACAGAAGCATTCTCAGAAACTTATTTGCGATGTGTGTCCTCAACTAACAGAGTTGAACCTTTCTTTTGATACAACATTTTGGAAACACTCTTTTTGTAGAATCTGCAAGTGGATATTTGAATAGCTTTGAAGGTTTCGTTGGAAACGGGAATATCTTCATATAAAATCAAGACAGAAGCATTCTCAGAAACTTCTCTGTGATGTTTGCATTCAACTCATAGAGTTGAACACTTCCCTTCATACAGCAGGTTTGAAACACTCTTTTTGTAATATTTGTAAGTGGACTTTTGCAGCGCTTTGAGGCCTATGATGAAAAAGGTAATATCTTCCCATAAAAACTAGACAGAAGCATTCTCAGAAACTTGTTTGTGATGTGTGTATTCAACTAACAGAGATGAACCTTTCTTTTTACAGAGCAGTTTTGAAACACTCTTTTTGTGGAATCTGAAAGTGGATATTTGGATAGCTTTGCGGATTTCGTTGGAAACGGGATTACATATAAAATCTAGGGAGAAGCACTCTCAGGAACTTCTTTGTGATGTTTGCATTCAAGTCACAGAACTGAACATTCCCTTTCATAGAGCATGTTTGAAACACTCTTTCTGTAGTATCTGCAAACGGACATTTCAAACGCTTTCAGGCCTATTGTGAGAAAGGAAATATCTTCAAGTAAAAACTAGACAGAAGCATTCTCAGAAACTTATTTGCGATGTGTGTCCTCAACTAACAGAGTTGAACCTTTCTTTTGATACAACATTTTGGAAACACTCTTTTTGTAGAATCTGCAAGTGGATATTTGAATAGCTTTGAAGGTTTCGTTGGAAACGGGAATATCTTCAAATAAAATCAAGACAGAAGCATTCTCAGAAACTTCTCTGTGATGTTTGCATTCAACTCATAGAGTTGAACACTTCCCTTCATACAGCAGGTTTGAAACACTCTTTTTGTAATATTTGGAAGTGGACATTTGCAGCGCTTTGAGGCCTATGATGAAAAAGGTAATATCTTCCCATAAAAACTAGACAGAAGCATTCTCAGAAACTTGTTTGTGATGTGTGTATTCAACTAACAGAGATGAACCTTTCTTTTTACAGAGCAGTTTTGAAACACTCTTTTTGTGTAATCTGAAAGTGGATATTTGGATAGCTTTGCGGATTTCGTTGGAAACGGGATTACATATAAAATCTAGGGAGAAGCATTATCAGGAACTTCTTTGTGATGTTTGCATTCAAGTCACAGAACTGAACATTCCCTTTCATAGAGCAGGTTTGAAACACTCTTTCTGTAGTATCTGCAAGCGGACGTTTTAAGCGCTTTCAGGCCTGTGGTGAGAAAAGAAATATCTTCAAATAAAAACTAGACAGAAGCATTCTCAGAAACTTATTTGCGATGTGTGTCCTCAACTAACAGAGTTGAACCTTTCTTTTGATACAACATTTTGGAAACACTCTTTTTGTAGAATCTGCAAGTGGATATTTGGATAGCTTTGAAGGTTTCGTTGGAAACGGGAATATCTTCATATGAAATCAAGACAGAAGCATTCTCAGAAACTTCTCTGTGATGTTTGCATTCAACTCATAGAGTTGAACACTTCCCTTCATACAGCAGGTTTGAAACACTCTTTTTGTAATATTTGGAAGTGGACATTTGCAGCGCTTTGAGGCCTATGTTGAAAAAGGAAATATCTTCTCCTAAAAACCAGACAGAAGCATTCTCAGAAACTTCCTTGTGATGTGTGTACTCAAGTAACAGAGTTGAACCTTACTTTTGACGGAGCAGTTTTGAAGCACTCTTTTTGTAGAATCTGCAAGTGGATATTTTGATACCTTTGAGGATTTCGTTGGACACGGGATATCTTCATATAAAATCTAGACAGAAGCATTCTCAGGCAACTTCTTTGTGATGTTTGCATTCAAGTCACAGAACTGAACATTCCCTTTCATAGAGCAGGTTTGAAACACTCTTTCTGTAGTATCTGCAAGCTGACGTTTCAAGCGCTTTCAGGCCTATGGTGAGAAAGGAAATATCTTCAAGTAAAAACTAGACAGAAGCATTCTCAGAAACTTCTTTGTGCTGTATGTCCTCAATTAACAGAGTTGAACCTTTGTGTGGATACAGCATTTTGGAAACATTCCTTTAGTAGAATCTGCAAGTTGATATTTAGATAGCTAGGAAGATTTCCTTGGAAACGGGAATATCTTCATATAAAATCTAGACGGAAGCATTCTCAGAAAGTGCTTTGTGATGTTTGCATTCAAGTCACAGAGTTGAATATTCCCTTTTATAGAGCAGGTTTGAAACACTCTTTCTGCACTACCTGGAAGTGGACATTTGGAGCGCTTTGAGGCCTATGTTGAAAAAGGAAATATCTTCCCATAAAAACTAGACAGAAGCATTCTCAGAAACTTGTTTGTGATGTGTGTATTCAACTAACAGAGATGAACCTTTCTTTTTACAGAGCAGTTTTGAAACACTCTTTTTGTGGAATCTGAAAGTGTATATTTGGATAGCTTTGCGGATTTCGTTGGAAACGGGATTACATATAAAATCTAGGGAGAAGCATTCTCAGGAACTTCTTTGTGATGTTTGCATTCAAGTCACAGGACTGAACATTCCCTTTCATAGAGCAGGTTTGAAACACTCTTTCTGTAGTATCTGCAAGCTGACGTTTCAAGCGCTTTCAGGCCTATGGTGAGAAAGGAAATATCTTCAAGTAAAAACTAGACAGAAGCATTCTCAGAAACTTATTTGCCATGTGTGTTCTCAACTAACAGAGTTGAACCTTTGTTTTGATACGGCATTTTGGAAACACTCTTTTTGTAGAATCTGCAGGTGGATATTCGGATAGCTTTGAAGGTTTCGTTGGAAACGGGAATATCTTCATATAAAATCTAGACGAAGCATTCTCAGAAACTTCTCTGTGATGTTTGCATTCAACTCATAGAGTTGAACACTTCCCTTCATACAGCAGGTTTGAAACACTCTTTTTGTAATATTTGGAAGTGGACATTTGCAGCGCTTTGAGGCCTATGATGAAAAAGGAAATATCTTCCCATAAAAACTAGACAGAAGCATTCTCAGAAACTTGTTTGTGATGTGTGTATTCAACTAACAGAGATGAACCTTTCTTTTTACAGAGCAGTTTTGAAACACTCTTTTTGTGGAATCTGAAAGTGGATATTTGGATAGCTTTGCGGATTTCGTTGGAAACGGGATTAAATATAAAATCTAGGGAGAAGCATTCTCAGGAACTTCTTTGTGATGTTTGCATTCAAGTCACAGAACTGAACATTCCCTTTCATAGAGCAGGTTTGAAACACTCTTTCTGTAGTATCTGCAAGCGGACGTTTTAAGCGCTTTCAGGCCTGTGGTGAGAAAGGAAATATCTTCAAATAAAAACTAGACAGAAGCATTCTCAGAAACTTATTTGCGATGTGTGTCCTCAACTAACAGAGTTGAACCTTTCTTTTGATACAACATTTTGGAAACACTCTTTTTGTAGAATCTGCAAGTGGATATTTGGATAGCTTTGAAGTTTTCGTTGGAAACGGGAATATCTTCATATGAAATCAAGACAGAAGCATTCTCAGAAACTTCTCTGTGATGTTTGCATTCAACTCATGGAGTTGAACACTTCCCTTCATACAGCAGGTTTGAAACACTCTTTTTCTAATATTTGGAAGTGGACATTTGCAGCGCTTTGAGGCCTATGTTGAAAAAGGAAATATCTTCTCCTAAAAACCAGACAGAAGCATTCTCAGAAACTTCCTTGTGATGTGTGTACTCAAGTAACAGAGTTGAACCTTACTTTTGACGGAGCAGTTTTGAAGCACTCTTTTTGTAGAATCTGCAAGTGGATATTTTGATACCTTTGAGGATTTCGTTGGACACGGGATATCTTCATATAAAATCTAGACAGAAGCATTCTCAGAAACTTCTTTGTGCTGTATGTCCTCAATTAACAGAGTTGAACCTTTGTGTGGATACAGCATTTTGGCAACATTCCTTTAGTAGAATCTGCAAGTTGATATTTAGATAGCTAGGAAGATTTCCTTGGAAACGGGAATATCTTCATATAAAATCTAGACGGAAGCATTCTCAGAAAGTGCTTTGTGATGTTTGCATTCAAGTCACAGAGTTGAATATTCCCTTTTATAGAGCAGGTTTGAAACACTCTTTCTGCACTACCTGGAAGTGGACATTTGGAGCGCTTTGAGGCCTATGTTGAAAAAGGAAATATCTTCCCATAAAAACTAGACAGAAGCATTCTCAGAAACTTGTTTGTGATGTGTGTATTCAACTAACAGAGATGAACCTTTCTTTTTACAGAGCAGTTTTGAAACACTCTTTTTGTGGAATCTGAAAGTGGATATTTGGATAGCTTTGAGGATTTCGTTGGAAACGGGATTACATATAAAACCTAGAGAGAAGCATTCTCAGGAACTTCTTTGTGATGTTTGCCTTCAAGTCACAGGACTGAACATTCCCTTTCATAGAGCATGTTTGAAACACTCTTTCTGTAGTATCTGCAAGCTGACGTTTCAAGCGCTTTCAGGCCTATGGTGACAAAGGAAATATCTTCAAGTAAAAACTAGACAGAAGCATTCTCAGAAACTTATTTGCGATGTGTGTTCTCAACTAACAGAGTTGAACCTTTGTTTTGATATGGCATTTTGGAAACACTCTTTTTGTAGAATCTGCAGGTGGATATTCGGATAGCTTTGAAGGTTTCGTTGGAAACGGGAATATCTTCATATAAAATCTAGACGGAAGCATTCTCAGAAACTGCTTTGTGATGTTTTCATTCAAGTCACAGAGTAGAATGTTCCCTGTTATATACCAGGTTTGAGACACTCTTTCTGCACTACCTGGAAGTGGACGTTTGGAGCGCTTTGAGGCCTATGTTGAAAAAGGAAATATCTTCCCATAAAAACTAGACAGAAGCATTCTCAGAAACTTGTTTGTGATGTGTGTATTCAACTAACAGAGATGAACCTTTCTTTTTACAGAGCAGTTTTGAAACACTCTTTTTGTGGAATCTGAAAGTGGATATTTGGATAGCTTTGAGGATTTCGTTGGAAACGGGATTACATATAAAATCTAGAGAGAAGCATTCTCAGGAACTTCTTTGTGATGTTTGCATTCACGTCACAGAACTGAACATTCCCTTTCATAGAGCATGTTTGAAACACTCTTTCTGTAGTATCTGCAAACGGACATTTCAAACGCTTTCAGGCCTATGGTGAGAAAGGAAATATCTTCATGTAAAAACTAGACAGAAGCATTCTCAGAAACTTATTTGCGATGTGTGTCCTCAACTAACAGAGTTGAACCTTTCTTTTGATACAACATTTTGGAAACACTCTTTTTGTAGAATCTGCAAGTGGATATTTGAATAGCTTTGAAGGTTTCGTTGGAAACGGGAATATCTTCATATAAAATCAAGACAGAAGCATTCTCAGAAACTTCTCTGTGATGTTTGCATTCAACTCATAGAGTTGAACACTTCCCTTCATACAGCAGGTTTGAAACACTCTTTTTGTAATATTTGGAAGTGGACTTTTGCAGCGCTTTGAGGCCTATGATGAAAAAGGTAATATCTTCCCATAAAAACTAGACAGAAGCATTCTCAGAAACTTGTTTGTGATGTGTGTATTCAACTAACAGAGATGAACCTTTCTTTTTACAGAGCAGTTTTGAAACACTCTTTTTGTGGAATCTGAAAGTGGATATTTGGATAGCTTTGCGGATTTCGTTGGAAACGGGATTACATATAAAATCTAGGGAGAAGCATTCTCAGGAACTTCTTTGTGATGTTTGCATTCACGTCACAGAACTGAACATTCCCTTTCATAGAGCATGTTTGAAACACTCTTTCTGTAGTATCTGCAAACGGACATTTCAAACACTTTCAGGCCTATGGTGAGAAAGGAAATATCTTCAAATAAAAACTAGACAGAAGCATTCTCAGAAACTTATTTGCGATGTGTGTCCTCAACTAACAGAGTTGAACCTTTCTTTTGATACAACATTTTGGAAACACTCTTTTTGTAGAATCTGCAAGTGGATATTTGGATAGCTTTGAAGGTTTCGTTGGAAACGGGAATATCTTCATATGAAATCAAGACAGAAGCATTCTCAGAAACTTCTCTGTGATGTTTGCATTCAACTCATAGAGTTGAACACTTCCCTTCATACAGCAGGTTTGAAACACTCTTTTTGTAATATTTGGAAGTGGACATTTGCAGCGCTTTGAGGCCTATGTTGAAAAAGGAAATATCTTCTCCTAAAAACCAGACAGAAGCATTCTCAGAAACTTGTTTGTGATGTGTGTATTCAACTAACAGAGATGAACCTTTCTTTTTACAGAGCAGTTTTGAAGCACTCTTTTTGTAGAATCTGCAAGTGGATATTTTGATACCATTGAGGATTTCGTTGGACACGGGATATCTTCATATAAAATCTAGACAGAAGCATTCTCAGAAACTTCTTTGTGCTGTATGTCCTCAATTAACAGAGTTGAACCTTTGTGTGGATACAGCATTTTGGAAACATTCCTTTAGTAGAATCTGCAAGTTGATATTTAGATAGCTAGGAAGATTTCCTTGGAAACGGGAATATCTTCATATAAAATCTAGACGGAAGCATTCTCAGAAAGTGCTTTGTGATGTTTGCATTCAAGTCACAGAGTTGAATGTTCCCTTTTATAGAGCAGGTTTGAAACACTCTTTCTGCACTACCTGGAAGTGGACATTTGGAGCGCTTTGAGGCCTATGTTGAAAAAGGAAATATCTTCCCATAAAAACTAGACAGAAGCATTCTCAGAAACTTGTTTGTGATGTGTGTATTCAACTAACAGAGATGAACCTTTCTTTTTACAGAGCAGTTTTGAAACACTCTTTTTGTGGAATCTGAAAGTGGATATTTGGATAGCTTTGAGGATTTCGTTGGAAACGGGATTACATATAAAACCTAGAGAGAAGCATTCTCAGGAACTTCTTTGTGATGTTTGCATTCAAGTCACAGAACTGAACATTCCCTTTCATAGAGCAGGTTTGAAACACTCTTTCTGTAGTATCTGCAAGCTGACGTTTCAAGCGCTTTCAGGTCTATGGTGAGAAAGGAAATATCTTCAAGTAAAAACTAGACAGAAGCATTCTCAGAAACTTATTTGCGATGTGTGTTCTCAACTAACAGAGTTGAACCTTTGTTTTGATATGGCATTTTGGAAACACTCTTTTTGTAGAATCTGCAGGTGGATATTCGGATAGCTTTGAAGGTTTCGTTGGAAACGGGAATATCTTCATATAAAATCTAGACGGAAGCATTCTCAGAAACTGCTTTGTGATGTTTTCATTCAAGTCACAGAGTAGAATGTTCCCTGTTATATACCAGGTTTGAGACACTCTTTCTGCACTACCTGGAAGTGGACATTTGCAGCGCTTTGAGGCCTATGATGAAAAAGGAAATATCTTCCCATAAAAACTAGACAGAAGCATTCTCAGAAACTTGTTTTTGATGTGTGTATTCAACTAACAGAGATGAACCTTTCTTTTTACAGAGCAGTTTTGAAACACTCTTTTTGTGGAATCTGAAAGTGGATATTTGGATAGCTTTGAGGATTTCGTTGGAAACGGGATTAAATATAAAATCTAGAGAGAAGCATTCTCAGGAACTTCTTTGTGATGTTTGCATTCACGTCACAGAACTGAACATTCCCTTTCATAGAGCATGTTTGAAACACTCTTTCTGTAGTATCTGCAAACGGACATTTCAAACGCTTTCAGGCCTATGGTGAGAAAGGAAATATCTTCAAATAAAAACTAGACAGAAGCATTCTCAGAAACTTATTTGCGATGTGTGTCCTCAACTAACAGAGTTGAACCTTTCTTTTGATACAACATTTTGGAAACACTCTTTTTGTAGAATCTGCAAGTGGATATTTGAATAGCTTTGAAGGTTTCGTTGGAAACGGGAATATCTTCATATAAAATCAAGACAGAAGCATTCTCAGAAACTTCTCTGTGATGTTTGCATTCAACTCATAGAGTTGAACACTTCCCTTCATACAGCAGGTTTGAAACACTCTTTTTGTAACATTTGGAAGTGGACATTTGCAGCGCTTTGAGGCCTATGTTGAAAAAGGAAATATCTTCTCCTAAAAACCAGACAGAAGCATTCTCAGAAACTTGTTTGTGATGTGTGTATTCAACTAACAGAGATGAACCTTTCTTTTTACAGAGCAGTTTTGAAACACTCTTTTTGTAGAATCTGCAAGTGGATATTTTGATACCTTTGAGGATTTCGTTGGACACGGGATATCTTCATATAAAATCTAGACAGAAGCATTCTCAGAAACTTCTTTGTGCTGTATGTCCTCAATTAACAGAGTTGAACCTTTGTGTGGATACAGCATTTTGGAAACATTCCTTTAGTAGAATCTGCAAGTTGATATTTAGATAGCTAGGAAGATTTCCTTGGAAACGGGAATATCTTCATATAAAATCTAGACGGAAGCATTCTCAGAAAGTGCTTTGTGATGTTTGCATTCAAGTCACAGAGTTGAATATTCCCTTTTATAGAGCAGGTTTGAAACACTCTTTCTGCACTACCTGGAAGTGGACATTTGGAGCGCTTTGAGGCCTATGTTGAAAAACGAAATATCTTCCCATAAAAACTAGACAGAAGCATTCTCAGAAACTTGTTTGTGATGTGTGTATTCAACTAACAGAGATGAACCTTTCTTTTTACAGAGCAGTTTTGAAACACTCTTTTTGTGGAATCTGAAAGTGGATATTTGGATAGCTTTGAGGATTTCGTTGGAAACGGGATTACATATAAAACCTAGAGAGAAGCATTCTCAGGAACTTCTTTGTGATGTTTGCCTTCAAGTCACAGGACTGAACATTCCCTTTCATAGAGCAGGTTTGAAACACTCTTTCTGTAGTATCTGCAAGCTGACGTTTCAAGCGCTTTCAGGCCTATGGTGAGAAAGGAAATATCTTCAAGTAAAAACTAGACAGAAGCATTCTCAGAAACTTATTTGCCATGTGTGTTCTCAACTAACAGAGTTGAACCTTTGTTTTGATACGGCATTTTGGAAACACTCTTTTTGTAGAATCTGCAGGTGGATATTCGGATAGCTTTGAAGGTTTCGTTGGAAACGGGAATATCTTCATATAAAATCTAGACGGAAGCATTCTCAGAAACTGCTTTGTGATGTTTTCATTCAAGTCACAGAGTAGAATGTTCCCTGTTATATACCAGGTTTGAGACACTCTTTCTGCACTACCCGGAAGTGGACGTTTGGAGCGCTTTGAGGCCAATGTTGAAAAAGGAAATATCTTCCCATAAAAACTAGACAGAAGCATTCTCAGAAACTTGTTTGTGATGTGTGTATTCAACTAACAGAGATGAACCTTTCTTTTTACAGAGCAGTTTTGAAACACTCTTTTTGTGGAATCTGAAAGTGGATATTTGGATAGCTTTGAGGATTTCGTTGGAAACGGGATTACATATAAAATCTAGAGAGAAGCATTCTCAGGAACTTCTTTGTGATGTTTGCATTCATGTCACAGAACTGAACATTCCCTTTCATAGAGCATGTTTGAAACACTCTTTCTGTAGTATCTGCAAACGGACATTTCAAACGCTTTCAGGCCTATGGTGAGAAAGGAAATATCTTCAAGTAAAAACTAGACAGAAGCATTCTCAGAAACTTATTTGCGATGTGTGTCCTCAACTAACAGAGTTGAACCTTTCTTTTGATACAACATTTTGGAAACACTCTTTTTGTAGAATCTGCAAGTGGATATTTGAATAGCTTTGAAGGTTTCGTTGGAAACGGGAATATCTTCATATAAAATCAAGACAGAAGCATTCTCAGAAACTTCTCTGTGATGTTTGCATTCAACTCATAGAGTTGAACACTTCCCTTCATACAGCAGGTTTGAAACACTCTTTTTGTAATATTTGGAAGTGGACATTTGCAGCGCTTTGAGGCCTATGATGAAAAAGGTAATATCTTCCCATAAAAACTAGACAGAAGCATTCTCAGAAACTTGTTTGTGATGTGTGTATTCAACTAACAGAGATGAACCTTTGTTTTTACAGAGCAGTTTTGAAACACTGTTTTTGTGGAATCTGAAAGTGGATATTTGGACAGCTTTGCGGATTTCGTTGGAAACGGGATTACATATAAAATCTAGGGAGAAGCATTCTCAGGAACTTCTTTGTGATGTTTGCATTCAAGTCACAGAACTGAACATTCCCTTTCATAGAGCAGGTTTGAAACACTCTTTCTGTAGTATCTGCAAGCGGACGTTTTAAGCGCTTTCAGGCCTGTGGTGAGAAAGGAAATATACTTCAAATAAAAACTAGACAGAAGCATTCTCAGCAAACTTCTTTGTGCTGTATGTCCTCAATTAACAGAGTTGAACCTTTGTGTGGATACAGCATTTTGGAAACATTCCTTTAGTAGAATCTGCAAGTTGATATTTAGATAGCTAGGAAGAGTTCCTTGGAAACGGGAATATCTTCATATAAAATCTAGACGGAAGCATTCTCAGAAAGTGCTTTGTGATGTTTGCATTCAAGTCACAGAGTTGAATATTCCCTTTTATAGAGTAGGTTTGAAACACTCTTTCTGCACTTCCTGGAAGTGGACATTTGGAGCGCTTTGAGGCCTATGTTGAAAAAGGAAATATCTTCCCATAAAAACTAGACAGAAGCATTCTCAGAAACTTGTTTGTGATGTGTGTATTCAACTAACAGAGATGAACCTTTCTTTTTACAGAGCAGTTTTGAAACACTCTTTTTGTGGAATCTGAAAGTGGATATTTGGATAGCTTTGAGGATTTCGTTGGAAACGGGATTACATATAAAACCTAGAGAGAAGCATTCTCAGGAACTTCTTTGTGATGTTTGCCTTCAAGTCACAGGACTGAACATTCCCTTTCATAGAGCAGGTTTGAAACACTCTTTCTGTAGTATCTGCAAGCTGACGTTTCAAGCGCTTTCAGGCCTATGGTGAGAAAGGAAATATCTTCAAGTAAAAACTAGACAGAAGCATTCTCAGAAACTTCTTTGCCATGTGTGTTCTCAACTAACAGAGTTGAACCTTTGTTTTGATACGGCATTTTGGAAACACTCTTTTTGTAGAATCTGCAGGTGGATATTCGGATAGCTTTGAAGGTTTCGTTGGAAACGGGAATATCTTCATATAAAATCTAGACGGAAGCATTCTCAGAAACTGCTTTGTGATGTTTTCATTCAAGTCACAGAGTAGAATGTTCCCTGTTATATACCAGGTTTGAGACACTCTTTCTGCACTACCCGGAAGTGGACGTTTGGAGCGCTTTGAGGCCTATGTTGAAAAAGGAAATATCTTCCCATAAAAACTAGACAGAAGCATTCTCAGAAACTTGTTTGTGATGTGTGTATTCAACTAACAGAGATGAACCTTTCTTTTTACAGAGCAGTTTTGAAACACTCTTTTTGTGGAATCTGAAAGTGGATATTTGGATAGCTTTGAGGATTTCGTTGGAAACGGGATTACATATAAAATCTAGAGAGAAGCATTCTCAGGAACTTCTTTGTGATGTTTGCATTCACGTCACAGAACTGAACATTCCCTTTCATAGAGCATGTTTGAAACACTCTTTCTGTAGTATCTGCAAACGGACATTTCAAACGCTTTCAGGCCTATGGTGAGAAAGGAAATATCTTCAAGTAAAAACTAGACAGAAGCATTCTCAGAAACTTATTTGCGATGTGTGTCCTCAACTAACAGAGTTGAACCTTTCTTTTGATACAACATTTTGGAAACACTCTTTTTGTAGAATCTGCAAGTGGATATTTGAATAGCTTTGAAGGTTTCGTTGGAAACGGGAATATCTTCATATAAAATCAAGACAGAAGCATTCTCAGAAACTTCTCTTTGATGTTTGCATTCAACTCATAGAGTTGAACACTTCCCTTCATACAGCAGGTTTGAAACACTCTTTTTGTAATATTTGGAAGTGGACATTTGCAGCGCTTTGAGGCCTATGATGAAAAAGGTAATATCTTCCCATAAAAACTAGACAGAAGCATTCTCAGAAACTTGTTTGTGATGTGTGTATTCAACTAACAGAAGATGAACCTTTCTTTTTACAGAGCAGTTTTGAAACACTCTTTTTGTGGAATCTGAAAGTGGATATTTGGATAGCTTTGCGGATATCGTTGGAAACGGGATTACATATAAAATCTAGGGAGAAGCATTCTCAGGAACTTCTTTGTGATGTTTGCATTCAAGTCACAGAACTGAACATTCCCTTTCATAGAGCAGGTTTGAAACACTCTTTCTGTAGTATCTGCAAGCGGACGTTTTAAGCGCTTTCAGGCCTGTGGTGAGAAAGGAAATATCTTCAAATAAAAACTAGACAGAAGCATTCTCAGAAACTTATTTGCGATGTGTGTCCTCAACTAACAGAGTTGAACCTTTCTTTTGATACAACATTTTGGAAACACTCTTTTTGTAGAATCTGCAAGTGGATATTTGGATAGCTTTGAAGGTTTCGTTGGAAACGGGAATATCTTCATATGAAATCAAGACAGAAGCATTCTCAGAAACTTCTCTGTGATGTTTGCATTCAACTCATAGAGTTGAACACTTCCCTTCATACAGTAGGTTTGAAACACTCTTTTTCTAATATTTGGAAGTGGACATTTGCAGCGCTTTGAGGCCTATGTTGAAAAAGGAAATATCTTCTCCTAAAAACCAGACAGAAGCATTCTCAGAAACTTCCTTGTGATGTGTGTACTCAAGTAACAGAGTTGAACCTTCCTTTTGACAGAGCAGTTTTGAAGCACTCTTTTTGTAGAATCTGCAAGTGGATATTTTGATACCTTTGAGGATTTCGTTGGACACGGGATATCTTCATATAAAATCTAGACAGAAGCATTCTCAGAAACTTCTTTGTGCTGTATGTCCTCAATTAACAGAGTTGAACCTTTGTGTGGATACAGCATTTTGGAAACATTCCTTTAGTAGAATCTGCAAGTTGATATTTAGATAGCTAGGAAGATTTCCTTGGAAACGGGAATATCTTCATATAAAATCTAGACGGAAGCATTCTCAGAAAGTGCTTTGTGATGTCTTCATTCAAGTCACAGAGTAGAATGTTCCCTTTTATAGAGCAGGTTTGAAACACTCTTTCTGCACTACCTGGAAGTGGACATTTGGAGCGCTTTGAGGCCTATGTTGAAAAAGGAAATATCTTCCCATAAAAACTAGACAGAAGCATTCTCAGAAACTTGTTTGTGATGTGTGTATTCAACTAACAGAGATGAACCTTTCTTTTTACAGAGCAGTTTTGAAACACTCTTTTTGTGGAATCTGAAAGTGGATATTTGGATAGCTTTGAGGATTTCGTTGGAAACGGGATTACATATAAAACCTAGAGAGAAGCATTCTCAGGAACTTCTTTGTGATGTTTGCCTTCAAGTCACAGGACTGAACATTCCCTTTCATAGAGCAGGTTTGAAACACTCTTTCTGTAGTATCTGCAAGCTGACGTTTCAAGCGCTTTCAGGCCTATGGTGACAAAGGAAATATCTTCAAGTAAAAACTAGACAGAAGCATTCTCAGAAACTTATTTGCGATGTGTGTTCTCAACTAACAGAGTTGAACCTTTGTATTGATATGGCATTTTGGAAACACTCTTTTTGTAGAATCTGCAGGTGGATATTCGGATAGCTTTGAAGGTTTCGTTGGAAACGGGAATATCTTCATATAAAATCTAGACGGAAGCATTCTCAGAAAGTGCTTTGTGATGTCTTCATTCAAGTCACAGAGTAGAATGTTCCCTTTTATAGAGCAGGTTTGAAACACTCTTTCTGCACTACCTGGAAGTGGACATTTGGAGCGCTTTGAGGCCTATGTTGAAAAACGAAATATCTTCCCATAAAAACTAGACAGAAGCATTCTCAGAAACTTGTTTGTGATGTGTGTATTCAACTAACAGAGATGAACCTTTCTTTTTACAGAGCAGTTTTGAAACACTCTTTTTGTGGAATCTGAAAGTGGATATTTGGATAGCTTTGAGGATTTCGTTGGAAACGGGATTACATATAAAACCTAGAGAGAAGCATTCTCAGGAACTTCTTTGTGATGTTTGCATTCAAGTCACAGAACTGAACATTCCCTTTCATAGAGCAGGTTTGAAACACTCTTTCTGTAGTATCTGCAAGCTGACGTTTCAAGCGCTTTCAGGCCTATGGTGAGAAAGGAAATATCTTCAAGTAAAAACTAGACAGAAGCATTCTCAGAAACTTATTTGCGATGTGTGTTCTCAACTAACAGAGTTGAACCTTTGTTTTGATATGGCATTTTGGAAACACTGTTTTGTAGAATCTGCAGGTGGATATTCGGATAGCTTTGAAGGTTTCGTTGGAAACGGGAATATCTTCATATAAAATCTAGACGGAAGCATTCTCAGAAACTGCTTTGTGATGTTTTCATTCAAGTCACAGAGTAGAATGTTCCCTGTTATATACCAGGTTTGAGACACTCTTTCTGCACTACCTGGAAGTGGACATTTGCAGCGCTTTGAGGCCTATGATGAAAAAGGAAATATCTTCCCATAAAAACTAGACAGAAGCATTCTCAGAAACTTGTTTTTGATGTGTGTATTCAACTAACAGAGATGAACCTTTCTTTTTACAGAGCAGTTTTGAAACACTCTTTTTGTGGAATCTGAAAGTGGATATTTGGATAGCTTTGAGGATTTCGTTGGAAACAGGATTACATATAAAATCTAGAGAGAAGCATTCTCAGGAACTTCTTTGTGATGTTTGCATTCACGTCACAGAACTGAACATTCCCTTTCATAGAGCATGTTTGAAACACTCTTTCTGTAGTATCTGCAAACGGACATTTCAAACGCTTTCAGGCCTATGGTGAGAAAGGAAATATCTTCACATAAAAACTAGACAGAAGCATTCTCAGAAACTTATTTGCGATGTGTGTCCTCAACTAACAGAGTTGAACCTTTCTTTTGATACAACATTTTGGAAACACTCTTTTTGTAGAATCTGCAAGTGGATATTTGAATAGCTTTGAAGGTTTCGTTGGAAACGGGAATATCTTCATATAAAATCAAGACAGAAGCATTCTCAGAAACTTCTCTGTGATGTTTGCATTCAACTCATAGAGTTGAACACTTCCCTTCATACAGCAGGTTTGAAACACTCTTTTTGTAATATTTGGAAGTGGACATTTGCAGCGCTTTGAGGCCTATGATGAAAAAGGTAATATCTTCCCATAAAAACTAGACAGAAGCATTCTCGGAAACTTGTTTGTGATGTGTGTATTCAACTAACAGAGATGAACCTTTCTTTTTACAGAGCAGTTTTGAAACACTCTTTTTGTGGAATCTGAAAGTGGATATTTGGATAGCTTTGAGGATTTCGTTGGAAACGGGATTACATATAAAATCTAGAGAGAAGCATTCTCAGGAACTTCTTTGTGATGTTTGCATTCAAGTCACAGAACTGAACATTCCCTTTCATAGAGCAGGTTTGAAACACTCTTTCTGTAGTATCTGCAAGCTGACGTTTCAAGCGCTTTCAGGCCTATGGTGAGAAAGGAAATATCTTCAAGTAAAAAGTAGACAGAAGCATTCTCAGAAACTTATTTGCGATGTGTGTTCTCAACTAACAGAGTTGAACCTTTGTTTTGATATGGCATTTTGGAAACACTCTTTTTGTAGAATCTGCAGGTGGATATTCGGATAGCTTTGAAGGTTTCGTTGGAAACGGGAATATCTTCATATAAAATCTAGACGGAAGCATTCTCAGAAACTGCTTTGTGATGTTTTCATTCAAGTCACAGAGTAGAATGTTCCCTGTTATATACCAGGTTTGAGACACTCTTTCTGCACTACCTGGAAGTGGACATTTGCAGCGCTTTGAGGCCTATGATGAAAAAGGAAATACCTTCCCATAAAAACTAGACAGAAGCATTCTCAGAAACTTGTTTGTGATGTGTGTATTCAACTAACAGAGATGAACCTTCCTTTTTACAGAGCAGTTTTGAAACACTCTTTTTGTGGAATCTGAAAGTGGATATTTGGATAGCTTTGAGGATTTCGTTGGAAACGGGATTACATATAAAATCTAGAGAGAAGCATTCTCAGGAACTTCTTTGTGATGTTTGCATTCACGTCACAGAACTGAACATTCCCTTTCATAGAGCATGTTTGAAACACTCTTTCTGTAGTATCTGCAAACGGACATTTCAAACGCTTTCAGGCCTATGGTGAGAAAGGAAATATCTTCAAAAGAAACTAGACAGAAGCATATTCAGAAACTTATTTGCGATGTGTGTCCTCAACTAACAGAGTTGAACCTTTCTTTTGATACAACATTTTGGAAACACTCTTTTTGTGGAATCTGCAAGTGGATATTTGGATAGCTTTGAAGGTTTCGTTGGAAACGGGAATATCTTCATATAAAATCAAGACAGAAGCATTCTCAGAAACTTCTCTGTGATGTTTGCATTCAACTCATAGAGTTGAACACTTCCCTTCATACAGCAGGTTTGAAACACTCTTTTTGTAATATTTGGAAGTGGACATTTGCAGCGCTTTGAGGCCTATGATGAAAAAGGTAATATCTTCCCATAAAAACTAGACAGAAGCATTCTCAGAAACTTGTTTGTGATGTGTGTATTCAACTAACAGAGATGAACCTTTCTTTTTACAGAGCAGTTTTGAAACACTCTTTTTGTGGAATCTGAAAGTGGATATTTGGATAGCTTTGCGGATTTCGTTGGAAACGGGATTACATATAAAATCTAGGGAGAAGCATTCTCAGGAACTTCTTTGTGATGTTTGCATTCAAGTCACAGAACTGAACATTCCCTTTCATAGAGCAGGTTCGAAACACTCTTTTTGTAGTATCTGCAAGCGGACGTTTTAAGTGCTTTCAGGCCTGTGGTGAGAAAGGAAATATCTTCAAATAAAAACTAGACAGAAGCATTCTCAGAAACTTATTTGCGATGTGTGTCCTCAACTAACAGAGTTGAACCTTTCTTTTGATACAACATTTTGGAAACACTCTTTTTGTAGAATCTGCAAGTGGATATTTGGATAGCTTTGAAGGTTTCGTTGGAAACGGGAATATCTTCATATAAAATCAAGACAGAAGCATTCTCAGAAACTTCTCTGTGATGTTTGCATTCAACTCATAGAGTTGAACACTTCCCTTCATACAGCAGGTTTGAAACACTCTTTTTCTAATATTTGGAAGTGGACATTTGCAGCGCTTTGAGGCCTATGTTGAAAAAGGAAATATCTTCTCCTAAAAACCAGACAGAAGCATTCTCAGAAAATTCCTTGTGATGTGTGTACTCAAGTAACAGAGTTGAACCTTCCTTTTGACAGAGCAGTTTTGAAGCACTCTTTTTGTAGAATCTGCAAGTGGATATTTTGATACCTCTGAGGATATCGTTGGAAACGGGATTACATATAAAACCTAGAGAGAAGCATTCTCAGGAACTTCTTTGTGATGTTGGCCTTCAAGTCACAGGACTGAACATTCCCTTTCATAGAGCAGGTTTGAAACACTCTTTCTGTAGTATCTGCAAGCTGATGTTTCAAGCGCTTTCAGGCCTATGGTGAGAAAGGAAATATCTTCAAGTAAAAACTAGACAGAAGCATTCTCAGAAACTTATTTGCCATGTGTGTTCTCAACTAACAGAGTTGAACCTTTGTTTTGATGCGGCATTTTGGAAACACTCTTTTTGTAGAATCTGCAGGTGGATATTCGGATAGCTTTGAAGGTTTCGTTGGAAACGGGAATATCTTCATATAAAATCTAGACGGAAGCATTCTCAGAAACTTCTCTGTGATGTGTGCATTCAACTCATAGAGTTGAACACTTCCCTTCATACAGCAGGTTTGAAACACTCTTTTTCTAATATTTGGAAGTGGACATTTGCAGCGCTTTGAGGCCTATGTTGAAAAAGGAAATATCTTCTCCTAAAAACCAGACAGAAGCATTCTCAGAAACTTCCTTGTGATGTGTGTACTCAAGTAACAGAGTTGAACCTTCCTTTTGACAGAGCAGTTTTGAAGCACTCTTTTTGTAGAATCTGCAAGTGGATATTTTGATACCTTTGAGGATTTCGTTGGACACGGGATATCTTCATATAAAATCTAGACAGAAGCATTCTCAGAAACTTCTTTGTTCTGTATGTCCTCAATTAACAGAGTTGAACCTTTGTGTGGATACAGGATTTTGGAAACATTCCTTTAGTAGAATCTGCAAGTTGATATTTAGATAGCTAGAAAGATTTCCTTGGAAACGGGAATATCTTCATATAAAATCTAGACGGAAGCATTCTCAGAAAGTGCTTTGTGATGTTTGCATTCAAGTCACAGAGTTGAATATTCCCTTTTATAGAGCAGGTTTGAAACACTCTTTCTGCACTACCTGGAAGTGGACATTTGGAGCGCTTTGAGGCCTATGTTGAAAAAGGAAATATCTTCCCATAAAAACTAGACAGAAGCATTCTCAGAAACTTGTTTGTGATGTGTGTATTCAACTAACAGAGATGAACCTTTCTTTTTACAGAGCAGTTTTGAAACACTCTTTTTGTGGAATCTGAAAGTGGATATTTGGATAGCTTTGAGGATTTCGTTGGAAACGGGATTACATATAAAACCTAGAGAGAAGCATTCTCAGGAACTTCTTTGTGATGTTTGCATTCAAGTCACAGAACTGAACATTCCCTTTCATAGAGCAGGTTTGAAACACTCTTTCTGTAGTATCTGCAAGCTGACGTTTCAAGCGCTTTCAGGCCTATGGTGAGAAAGGAAATATCTTCAAGTAAAAACTAGACAGAAGCATTCTCACAAACTTATTTGCGATGTGTGTTCTCAACTAACAGAGTTGAACCTTTGTTTTGATATGGCATTTTGGAAACACTCTTTTTGTAGAATCTGCAGGTGGATATTCGGATAGCTTTGAAGGTTTCGTTGGAAACGGGAATATCTTCATATAAAATCTAGACGGAAGCATTCTCAGAAACTTCTCTGTGATGTTTGCATTCAACTCATAGAGTTGAACACTTCCCTTCATACAGTAGGTTTGAAACACTCTTTTTCTAATATTTGGAAGTGGACATTTGCAGCGCTTTGAGGCCTATGTTGAAAAAGGAAATATCTTCTCCTAAAAACCAGACAGAAGCATTCTCAGAAACTTCCTTGTGATGTGTGTACTCAAGTAACAGAGTTGAACCTTCCTTTTGACAGAGCAGTTTTGAAGCACTCTTTTTGTAGAATCTGCAAGTGGATATTTTGATACCTCTGAGGATTTCGTTGGAAACGGGATTACATATAAAACCTAGAGAGAAGCATTCTCAGGAACTTCTTTGTGATGTTGGCCTTCAAGTCACAGGACTGAACATTCCCTTTCATAGAGCAGGTTTGAAACACTCTTTCTGTAGTATCTGCAAGCTGACGTTTCAAGCGCTTTCAGGCCTATGGTGAGAAAGGAAATATCTTCAAGTAAAAACTAGACAGAAGCATTCTCAGAAACTTATTTGCCATGTGTGTTCTCAACTAACAGAGTTGAACCTTTGTTTTGATACGGCATTTTGGAAACACTCTTTTTGTAGAATCTGCAGGTGGATATTCGGATAGCTTTGAAGGTTTCGTTGGAAACGGGAATATCTTCATATAAAATCTAGACGGAAGCATTCTCAGAAACTGCTTTGTGATGTTTTCATTCAAGTCACAGAGTAGAATGTTCCCTGTTATATACCAGGTTTGAGACACTCTTTCTGCACTACCTGGAAGTGGACGTTTGGAGCGCTTTGAGGCCTATGTTGAAAAAGGAAATATCTTCCCATAAAAACTAGACAGAAGCATTCTCAGAAACTTGTTTGTGATGTGTGTATTCAACTAACAGAGATGAACCTTTCTTTTTACAGAGCAGTTTTGAAACACTCTTTTTGTGGAATCTGAAAGTGGATATTTGGAGAGCTTCGAGGATTTCGTTGGAAACGGGATTACATATAAAATCTAGAGAGAAGCATTCTCAGGAACTTCTTTGTGATGTTTGCATTCACGTCACAGAACTGAACATTCCCTTTCATAGAGCATGTTTGAAACACTCTTTCTGTAGTATCTGCAAACGAACATTTCAAACGCTTTCAGGCCTATGGTGAGAAAGGAAATATCTTCAAATAAAAACTAGACAGAAGCATTCTCAGAAACTTATTTGCGATGTGTGTCCTCAACTAACAGAGTTGAACCTTTCTTTTGATACAACATTTTGGAAACACTCTTTTTGTAGAATCTGCAAGTGGATATTTGGATAGCTTTGAAGGTTTCGTTGGAAACGGGAATATCTTCATATAAAATCAAGACAGAAGCATTCTCAGAAACTTCTCTGTGATGTTTGCATTCAACTCATAGAGTTGAACACTTCCCTTCATACAGCAGGTTTGAAACACTCTTTTTGTAATATTTGGAAGTGGACATTTGCAGCGCTTTGAGGCCTATGATGAAAAAGGAAATATCTTCCCATAAAAACTAGACAGGAAGCATTCTCAGAAACTTGTTTGTGATGTGTGTATTCAACTAACAGAGATGAACCTTTCTTTTTACAGAGCAGTTTTGAAACACTCTTTTTGTGGAATCTGAAAGTGGATATTTGGATAGCTTTGCGGATTTCGTTGGAAACGGGATTACATATAAAATCTAGGGAGAAGCATTCTCAGAAACTTCTCTGTGATGTTTGCATTCAACTCATAGAGTTGAACACTTCCTTTCATAGAGCTGGTTTGAAATACTCTTTTTGTAATATTTGGAAGTGGACATTTGCAGCGCTTTGAAGCCTATGGTGAAAAAGGAGATATCTTCCCCTAAAAACCAGACAGAAGCATTCTCAGAAACTTATTTGCGATGTGTGTCATCAACTAACAGAGTTGAACCTTTCTTTTGATACAACATTTTGGAAACACTCTTTTTGTAGAATCTGCAAGTGGATATTTGGATAGCTTTGAAGGTTTCGTTGGAAACGGGAATATCTTCATATAAAATCAAGACAGAAGCATTCTCAGAAACTTCTCTGTGATGTTTGCATTCAACTCATAGAGTTGAACACTTCCCTTCATACAGCAGGTTTGAAACACTCTTTTTGTAATATTTGGAAGTGGACATTTGCAGCGCTTTGAGGCCTATGATGAAAAAGGTAATATCTTCCCATAAAAACTAGACAGAAGCGTTCTCAGAAACTTGTTTGTGACGTGTGTATTCAACTAACAGAGATGAACCTTTCTTTTTACAGAGCAGTTTTGAAACACTCTTTTTGTGGAATCTGAAAGTGGATATTTGGATAGCTTTGCGGATTTCGTTGGAAACGGGATTACATATAAAATCTAGGGAGAAGCATTCTCAGGAACTTCTTTGTGATGTTTGCATTCAAGTCACAGAACTGAACATTCCCTTTCATAGAGCAGGTTTGAAACACTCTTTCTGTAGCATCTGCAAGCGGACGTTTTAAGCGCTTTCAGGCCTGTGGTGAGAAAGGAAATATCTTCAAATAAAAACTAGACAGAAGCATTCTCAGAAACTTATTTGCGATGTGTGTCCTCAACTAACAGAGTTGAACCTTTCTTTTGATACAACATTTTGGAAACACTCTTTTTGTAGAATCTGCAAGTGGATATTTGGATAGCTTTGAAGGTTTCGTTGGAAACGGGAATATCTTCATATGAAATCAAGACAGAAGCATTCTCAGAAACTTCTCTGTGATGTTTGCATTCAACTCATAGAGTTGAACACTTCCCTTCATACAGCAGGTTTGAAACACTCTTTTTCTAATATTTGGAAGTGGACATTTGCAGCGCTTTGAGGCCTATGTTGAAAAAGGAAATATCTTCTCCTAAAAACCAGACAGAAGCATTCTCAGAAACTTCCTTGTGATGTGTGTACTCAAGTAACAGAGTTGAACCTTCCTTTTGACAGAGCAGTTTTGAAGCACTCTTTTTGTAGAATCTGCAAGTGGATATTTTGATACCTTTGAGGATTTCGTTGGACACGGGATATCTTCATATAAAATCTAGACAGAAGCATTCTCAGAAACTTCTTTGTGCTGTATGTCCTCAATTAACAGAGTTGAACCTTTGTGTGGATACAGCATTTTGGAAACATTCCTTTAGTAGAATCTGCAAGTTGATATTTAGATAGCTAGGAAGATTTCCTTGGAAACGGGAATATCTTCATATAAAATCTACACGGAAGCATTCTCAGAAACTTCTCTGTGATGTTTGCATTCAACTCATAGAGTTGAACACTTCCCTTCATACAGCAGGTTTGAAACACTCTTTTTCTAATATTTGGAAGTGGACATTTGCAGCGCTTTGAGGCCTATGTTGAAAAAGGAAATATCTTCTCCTAAAAACCAGACAGAAGCATTCTCAGAAACTTCCTTGTGATGTGTGTACTCAAGTAACAGAGTTGAACCTTCCTTTTGACAGAGCAGTTTTGAAGCACTCTTTTTGTAGAATCTGCAAGTGGATATTTTGATACCTCTGAGGATTTCGTTGGAAACGGGATTACATATAAAACCTAGAGAGAAGCATTCTCAGGAACTTCTTTGTGATGTTTGCATTCACGTCACAGAACTGAATATTCCCTTTCATAGAGCATGTTTGAAAAACTCTTTCTGTAGTATCTGCAAGCGGACATTTCAAGCGCTTTCAGGCCTATGGTGAGAAAGGAAATATCTTCAAATAAAAACTAGACAGAAGCATTCTCAGAAACTTCTTTGTGCTGTATGTCCTCAATTAACAGAGTTGAACCTTTGTGTGGATACAGCACTTTGGAAACATTCCTTTAGTAGAATCTGCAAGTTGATATTTAGATAGCTAGGAAGATTTCCTTGGAAACGGCAACATCTTCATATAAAATCTAGACGGAAACATTCTCAGAAAGTGCTTTGTGATGTTTGCATTCAAGTCACAGAGTAGAATATTCCCTTTTATAGAGCAGGTTTCAAACACACTTTCTGCACTACCTGGAAGTGGACATTTGGAGCGCTTTGAGGGCTATGTTGAAAATGGAAATATCTTCCCATAAAAACTAGACAGAAGCATTTTCAGAAACTTGTTTGTGATGTGTGTATTCAACTAACAGAGATGAACCTTTCTTTTTACAGAGCAGTTTTGAAACACTCTTTTTGTGGAATCTGAAAGTGGATATTTGGACAGCTTTGAGGATATCGTTGGAAACGGGATTACATATAAAATCTAGGGAGAAGCATTCTCAGGAACTTCTTTGTGATGTTTGCATTCAAGTCACAGAACTGAACATTCCCTTTCATAGAGCAGGTTTGAAACACTCTTTCTGTAGTATCTGCAAGCGGACGTTTCAAGCGCTTTCAGGCCTGTGGTGAAAAAGGAAATATCTTCAAATAAAAACTAGACAGAAGCATTCTCAGAAACTTACTTGCGATGTGTGTTCTCAACTAAAAGAGTTGAACCTTTGTTTTGATACAGCATTTTGGAAACACTCTTTTTGTAGAATCTGCAAGTGGATATTTGGATAGCTTTGAAGGTTTCGTTGGAAACGGGAATATCTTCATATAAAATCAAGACAGAAGCATTCTCAGAAACTTCTCTGTGATGTTTGCATTCAACTCATAGAGTTGAACCCTTCCCTTCATACAGCAGGTTTGAAACACTCTTTTTGTAATATTTGGAAGTGGACTTTTGCAGCGCTTTGAGGCCTATGTTGAAAAAGGAAATATCTTCTCCTAAAAACCAGACAGAAGCATTCTCAGAAACTTCCTTGTGATGTGTGTACTCAAGTTACAGAGTTGAACCTTCCTTTTGACAGAGCAGTTTTGAAGCACTCTTTTTGTAGAATCTGCAAGTGGATATTTTGATACCTTTGAGGATTTCGTTGGACACGGGATATCTTCATATAAAATCTAGACAGAAGCATTCTCAGGAACTTCTTTGTGATGTTTGCCTTCACGTCACAGAACTGAACATTCCCTTTCATAGAGCATGTTTGAAACACTCTTTCTGTAGTATCTGCAAACGGACATTTCAAGCGCTTTCAGGCCTATGGTAAGAAAGGAAATATCTTCAAGTAAAAACTAGACAGAAGCATTCTCAGAAACTTATTTGCGATGTGTGTCCTCAACTAACAGAGTTGAACCTTTGTTTTGATACAACATTTTGGAAACACTCTTTTTGTAGAATCTGCAAGTGGATATTTGGATAGCTTTGAAGGTTTCGTTGGAAACGGGAATATCTTCATATAAAATCAAGACAGAAGCATTCTCAGAAACTTCTCTGTGATGTTTGCATTCAACTCATAGAGTTGAACACTTCCCTTCATAGAGCAGATTTGAAACACTCTTTTTGTAATATTTGGAAGTGGACATTTGCAGCTCTTTGAGGCCTATGTTGAAAAAGGAAATATCTTCTCCTAAAAACCAGACAGAAGCATTCTCAGAAACTTCCTTGTGATGTGTGTACTCAAGTAACAGAGTTGAACCTTCCTTTTGACAGAGCCGTTTTGAAACAGTCTTTTTGTAGAATCTGGAAGTAGATATTTGGATATCTTTGAGGATTTCTTTGGAAACGGGATATCTTCATATAAAATATAGACAGAAGCATTCTCAGAAACTGCTTTGTGATGTTCTCATTCAAGTCACAGAGTAGAATGTTCCCTGTTATATACCAGGTTTGAGACACTCTTTCTGCACTACCTGGAAGTGGACGTTTGGAGCGCTTTGAGGCGTATGTTGAAAAAGGAAATATCTTCCCATAAAAACTAGACAGAAGCATTCTCAGAAACTTATTTGCGATGTGTGTTCTCAACTAAAAGAGTTGAACCTTTGTTTGGATACAGCACTTTGGAAACACTCTTTTTGTAGAATCTGCAAGTGGATATTTGGATAGCTTTGAAGGTTTCGTTGGAAACGGGAATATCTTCATATAAAATCAAGACAGAAGCATTCTCAGAAACTTCTCTGTGATGTTTGCATTCAACTCATAGAGTTGAACACTTCCCTTCATACAGCAGGTTTGAAACACTCTTTTTCTAATATTTGGAAGTGGACATTTGCAGCGCTTTGAGGCCTATGTTGAAAAAGGAAATATCTTCTCCTAAAAACCAGACAGAAGCATTCTCAGAAACTTCCTTGTGATGTGTGTACTCAAGTAACAGAGTTGAACCTTCCTTTTGAAAGAGCAGATTTGAAGCACTCTTTTTGTAGAATCTGCAAGTGGATATTTTGATACCTTTGAGGATTTCGTTGGACACGGGATATCTTCATATAAAATCTAGACAGAAGCATTCTCAGGAACTTCTTTGTGATGTTTGCATTCACGTCACAGCAACTGAACATTCCCTTTCATAGAGCATGTTTGAAACACTCTTTCTGTAGTATCTGCAAACGGACATTTCAAACGCTTTCAGGCCTATGGTGAGAAAGGAAATATCTTCAAATAAAAACTAGACAGAAGCATTCTCAGAAACTTATTTGCGATGTGTGTCCTCAACTAACAGAGTTGAACCTTTCTTTTGATACAACATTTTGGAAACACTCTTTTTGTAGAATCTGCAAGTGGATATTTGAATAGCTTTGAAGGTTTCGTTGGAAACGGGAATATCTTCATATAAAATCAAGACAGAAGCATTCTCAGAAACTTCTCTGTGATGTTTGCATTCAACTCATAGAGTTGAACACTTCCCTTCATACAGCAGGCTTGAAACACTCTTTTTGTAATATTTGGAAGTGGACATTTGCAGCGCTTTGAGGCCTATGATGAAAAAGGTAATATCTTCCCATAAAAACTAGACAGAAGCATTCTCAGAAACTTGTTTGTGATGTGTGTATTCAACTAACAGAGATGAACCTTTCTTTTTACAGAGCAGTTTTGAAACACTCTTTTTGTGGAATCTGAAAGTGGCTATTTGGATAGCTTTGCGGATTTCGTTGGAAACGGGATTACATATAAAATCTAGGGAGAAGCATTCTCAGGTAACTTCTTTGTGATGTTTGCATTCAAGTCACAGAACTGAACATTCCCTTTCATAGATCAGGTTTGAAACACTCTTTCTGTAGTATCTGCAAGCGGACGTTTTAAGCGCTTTCAGGCCTGTGGTGAGAAAGGAAATATCTTCAAATAAAAACTAGACAGAAGCATTCTCAGAAACTTATTTGCGATGTGTGTCCTCAACTAACAGAGTTGAACCTTTCTTTTGATACAACATTTTGGAAACACTCTTTTTGTAGAATCTGCAAGTGGATATTTGGATAGCTTTGAAGGTTTCGTTGGAAACGGGAATATCTTCATATGAAATCAAGACAGAAGCATTCTCAGAAACTTCTCTGTGATGTTTGCATTCAACTCATAGAGTTGAACACTTCCCTTCATACAGCAGGTTTGAAACACTCTTTTTCTAATATTTGGAAGTGGACATTTGCAGCGCTTTGAGGCCTATGTTGAAAAAGGAAATATCTTCTCCTAAAAACCAGACAGAAGCATTCTCAGAAACTTCCTTGTGATGTGTGTACTCAAGTAACAGAGTTGAACCTTCCTTTTGACAGAGCAGTTTTGAAGCACTCTTTTTGTAGAATCTGCAAGTGGATATTTTGATACCTTTGAGGATTTCGTTGGACACGGGATATCTTCATATAAAATCTAGACAGAAGCATTCTCAGAAACTTCTTCTTGCTGTGTGTCCTCCATTAACAGAGTTGAACCTTTGTGTGGATACAGCATTTTGGAAACATTCCTTTAGTAGAATCTGCAAGTTGATATTTAGATAGCTAGGAAGATATCCTTGGAAACGGGAATATCTTCATATAAAATCTAGACGGAAGCATTCTCAGAAACTGCTTTGTGATGTCTTCATTCAAGTCACAGAGTAGAATGTTCCCTTTTATAGAGCAGGTTTGAAACACTCTGTGCACTACGTGGAAGTGGACATTGGGAGCGCTTTGAGGCCTATGTTGAAAAAGGAAATATCTTCCCATAAAAACTAGACAGAAGCATTCTCAGAAACTTCCTTGTGATGTGTGTACTCAAGTAACACAGTTGAACCTTCCTTTTGACAGAGCAGTTTTGAAGCACTCTTTTTGTAGAATCTGCAAGTGGATATTTTGATACCTTTGAGGATTTCGTTGGACACGGGATATCTTCATATAAAATCTAGACAGAAGCATTCTCAGGAACTTCTTTGTGATGTTTGCATTCAAGTCACAGAACTGAACATTCCCTTTCATAGAGCAGGTTTGAAACACTCTTTCTGTAGTATCTGCAAGCTGACGTTTCAAGCGCTTTCAGGCCTATGGTGAGAAAGGAAATATCTTCAAGTAAAAACTAGACAGAAGCATTCTCAGAAACTTATTTGCCATGTGTGTTCTCAACTAACAGAGTTGAACCTTTGTTTTGATACGGCATTTTGGAAACACTCTTTTTGTAGAATCTGCAGGTGGATATTCAGATAGCTTTGAAGGTTTCGTTGGAAACGGGAATATCTTCATATAAAATCTAGACGGAAGCATTCTCAGAAACTGCTTTGTGATGTTTTCATTCAAGTCACAGAGTAGAATGTTCCCTGTTATATACCAGGTTTGAGACACTCTTTCTGCACTACCTGGAAGTGGACGTTTGGAGCGCTTTGAGGCCTATGTTGAAAAAGGAAATATCTTCCCATAAAAACTAGACAGAAGCATTCTCAGAAACTTGTTTGTGATGTGTGTATTCAACAAACAGGGATGAACCTTTCTTATTACAGTGCAGTTTTGAAACACTCTTTTTGTGGAATCTGAAAGTGGATATTTGGATAGCTTTGAGGATTTCGTTGGAAACGGGATTACATATAAAACCTAGAGAGAAGCATTCTCAGGAACTTCTTTGTGATGTTTGCATTCAAGTCACAGAACTGAACATTCCCTTTCATAGAGCATGTTTGAAACACTCTTTCTGTAGTATCTGCAAACGGACATTTCAAACGCTTTCAGGCCTATGGTGAGAAAGGAAATATCTTCAAATAAAAACTAGACAGAAGCATTCTCAGAAACTTCTTTGTGCTGTATGTCCTCAATTAACAGAGTTGAAGCTTTGTGTGGATACAGCATTTTGGAAACATTCCTTTAGTAGAATCTGCAAGTTGATATTTAGATAGCTAGGAAGATTTCCTTGGAAACGGGAATATCTTCATATAAAATCTAGACGGAAGCATTCTCAGAAACTGCTTTGTGATGTTTTCATTCAAGTCACAGAGTACAATGTTCCCTGTTATATACCAGGTTTGAGACACTCTTTCTGCACTACCTGGAAGTGGACATTTGGAGCGCTTTGAGGCCTATGATGAAAAAGGAAATATCTTCCCATAAAAACTAGACAGAAAGCATTCTCAGGAAACTTGTTTGTGATGTGTGTATTCAACTAACAGAGCATGAACCTTTCTTTTTACAGAGCAGTTTTGAAACACTCTTTTTGTGGAATCTGAAAGTGGATATTTGGATAGCTTTGCGGATTTCGTTGGAAACGGGATTACATATAAAATCTAGGGAGAAGCATTCTCAGGAACTTCTTTGTGATGTTTGCATTCACGTCACAGAACTGAACATTCCCTTTCATAGAGCATGTTTGAAACACTCTTTCTGTAGTATCTGCAAACGGACATTTCAAACGCTTTCAGGCCTATGGTGAGAAAGGAAATATCTTCAAGTAAAAACTAGACAGAAGCATTCTCAGAAACTTATTTGCGATGTGTGTCCTCAACTAACAGAGTTGAACCTTTCTTTTGATACAACATTTTGGAAACACTCTTTTTGTAGAATCTGCAAGTGGATATTTGAATAGCTTTGAAGGTTTCGTTGGAAACGGGAATATCTTCATATAAAATCAAGACAGAAGCATTCTCAGAAACTTCTCTGTGATGTTTGCATTCAACTCATAGAGTTGAACACTTCCCTTCATACAGCAGGTTTGAAACACTCTTTTTGTAATATTTGGAAGTGGACATTTGCAGCGCTTTGAGGCCTATGATGAAAAAGGTAATATCTTCCCATAAAAACTAGACAGAAGCATTCTCAGAAACTTGTTTGTGATGTGTGTATTCAACTAACAGAGATGAACCTTTCTTTTTACAGAGCAGTTTTGAAACACTCTTTTTGTGGAATCTGAAAGTGGATATTTGGATAGCTTTGCGGATTTCGTTGGAAACGGGATTACATATAAAATCTAGGGAGAAGCATTCTCAGGAACTTCTTTGTGATGTTTGCATTCAAGTCACAGAACTGAACATTCCCTTTCATAGAGCAGGTTTGAAACACTCTTTCTGTAGTATCTGCAAGCGGACGTTTTAAGCGCTTTCAGGCCTGTGGTGAGAAAGGAAATATCTTCAAATAAAAACTAGACAGAAGCATTCTCAGAAACTTATTTGCGATGTGTGTCCTCAACTAACAGAGTTCAACCTTTCTTTTGATACAACATTTTGGAAACACTCTTTTTGTAGAATCTGCAAGTGGATATTTGGATAGCTTTGAAGGTTTCGTTGGAAACGGGAATATCTTCATATGAAATCAAGACAGAAGCATTCTCAGAAACTTCTCTGTGATGTTTTCATTCAACTCATAGAGTTGAACACTTCCCTTCATACAGCAGGTTTGAAACACTCTTTTTCTAATATTTGGAAGTGGACATTTGCAGCGCTTTGAGGCCTATGTTGAAAAAGGAAATATCTTCTCCTAAAAACCAGACAGAAGCATTCTCAGAAACTTCCTTGTGATGTGTGTACTCAAGTAACAGAGTTGAACCTTCCTTTTGACAGAGCAGTTTTGAAGCACTCTTTTTGTAGAATCTGCAAGTGGATATTTTGATACCTTTGAGGATTTCGTTGGACACGGGATATATTCATATAAAATCTAGACAGAAGCATTCTCAGGAACTTCTTTGTGATGTTTGCATTCAAGTCACAGAACTGAACATTCCCTTTCATAGAGCAGGTTTGAAACACTCTTTCTGTAGTATCTGCAAGCTGACGTTTCAAGCGCTTTCAGGCCTATGGTGAGAAAGGAAATATCTTCAAGTAAAAACTAGACAGAAGCATTCTCAGAAACTTATTTGCGATGTGTGTTCTCAACTAACAGAGTTGAACCTTTGTTTTGATATGGCATTTTGGAAACACTCTTTTTGTAGAATCTGCAGGTGGATATTCGGATAGCTTTGAAGGTTTCGTTGGAAACGGGAATATCTTCATATAAAATCTAGACGGAAGCATTCTCAGAAACTGCTTTGTGATGTTTTCATTCAAGTCACAGAGTAGAATGTTCCCTGTTATATACCAGGTTTGAGACACTCTTTCTGCACTACCTGGAAGTGGACATTTGCAGCGCTTTGAGGCCTATGATGAAAAAGGAAATATCTTCTCCTAAAAACCAGACAGAAGCATTCTCAGAAACTTCCTTGTGATGTGTGTACTCAAGTAACAGAGTTGAACCTTCCTTTTGACAGAGCAGTTTTGAAGCACTCTTTTTGTAGAATCTGCAAGTGGATATTTTGATACCTTTGAGGATTTCGTTGGACACGGGATATCTTCATATAAAATCTAGACAGAAGCATTCTCAGAAACTTCTTTGTGCTTTATGTCCTCAATTAACAGAGTTGAACCTTTGTGTGGATACAGCATTTTGGAAACATTCCTTTAGTAGAATCTGCAAGTTGATATTTAGATAGCTAGGAAGATTTCCTTGGAAACGGGAATATCTTCATATAAAATCTAGACGGAAGCATTCTCAGAAAGTGCTTTGTGATGTTTGCATTCAAGTCACAGAGTTGAATATTCCCTTTTATAGAGCAGGTTTGAAACACTCTTTCTGCACTACCTGGAAGTGGACATTTGGAGCGCTTTGAGGCCTATGTTGAAAAACGAAATATCTTCCCATAAAAACTAGACAGAAGCATTCTCAGAAACTTGTTTGTGATGTGTGTATTCAACTAACAGAGATGAACCTTTCTTTTTACAGAGCAGTTTTGAAACACTCTTTTTGTGGAATCTGAAAGTGGATATTTGGATAGCTTTGAGGATTTCGTTGGAAACGGGATTACATATAAAACCTAGAGAGAAGCATTCTCAGGAACTTCTTTGTGATGTTTGCCTTCAAGTCACAGGACTGAACATTCCCTTTCATAGAGCAGGTTTGGAACACTCTTTCTGTAGTATCTGCAAGCTGACGTTTCAAGCGCTTTCAGGCCTATGGTGAGAAAGGAAATATCTTCAAGTAAAAACTAGACAGAAGCATTCTCAGAAACTTATTTGCCATGTGTGTTCTCAACTAACAGAGTTGAACCTTTGTTTTGATACGGCATTTTGGAAACACTCTTTTTGTAGAATCTGCAGGTGGATATTCGGATAGCTTTGAAGGTTTCGTTGGAAACGGGAATATCTTCATATAAAATCTAGACGGAAGCATTCTCAGAAACTGCTTTGTGATGTTTTCATTCAAGTCACAGAGTAGAATCTTCCCTGTTATATACCAGGTTTCAGACACTCTTTCTGCACTACCTGGAAGTGGACATTTGCAGCGCTTTGAGGCCTATGATGAAAAAGGAAATATCTTCCCATAAAAACTAGACAGAAGCATTCTCAGAAACTTGTTTGTGATGTGTGTATTCAACTAACAGAGATGAACCTTTCTTTTTACAGAGCAGTTTTGAAACACTCTTTTTGTGGAATCTGAAAGTGGATATTTGGATAGCTTTGAGGATTTCGTTGGAAACGGGATTACATATAAAATCTAGAGAGAAGCATTCTCAGGAACTTCTTTGTGATGTTTGCATTCACGTCACAGAACTGAACATTCCCTTTCATAGAGCATGTTTGAAACACTCTTTCTGTAGTATCTGCAAACGGACATTTCAAACGCTTTCAGGCCTATGGTGAGAAAGGAAATATCTTCAAATAAAAACTAGACAGAAGCATTCTCAGAAACTTATTTGCGATGTGTGTCCTCAACTAACAGAGTTGAACCTTTCTTTTGATACAACATTTTGGAAACACTCTTTTTGTGGAATCTGCAAGTGGATATTTGGATAGCTTTGAAGGTTTCGTTGGAAACGGGAATATCTTCATATAAAATCAAGACAGAAGCATTCTCAGAAACTTCTCTGTGATGTTTGCATTCAACTCATAGAGTTGAACACTTCCCTTCATACAGCAGGTTTGAAACACTCTTTTTGTAATATTTGGAAGTGGACATTTGCAGCGCTTTGAGGCCTATGATGAAAAAGGAAATATCTTCCAATAAAAACTAGACAGAAGCATTCTCAGAAACTTGTTTGTGATGTGTGTATTCAACTAACAGAGATGAACCTTTCTTTTTACAGAGCAGTTTTGAAACACTCTTTTTGTGGAATCTGAAAGTGGATATTTGGATAGCTTTGAGGATTTCGTTGGAAACGGGATTACATATAAAATCTAGAGAGAAGCATTCTCAGGAACTTCTTTGTGATGTTTGCATTCACGTCACAGAACTGAACATTCCCTTTCATAGAGCATGTTTGAAACACTCTTTCTGTAGTATCTGCAAACGGACATTTCAAACGCTTTCAGGCCTATGGTGAGAAAGGAAATATCTTCAAGTAAAAACTAGACAGAAGCATTCTCAGAAACTTATTTGCGATGTGTGTCCTCAACTAACAGAGTTGAACCTTTCTTTTGATACAACATTTTGGAAACACTCTTTTTGTAGAATCTGCAAGTGGATATTTGAATAGCTTTGAAGGTTTCGTTGGAAACGGGAATATCTTCATATAAAATCAAGACAGAAGCATTCTCAGAAACTTCTCTTTGATGTTTGCATTCAACTCATAGAGTTGAACACTTCCCTTCATACAGCAGGTTTGAAACACTCTTTTTGTAATATTTGGACGTGGACATTTGCAGCGCTTTGAGGCCTATGATGAAAAAGGTAATATCTTCCCATAAAAACTAGACAGAAGCATTCTCAGAAACTTGTTTGTGATGTGTGTATTCAACTAACAGAGATGAACCTTTCTTTTTACAGAGCAGTTTTGAAACACTCTTTTTGTGGAATCTGAAAGTGGATATTTGGATAGCTTTGCGGATTTCGTTGGAAACGGGATTACATATAAAATCTAGGGAGAAGCATTATCAGGAACTTCTTTGTGATGTTTGTATTCAAGTCACAGAACTGAACATTCCCTTTCATAGAGCAGGTTTGAAACACTCTTTCTGTAGTATCTGCAAGCGGACGTTTTAAGCGCTTTCAGGCCTGTGGTGAGAAAAGAAATATCTTCAAATAAAAACTAGACAGAAGCATTCTCAGAAACTTATTTGCGATGTGTGTCCTCAACTAACAGAGTTGAACCTTTCTTTTGATACAACATTTTGGAAACACTCTTTTTGTAGAATCTGCAAGTGGATATTTGGATAGCTTTGAAGGTTTCGTTGGAAACGGGAATATCTTCATATGAAATCAAGACAGAAGCATTCTCAGAAACTTCTCTGTGATGTTTGCATTCAACTCATAGAGTTGAACACTTCCCTTCATACAGCAGGTTTGAAACACTCTTTTTCTAATATTTGGAAGTGGACATTTGCAGCGCTTTGAGGCCTATGTTGAAAAGGGAAATATCTTCTCCTAAAAACCAGACAGAAGCATTCTCAGAAACTTCCTTGTGATGTGTGTACTCAAGTAACAGAGTTGAACCTTCCTTTTGACAGAGCAGTTTTGAAGCACTCTTTTTGTAGAATCTGCAAGTGGATATTTTGATACCTTTGAGGATTTCGTTGGACACGGGATATCTTCATATAAAATCTAGACAGAAGCATTCTCAGAAACTTCTTTGTGCTGTATGTCCTCAATTAACAGAGTTGAACCTTTGTGTGGATACAGCATTTTGGAAACATTCCTTTAGTAGAATCTGCAAGTTGATATTTAGATAGCTAGGAAGATTTCCTTGGAAACGGGAATATCTTCATATAAAATCTAGACGGAAGCATTCTCAGAAAGTGCTTTGTGATGTTTGCATTCAAGTCACAGAGTTGAATATTCCCTTTTATAGAGCAGGTTTGAAACACTCTTTCTGCACTACCTGGAAGTGGACATTTGGAGCGCTTTGAGGCCTATGTTGAAAAACGAAATATCTTCCCATAAAAACTAGACAGAAGCATTCTCAGAAACTTGTTTGTGATGTGTGTATTCAACTAACAGAGATGAACCTTTCTTTTTACAGAGCAGTTTTGAAACACTCTTTTTGTGGAATCTGAAAGTGGATATTTGGATAGCTTTGAGGATTTCGTTGGAAACGGGATTACATATAAAACCTAGAGAGAAGCATTCTCAGGAACTTCTTTGTGATGTTTGCCTTCAAGTCACAGGACTGAACATTCCCTTTCATAGAGCAGGTTTGAAACACTCTTTCTGTAGTATCTGCAAGCTGACGTTTCAAGCGCTTTCAGGCCTATGGTGAGAAAGGAAATATCTTCAAGTAAAAACTAGACAGAAGCATTCTCAGAAACTTATTTGCCATGTGTGTTCTCAACTAACAGAGTTGAACCTTTGTTTTGATACGGCATTTTGGAAACACTCTTTTTGTAGAATCTGCAGGTGGATATTGGGATAGCTTTGAAGGTTTCGTTGGAAACGGGAATATCTTCACATAAAATCTAGACGGAAGCATTCTCAGAAACTTCTCTGTGATGTTTGCATTCAACTCATAGAGTTGAACGCTTCCCTTCATACAGGAGGTTTGAAACACTCTTTTTGTAATATTTGGAAGTGGACATTTGCAGCGCTTTGAGGCCTATGATGAAAAAGGTAATATCTTCCCATAAAAACTAGACAGAAGCATTCTCAGAAGCTTGTTTGTGATGTGTGTATTCAACTAACAGAGATGAACCTTTCTTTTTACAGAGCAGTTTTAAAACACTCTTTTTGTGGAATCTGAAAGTGGATATTTGGATACCTTTGAGGATTTCGTTGGAAACGGGATTACATACAAAATCTAGAGAGAAGCATTCTCAGGAACTTCTTTGTGATGTTTGCATTCAAGTCACAGAACTGAACATTCCCTTTCATAGAGCATGTTTGAAACACTCTTTCTGTAGTATCTGCAACCGGACATTTCAAGCGCTTTCAGGCCTGTGGTGAGAAAGGAAATATCTTCAAATAAAAACTAGACAGAAGCATTCTCAGAAACTTATTTGCGATGTGTGTCCTCAACTAACAGAGTTGAACCTTTGTTTGGATACAGCATTTTGGAAACATTCCTTTAGTAGTATCTGCAAGTTGATATTTAGATAGGAAGATTTCGTTGGAAACGGGAATCTCTTCATATAAAATCTAGACGGAAGCATTCTCAGAAACTTCTCTGTGATGTTTGCATTCAACTCATAGAGTGGAACACTTCCTTTCATAGAGCAGGTTTGAAACACTCTTTTTGTAATATTTGGAAGTGGACATTGGCAGCGCTTTGAGGCCTATGTTGAAAAAGGAAATATCTTCTCCTAAAAACCAGACAGAAGCATTCTCAGAAACTTCCTTGTGATGTGTGTACTCAAGTAACAGAGATGAACTTTCCTTTTGACAGAGCAGTTTTGAAACACTCTTTTTGTAGAATCTGCAAGTGGATATTTTGATACCTTTGAGGATTTCGTTGGACACGGGATATCTTCATATAAAATCTAGACAGAAGCATTCTCAGAAACTTCTTTGTGCTGTATGTCCTCAATTAACAGAGTTGAACCTTTGTTTTGATACAGCATTCTGGAAACATTCCTTTAGTAGAATCTGCAAGTTGATATTTAGATAGCTAGGAAGATTTCCTTGGAAACGGGAATATCTTCATATAAAATCTAGACGGAAGTATTCTCAGAAAGTGCTTTGTGATGTTTGCATTCAAGTCACAGAGTTGAATATTCCCTTTTATAGAGCAGGTTTGAAACACTCTTTCTGCACTACCTGGAAGTGGACATTTGGAGCGCATTGAGGCCTATGTTGAAAAAGGAAATATCTTCCCATAAAAACTAGACAGAAGCATTCTCAGAAACTTGTTTGTGATGTGTGTATTCAACTAACAGAGATGAACCTTTCTTTTTACAGAGCAGTTTTGAAACACTCTTTTTGTGGAATCTGAAAGTGGATATTTGGATAGCTTTGAGGATTTCGTTGGAAACGGGATTACATATAAAACCTAGAGAGAAGCATTCTCAGGAACTTCTTTGTGATGTTTGCATTCAAGTCACAGAACTGAACATTCCCTTTCATAGAGCAGGTTTGAAACACTCTTTCTGTAGTATCTGCAAGCTGACGTTTCAAGCGCTTTCAGGCCTATGGTGAGAAAGGAAATATCTTCAAGTAAAAACTAGACAGAAGCATTCTCAGAAACTTATTTGCGATGTGTGTTCTCAACTAACAGAGTTGAACCTTTGTTTTGATATGGCATTTTGGAAACACTCTTTTTGTAGAATCTGCAGGTGGATATTCGGATAGCTTTGAAGGTTTCGTTGGAAACGGGAATATCTTCATATGAAATCTAGACGGAAGCATTCTCAGAAACTTCTCTGTGATGTTTGCATTCAACTCATAGAGTTGAACACTTCCCTTCATACAGCAGGTTTGAAACACTCTTTTTGTAATATTTGGAAGTGGACATTTGCAGCGCTTTGAGGCCTATGATGAAAAAGGAAATATCTTCCCATAAAAACTAGACAGAAGCATTCTCAGAAACTTGTTTGTGATGTGTGTATTCAACTAACAGAGATGAACCTTTCTTTTTACAGAGCAGTTTTGAAACACTCTTTTTGTGGAATCTGAAAGTGGATATTTGGATAGCTTTGAGGATTTCGTTGGAAACGGGATTACATATAAAATCTAGAGAGAAGCATTCTCAGGAACTTCTTTGTGATGTTTGCATTCACGTCACAGAACTGAACATTCCCTTTCATAGAGCATGTTTGAAACACTCTTTCTGTAGTATCTGCAAACGGACATTTCAAACGCTTTCAGGCCTATGGTGAGAAAGGAAATATCTTCAAGTAAAAACTAGACAGAAGCATTCTCAGAAACTTATTTGCGATGTGTGTCCTCAACTAACAGAGTTGAACCTTTCTTTTGATACAACATTTTGGAAACACTCTTTTTGTAGAATCTGCAAGTGGATATTTGGATAGCTTTGAAGGTTTCGTTGGAAACGGGAATATCTTCATATGAAATCAAGACAGAAGCATTCTCAGAAACTTCTCTGTGATGTTTGCATTCAACTCATAGAGTTGAACACTTCCCTTCATACAGCAGGTTTGAAACACTCTTTTTGTAATATTTGGAAGTGGACATTTGCAGCGCTTTGAGGCCTATGTTGAAAAAGGAAATATCTTCTCCTAAAAACCAGACAGAAGCATTCTCAGAAACTTCCTTGTGATGTGTGTACTCAAGTAACAGAGTTGAACCTTCCTTTTGACAGAGCAGTTTTGAAGCACTCTTTTTGTAGAATCTGCAAGTGGATATTTTGATACCTTTGAGGATTTCGTTGGACACGGGATATCTTCATATGAAATCTAGACAGAAACATTCTCAGAAACTTCTTTGTGCTGTATGTCCTCAATTAACAGAGTTGAACCTTTGTGTGGATACAGCATTTTGGAAACATTCCTTTAGTAGAATCTGCAAGTTGATATTTAGATAGCTAGGAAGATTTCCTTGGAAACGGGAATATCTTCATATAAAATCTAGACGGAAGCATTCTCAGAAACTGCTTTGTGATGTTTTCATTCAAGTCACAGAGTAGAATGTTCCCTGTTATATACCAGGTTTGAGACACTCTTTCTGCACTACCTGGAAGTGGACATTTGCAGCGCTTTGAGGCCTATGATGAAAAAGGAAATATCTTCCCATAAAAACTAGACAGAAGCATTCTCAGAAACTTGTTTGTGATGTGTGTATTCAACTAACAGAGATGAACCTTTCTTTTTACAGAGCAGTTTTGAAACACTCTTTTTGTGGAATCTGAAAGTGGATATTTGGATAGCTTTGAGGATTTCGTTGGAAACGGGATTACATATAAAACCTAGAGAGAAGCATTCTCAGGAACTTCTTTGTGATGTTTGCATTCAAGTCACAGAACTCAACATTCCCTTTCATAGAGCAGGTTTGAAACACTCTTTCTGTAGTATCTGCAAGCTGACGTTTCAAGCGCTTTCAGGCCTATGGTGAGAAAGGAAATATCTTCAAGTAAAAACTAGACAGAAGCATTCTCAGAAACTTATTTGCGATGTGTGTTCTCAACTAACAGAGTTGAACCTTTGTTTTGATATGGCATTTTGGAAACACTCTTTTTGTAGAATCTGCAGGTGGATATTCGGATAGCTTTGAAGGTTTCGTTGGAAACGGGAATATCTTCATATAAAATCTAGACGGAAGCATTCTCAGAAACTGCTTTGTGATGTTTTCATTCAAGTCACAGAGTAGAATGTTCCCTGTTATATACCAGGTTTGAGACACTCTTTCTGCACTACCTGGAAGTGGACATTTGCAGCGCTTTGAGGCCTATGATGAAAAAGGAAATATCTTCCCATAAAAACTAGACAGAAGCATTCTCAGAAACTTGTTTGTGATGTGTGTATTCAACTAACAGAGATGAACCTTTCTTTTTACAGAGCAGTTTTGAAACACTCTTTTTGTGGAATCTGAAAGTGGATATTTGGATAGCTTTGAGGATTTCGTTGGAAACGGGATTACATATAAAATCTAGAGAGAAGCATTCTCAGGAACTTCTTTGTGATGTTTGCATTCACGTCACAGAACTGAACATTCCCTTTCATAGAGCATGTTTGAAACACTCTTTCTGTAGTATCTACAAACGGACATTTCAAACGCTTTCAGGCCTATGGTGAGAAAGGAAATATCTTCAAATAAAAACTAGACAGAAGCATTCTCAGAAACTTATTTGCGATGTGTGTCCTCAACTAACAGAGTTGAACCTTTCTTTTGATACAACATTTTGGAAACACTCTTTTTGTAGAATCTGCAAGTGGATATTTGAATAGCTTTGAAGGTTTCGTTGGAAACGGGAATATCTTCATATAAAATCAAGACAGAAGCATTCTCAGAAACTTCTCTGTGATGTTTGCATTCAACTCATAGAGTTGAACACTTCCCTTCATACAGCAGGTTTGAAACACTCTTTTTGTAATATTTGGAAGTGGACATTTGCAGCGCTTTGAGGCCTATGTTGAAAAAGGAAATATCTTCTCCTAAAAACCAGACAGAAGCATTCTCAGAAACTTGTTTGTGATGTGTGTATTCAACTAACAGAGATGAACCTTTCTTTTTACAGAGCAGTTTTGAAACACTCTTTTTGTGGAATCTGAAAGTGGATATTTGGATAGCTTTGAGGATTTCGTTGGAAACGGGATTACATATAAAACCTAGAGAGAAGCATTCTCAGGAACTTCTTTGTGATGTTTGCATTCAAGTCACAGAACTGAACATTCCCTTTCATAGAGCAGGTTTGAAACACTCTTTCTGTAGTATCTGCAAGCGGACGTTTTAAGCGCTTTCAGGCCTGTGGTGAGAAAGGAAATATCTTCAAATAAAAACTAGACAGAAGCATTCTCAGAAACTTCTTTGTGCTGTATGTCCTCAATTAACAGAGTTGAACCTTTGTGTGGATACAGCATTTTGGAAACATTCCTTTAGTAGAATCTGCAAGTTGATATTTAGATAGCTAGGAAGATTTCCTTGGAAACGGGAATATCTTCATATAAAATCTAGACGGAAGCATTCTCAGAAAGTGCTTTGTGATGTTTGCATTCAAGTCACAGAGTTGAATATTCCCTTTTATAGAGCAGGTTTGAAACACTCTTTCTGCACTATCTGGAAGTGGACATTTGGAGCGCTTTGAGGCCTATGTTGAAAAAGGAAATATCTTCCCATAGAAAATAGACAGAAGCATTCTCAGAAACTTGTTTGTGATGTGTGTATTCAACTAACAGAGATGAACCTTTCTTTTTACAGAGCAGTTTTGAAACACTCTTTTTGTGGAATCTGAAAGTGGATATTTGGATAGCTTTGAGGATTTCGTTGGAAACGGGATTACATATAAAACCTAGAGAGAAGCATTCTCAGGAACTTCTCTTTGATGTTTGCCTTCAAGTCACAGGACTGAACATTCCCTTTCATAGAGCAGGTTTGAAACACTCTTTCTGTAGTATCTGCAAGCTGACGTTTCAAGCGCTTTCAGGCCTATGGTGAGAAAGGAAATATCTTCAAGTAAAAACTAGACAGAAGCATTCTCAGAAACTTATTTGCCATGTGTGTTCTCAACTAACAGAGTTGAACCTTTGTTTTGATAAGGCATTTTGGAAACACTCTTTTTGGAGAATCTGCAGGTGGATATTCGGATAGCTTTGAAGGTTTCGTTGGAAACGGGAATATCTTCATATAAAATCTAGACGGAAGCATTCTCAGAAACTGCTTTGTGATGTTTCCATTGAAGTCACAGAGTAGAATGTTCCCTTTTATATACCAGGTTTGAGACACTCTTTCTGCGCTATCTGGAAGTGGACATTTGGAGCGCTTTGAGGCCTATGATGAAAAAGGAAATATCTTCCCATAAAAACTAGACAGAAGCATTCTCAGAAACTTATTTGCGATGTGTGTCCTCAACTAACAGAGTTGAACCTTTCTTTTGATACAACATTTTGGAAACACTCTTTTTGTAGAATCTGCAAGTGGATATTTGGATAGCTTTGAAGGTTTCGTTGGAAACGGGAATATACTTCATATGAAATCAAGACAGAAGCATTCTCAGTAAAGTGCTTTGTGATGTTTGCATTCAAGTCACAGAGTTGAATATTCCCTTTTATAGAGCAGGTTTGAAACACTCTTTCTGCACTACCTGGAAGTGGACATTTGGAGCGCTTTGAGGCCTATGTTGAAAAAGGGAATATCTTCCCATAAAAACTAGACAGAAGCATTCTCAGAAACTTGTTTGTGATGTGTGTATTCAACTAACAGAGATGAACCTTTCTTTTTACAGAGCAGTTTTGAAACACTCTTTTTGTGGAATCTGAAAGTGGATATTTGGATAGCTTTGAGGATTTCGTTGGAAACGGGATTACATATAAAACCTAGAGAGAAGCATTCTCAGGAACTTCTTTGTGATGTTTGCCTTCAAGTCACAGGACTGAACATTCCCTTTCATAGAGCAGGTTTGAAACACTCTTTCTGTAGTATCTGCAAGCTGACGTTTCAAGCGCTTTCAGGCCTATGGTGAGAAAGGAAATATCTTCAAGTAAAAACTAGACAGAAGCATTCTCAGAAACTTATTTGCCATGTGTGTTCTCAACTAACAGAGTTGAACCTTTGTTTTGATACGGCATTTTGGAAACACTCTTTTTGTAGAATCTGCAGGTGGATATTCGGATAGCTTTGAAGGTTTCGTTGGAAACGGGAATATCTTCATATAAAATCTAGACGGAAGCATTCTCAGAAACTGCTTTGTGATGTTTTCATTCAAGTCACAGAGTAGAATGTTCCCTGTTATATACCAGGTTTGAGACACTCTTTCTGCACTACCTGGAAGTGGACGTTTGGAGCGCTTTGAGGCCTATGTTGAAAAAGGAAATATCTTCCCATAAAAACTAGACAGAAGCATTCTCAGAAACTTGTTTGTGATGTGTGTATTCAACTAACAGAGATGAACCTTTCTTTTTACAGAGCAGTTTTGAAACACTCTTTTTGTGGAATCTGAAAGTGGATATTTGGATAGCTTTGAGGATTTCGTTGGAAACGGGATTACATATAAAACCTAGAGAGAAGCATTCTCAGGAACTTCTTTGTGATGTTTGCATTCAAGTCACAGAACTCAACATTCCCTTTCATAGAGCAGGTTTGAAACACTCTTTCTGTAGTATCTGCAAGCTGACGTTTCAAGCGCTTTCAGGCCTATGGTGAGAAAGGAAATATCTTCAAGTAAAAACTAGACAGAACCATTCTCAGAAACTTATTTGCGATGTGTGTTCTCAACTAACAGAGTTGAACCTTTGTTTTGATATGGCATTTTGGAAACACTCTTTTTGTAGAATCTGCAGGTGGATATTCGGATAGCTTTGAAGGTTTCGTTGGAAACGGGAATATCTTCATATAAAATCTAGACGGAAGCATTCTCAGAAACTTCTCTGTGATGCTTGCATTCAACTCATAGAGTTGAACACTTCCCTTCATACAGCAGGTTTGAAACACTCTTTTTGTAATATTTGGAAGTGGACATTTGCAGCGCTTTGAGGCCTATGATGAAAAAGGTAATATCTTCCCATAAAAACTAGACAGAAGCATTCTCAGAAACTTGTTTGTGATGTGTGTATTCAACTAACAGAGATGAACCTTTCTTTTTACAGAGCAGTTTTGAAACACTCTTTTTGTGGAATCTGAAAGTGGATATTTGGATAGCTTTGCGGATTTCGTTGGAAACGGGATTACATATAAAATCTAGGGAGAAGCATTCTCAGGAACTTCTTTGTGATGTTTGCATTCAAGTCACAGAACTGAACATTCCCTTTCATAGAGCAGGTTTGAAACACTCTTTCTGTAGTATCTGCAAGCGGACGTTTTAAGCGCTTTCAGGCCTGTGGTGAGAAAGGAAATATCTTCAAATAAAAACTAGACAGAAGCATTCTCAGAAACTTATTTGCGATGTGTGTCCTCAACTAACAGAGTTGAACCTTTCTTTTGATACAACATTTTGGAAACACTCTTTTTGTAGAATCTGCAAGTGGATATTTGGATAGCTTTGAAGGTTTCGTTGGAAACGGGAATATCTTCATATGAAATCAAGACAGAAGCATTCTCAGAAACTTCTCTGTGATGTTTGCATTCAACTCATAGAGTTGAACACTTCCCTTCATACAGCAGGTTTGAAACACTCTTTTTCTAATATTTGGAAGTGGACATTTGCAGCGCTTTGAGGCCTATGTTGAAAAAGGAAATATCTTCTCCTAAAAACCAGACAGGAAGCATTCTCAGAAACTTCCTTGTGATGTGTGTACTCAAGTAACAGAGTTGAACCTTCCTTTTGACAGAGCAGTTTTGAAGCATTTTTTTTGTAGAATCTGCAAGTGGATATTTTGATACCTTTGAGGATTTCGTTGGACACGGGATATCTTCATATAAAATCTAGACAGAAGCATTCTCAGGAACTTCTTTGTGATGTTTGCATTCAAGTCACAGAACTGAACATTCCCTTTCATAGAGCATGTTTGAAACACTCTTTCTGTAGTATCTGCAAGCGGACGTTTCAAGCGCTTTCAGGCCTATGGTGAGAAAGGAAATATCTTCAAGTAAAAACTAGACAGAAGCATTCTCAGAAACTTATTTCCCATGTGTGTTCTCAACTAACAGAGTTGAACCTTTGTTTTGATACGGCATTTTGGAAACACTCTTTTTGTAGAATCTGCAGGTGGATATTCGGATAGCTTTGAAGGTTTCGTTGGAAACGGGAATATCTTCATAGAAAATCTAGACGGAAGCATTCTCAGAAACTGCTTTGTGATGTTTTCATTCAAGTCACAGAGTAGAATGTTCCCTTTTATATACCAGGTTTGAGACACTCTTTCTGCACTATCTGGAAGTGGACATTTGGAGCGCTTTGAGGCCTATGATGAAAAAGGAAATATCTTCCCATAAAAACTAGACAGAAGCATTCTCAGAAACTTGTTTGTGATGTGTGTATTCAACTAACAGATATGAACCTTTCTTTTAACAGAGCAGTTTTGAAACACTCTTTTTGTGGAATCTGACAGTGGATATTTGGATAGCTTTGAGGATTTCGTTGGAAACGGGATTACATATAAAATCTAGAGAGAAGCATTCTCAGGAACTTCTTTGTGATGTTTGCATTCACGTCACAGAACTGAACATTCCCTTTCATAGAGCATGTTTGAAACACTCTTTCTCTAGTATCTGCAAACGGACATTTCAAGCGCTTTCAGGCCTATGGTAAGAAAGGAAATATCTTCAAATAAAAACTAGACAGAAGAATTCTCAGAAACTTATTTGCGATGTGTGTCCTCAACTAACAGAGTTGAACCTTTCTTTTGATACAACATTTTGGAACCACTCTTTTTGTAGAATCTGCAAGTGGATATTTGGATAGCTTTGAAGGTTTCGTTGGAAACGGGAATATCTTCATATAAAAACAAGACAGAAAGCATTCTCAGTAAACTTCTCTGTGATGTTTGCATTCAACTCATAGAGTTGAACACTTCCCTTCATACAGCAGGTTTGAAACACTCTTTTTGTAATATTTGGAAGTGGACATTTGCAGCGCTTTGAGGCCTATGATGAAAAAGGTAATATCTTCCCATAAAAACTAGACAGAAGCATTCTCAGAAACTTGTTTGTGATGTGTGTATTCAACTAACAGAGATGAACCTTTCTTTTTACAGAGCAGTTTTGAAACACTCTTTTTGTGGAATCTGAAAGTCGATATTTGGATAGCTTTGAGGATTTCGTTGGAAACGGGATTACATATAAAATCTAGAGAGAAGCATTCTCAGGAACTTCTTTGTGATGTTTGCATTCACGTCACAGAACTGAACATTCCCTTTCATAGAGGATGTTTGAAACACTCTTTCTGTAGTATCTGAAAACGGACATTCCAAGCGCTTTCAGGCCTATGGTGAGAAAGGAAATATCTTCAAATAAAAACTAGACAGAAGCATTCTCAGAAACTTATTTGCGATGTGTGTCCTCAACTAACAGAGTTGAACCTTTCTTTTGATACAACATTTTGGAACCACTCTTTTTGTAGAATCTGCAAGTGGATATTTGGATAGCTTTGAAGGTTTCGTTGGAAACGGGAATATATTCATATAAAATCAACACAGAAGCATTCTCAGAAACTTCTCTGTGATGTTTGCATTCAACTCATAGAGTTGAACACTTCCCTTCATACAGCAGGTTTGAAACACTCTTTTTGTAATATTTGGAAGTGGCCATTTGCAGCGCTTTGAGGCCTATGTTGAAAAAGGAAATATCTTCTCCTAAAAACCAGACAGAAGCATTCTCAGAAACTTGTTTGTGATGTGTGTATTCAACTAACAGAGATGAACCTTTCTTTTTACAGAGCAGTTTTGAAACACTCTTTTTGTGGAATCTGAAAGTGGATATTTGGATAGCTTTGCGGATTTCGTTGGAAACGGGATTACATATAAAATCTAGGGAGAAGCATTCTCAGGAACTTCTTTGTGATGTTTGCATTCATGTCACATAACAGAACATTCCCTTTCATAGACCATGTTTGAAACACTCTTTCTGTAGTATCTGCAAACGGACATTTCAAACGCTTTCAGGCCTATGGTGAGAAAGGAAATATCTTCAAATAAAAACTAGACAGAAGCATTCTCAGAAACTTATTTGCGATGTGTATCCTCAACTAACAGAGTTGAACCTTTCTTTTGATACAACATTTTGGAAACACTCTTTTTGTGGAATCTGCAAGTGGATATTTGGATAGCTTTGAAGGTTTCGTTGGAAACGGGAACATCTTCATATAAAATCAAGACAGAAGCATTCTCAGAAACTTCTCTGTGATGTTTGCATTCAACTCATAGAGTTGAACACTTCCCTTCATACAGCAGGTTTGAAACACTCTTTTTCTAATATTTGGAAGTGGACATTTGCAGCGCTTTGAGGCCTATGTTGAAAAAGGAAATATCTTCTCCTAAAAACCAGACGGAAGCATTCTCAGAAACTTCCTTGTGATGTGTGTACTCAAGTAACAGAGTTGAACCTTCCTTTTGACAGAGCAGTTTTGAAGCACTCTTTTTGTAGAATCTGCAAGTGGATATTTTGATACCTTTGAGGATTTCGTTGGACACGGGATATCTTCATATAAAATCTAGACAGAAGCATTCTCAGAAACTTCTTTGTGCTGTATGTCCTCAATTAACAGAGTTGAACCTTTGTGTGGATACAGCATTTTGGAAACATTCCTTTAGTAGAATCTGCAAGTTGATATTTAGATAGCTAGGAAGATTTCCTTGGAAACGGGAATATCTTCATATAAAATCTAGATGGAAGCATTCTCAGAAAGTGCTTTGTGATGTTTGCATTCAAGTCACAGAGTTGAATATTCCCTTTTATAGAGCAGGTTTGAAACACTCTTTCTGCACTACCTGGAAGTGGACATTTGGAGGGCTTTGAGGCCTATGTTGAAAAAGGAAATATCTTCCCATAAAAACTAGACAGAAGCATTCTCAGAAACTTGTTTGTGATGTGTGTATTCAACTAACAGAGATGAACCTTTCTTTTTACAGAGCAGTTTTGAAACACTCTTTTTGTGGAATCTGAAAGTGGATATTTGGATAGCTTTGAGGATTTCGTTGGAAACGGGATTACATATAAAACCTAGAGAGAAGCATTCTCAGGAACTACTTTGCGATGTTTGCATTCAAGTCACAGAACTGAACATTCCCTTTCATAGATCAGGTTTGAAACACTCTTTCTGTAGTATCTGCAAGCTGACGTTTCAAGCGCTTTCAAGCCTATGGTGAGAAAGGAAATTTCTGCAAGTAAAAACTAGACAGAAGCATTCTCAGAAACTTATTTGCGATGTGTGTTCTCAACTAACAGAGTTGAACCTTTGTTTTGATATGGCATTTTGGAAACACTCTTTTTGTAGAATCTGCAGGTGGATATTCGGATAGCTTTGAAGGTTTCGTTGGAAACGGGAATATACTTCATATAAAATCTAGACGGAAGCATTCTCAGAAAGTGCTTTGTGATGTTTGCATTCAAGTCACAGAGTTGAATATTCCCTTTTATAGAGCAGGTTTGAAACACTCTTTCTGCACTACCTGGAAGTGGATATTTGGAGCGCTTTGAGGCCTATGTTGAAAAAGGAAATATGTTCCCATAAAAACTAGACAGAAGCATTCTCAGAAACTTGTTTGTGATGTGTGTATTCAACTAACAGAGATGAACCTTTCTTTTTACAGAGCAGTTTTGAAACACTCTTTTTGTGGAATCTGAAAGTGGATATTTGGATAGCTTTGAGGATTTCGTTGGAAACGGGATTACATATAAAACCTAGAGAGAAGCATTCTCAGGAACTTCTTTGTGATGTTTGCATTCAAGTCACAGAACTGAACATTCCCTTTCATAGAGCAGGTTTGAAACACTCTTTCTGTAGTATCTGCAAGCTGACGTTTCAAGCGCTTTCAGGCCTATGGTGAGAAAGGAAATATCTTCAAGTAAAAACTAGACAGAAGCATTCTCAGAAACTTATTTGCGATGTGTGTTCTCAACTAACAGAGTTGAACCTTTGTTTTGATATGGCATTTTGGAAACACTCTTTTTGTAGAATCTGCAGGTGGATATTCGGATAGCTTTGAAGGTTTCGTTGGAAACGGGAATATCTTCATATAAAATCTAGACGGAAGCATTCTCAGAAACTGCTTTGTGATGTTTTCATTCAAGTCACAGAGTAGAATGTTCCCTGTTATATACCAGGTTTGAGACACTCTTTCTGCACTACCTGGAAGTGGACATTTGCAGCGCTTTGAGGCCTATGATGAAAAAGGAAATATCTTCCCATGAAAACTAGACAGAAGCATTCTCAGAAACTTGTTTGTGATGTGTGTATTCAACTAACAGAGATGAACCTTTCTTTTTACAGAGCAGTTTTGAATCACTCTTTTTGTGGAATCTGAAAGTGGATATTTGGATAGCTTTGAGGATTTCGTTGGAAACGGGATTACATATAAAATCTAGAGAGAAGCATTCTCAGGAACTTCTTTGTGATGTTTGCATTCACGTCACAGAACTGAACATTCCCTTTCATAGAGCATGTTTGAAACACTCTTTCTGTAGTATCTGCAAACGGACATTTCAAACGCTTTCAGGCCTATGGTGAGAAAGGAAATATCTTCAAATAAAAACTAGACAGAAGCATTCTCAGAAACTTATTTGCGATGTGTGTCCTCAACTAACAGAGTTGAACCTTTCTTTTGATACAACATTTTGGAAACACACTTTTTATAGAATCTGCAAGTGGATATTTGAATAGCTTTGAAGGTTTCGTTGGAAACGGGAATATCTTCAAATAAAAACTAGACAGAAGCATTCTCAGAAACTTATTTGCGATGTGTGTCCTCAACTAACAGAGTTGAACCTTTCTTTTGATACAACATTTTGGAAACACTCTTTTTGTAGAATCTGCAAGTGGATATTTGAATAGCTTTGAAGGTTTCGTTGGAAACGGGAATATCTTCATATAAAATCAAGACAGAAGCATTCTCAGAAACTTCTCTGTGATGTTTGCATTCAACTCATAGAGTTGAACACTTCCCTTCATACAGCAGGTTTGAAACACTCTTTTTGTAATATTTGGAAGTGGACTTTTGCAGCGCTTTGAGGCTTATGATGAAAAAGGAAATATCTTCCCATAAAAACTAGACAGAAGCATTCTCAGAAACTTGTTTGTGATGTGTGTATTCAACTAACAGAGATGAACCTTTCTTTTTACAGAGCAGTTTTGAAACACTCTTTTTGTGGAATCTGAAAGTGGATATTTGGATAGCTTTGCGGATTTCGTTGGAAACGGGATTACATATAAAATCTAGGGAGAAGCATTCTCAGGAACTTCTTTGTGATGTTTGCATTCAAGTCACAGAACTGAACATTCCCTTTCATAGAGCATGTTTGAAACACTCTTTCTGTAGTATCTGCAAGCGGACGTTTTAAGCGCTTTCAGGCCTGTGGTGAGAAAGGAAATATCTTCAAATAAAAACTAGACAGAAGCATTCTCAGAAACTTATTTGCGATGTGTGTCCTCAACTAACAGAGTTGAACCTTTCTTTTGATACAACATTTTGGAAACACTCTTTTTGTAGAATCTGCAAGTGGATATTTGGATAGCTTTGAAGGTTTCGTTGGAAACGGGAATATCTTCATATGAAATCAAGACAGAAGCATTCTCAGAAACTTCTCTGTGATGTTTGCATTCAACTCATAGAGTTGAACACTTCCCTTCATACAGCAGGTTTGAAACACTCTTTTTGTAATATTTGGAAGTGGACATTTGCAGCGCTTTGAGGCCTATGTTGAAAAAGGAAATATCTTCTCCTAAAAACCAGACAGAAGCATTCTCAGAAACTTGTTTGTGATGTGTGTATTCAACTAACAGAGATGAACCTTTCTTTTTACAGAGCAGTTTTGAAACACTCTTTTTGTGGAATCTGAAAGTGGATATTTGGATAGCTTTGAGGATTTCGTTGGAAACGGGATTACATATAAAATCTAGGGAGAAGCATTCTCAGGAACTTCTTTGTGATGTTTGCATTCAAGTCACAGAACTGAACATTCCCTTTCATAGAGCAGGTTTGAAACACTCTTTCTTTAGTATCTGCAAGCGGACGTTTTAAGCGCTTTCAGGCCTGTGGTGAGAAAGGAAATATCTTCAAATAAAAACTAGACAGAAGCATTCTCAGAAACTTCTTTGTGCTGTATGTCCTCAATTAACAGAGTTGAACCTTTGTGCGGATACAGCACTTTGGAAACACTCCTTTAGTAGAATCTGCAAGTTGATATTTAGATAGCTAGGAAGATTTCCTTGGAAACGAGAATATCTTCACATAAAATCTAGACGGAAGCATTCTCAGAAACTTTTCTGTGATGCTTGCATTCAACTCATAGAGTTGAACACTTCCTTTCATAGAGCTGGTTTGAAATACTCTTTTTGTAATATTTGGAAGTGGACATTGGCAGCGCTTTGAAGCCTATGGTGAAAAAGGAGATATCTTCTCCTAAAAACCAGACAGAAGCATTCTCAGAAACTTATTTGCCATGTGTGTTCTCAACTAACAGAGTTGAACCTTTGTTTTGATACGGCATTTTGGAAACACTCTTTTTGTAGAATCTGCAGGTGGATATTCGGATAGCTTTGAAGGTTTCGTTGGAAACGGGAATATCTTCATATAAAATCTAGACGGAAGCATTCTCAGAAACTGCTTTGTGATGTTTTCATTGAAGTCACAGAGTAGAATGTTCCCTTTTATATACCAGGTTTGAGACACTCTTTCTGCACTATCTGGAAGTGGACATTTGGAGCGCTTTGAGGCCTATGATGAAAAAGGAAATATCTTCCCATAAAAACTAGACAGAAGCATTCTCAGAAACTTGTTTGTGATGTGTGTATTCAACTAACAGAGATGAACCTTTCTTTTTACAGAGCAGTTTTGAAACACTCTTTTTGTGGAATCTGAAAGTGGATATTTGGATAGCTTTGAGGATTTCGTTGGAAACGGGATTACATATAAAATCTAGAGAGAAGCATTCTCAGGAACTTCTTTGTGATGTTTGCATTCACGTCACAGAACTGAACATTCCCTTTCATAGAGCATGTTTGAAACACTCTTTCTGTAGTATCTGCAAGCGGACATTTCAAACGCTTTCAGGCCTATGGTGAGAAAGGAAATATCTTCAAATAAAAACTAGACAGAAGCATTCTCAGAAACTTATTTGCGATGTGTGTCCTCAACTATCAGAGTTGAACCTTTCTTTTGATTCAACATTTTGGAACCACTCTTTTTGTAGAATCTGCAAGTGGATATTTGAATAGCTTTGAAGGTTTCGTTGGAAACGGGAATATCTTCATATAAAATCAAGACAGAAGCATTCTCAGAAACTTCTCTGTGATGTTTGCATTCAACTCATAGAGTTGAACACTTCCCTTCATACAGCAGGTTTGAAACACTCTTTTTGTAATATTTGGAAGTGGACATTTGCAGCGCTTTGAGGCCTATGTTGAAAAAGGAAATATCTTCTCCTAAAAACCAGACAGAAGCATTCTCAGAAACTTCCTTGTGATGTGTGTACTCAAGTAACAGAGTTGAACCTTACTTTGGACAGAGCCGTTTTGAAACAGTCTTTTTGTAGAATCTGGAAGTAGATATTTGGATACCTTTGAGGATTTCTTTGGAAACGGTATATCTTCATATAAAATCTAGACAGAAGCATTCTCAGGAACTTCTTTGTGATGTTTGCATTCAAGTCACAGAACTGAACATTCCCTTTCATAGAGCAGGTTTGAAACACTCTTTCTGTAGTATCTGCAAGCGGACGTTTTAAGCGCTTTCAGGCCTGTGGTGAGAAAGGAAATATCTTCAAATAAAAACTAGACAGAAGCATTCTCAGAGACTTATTTGCGATGTGTGTCCTCAACTAACAGAGTTGAACCTTTCTTTTGATACAACATTTTGGAAACACTCTTTTTGTAGAACCTGCAAGTGGATATTTGGATAACTTTGAAGGTTTCGTTGGAAACGGGAATATCTTCATATGAAATCAAGACAGAAGCATTCTCAGAAACTTCTCTGTGATGTTTGCATTCAACTCATAGAGTTGAACACTTCCCTTCATACAGTAGGTTTGAAACACTCTTTTTCTAATATTTGGAAGTGGACATTTGCAGCGCTTTGAGGCCTATGTTGAAAAAGGAAATATCTTCTCCTAAAAACCAGACAGAAGCATTCTCAGAAACTTCCTTGTGATGTGTGTACTCAAGTAACAGAGTTGAACCTTCCTTTTGACAGAGCAGTTTTGAAGCACTCTTTTTGTAGAATCTGCAAGTGGATATTTTGATACCTCTGAGGATTTCGTTGGAAACGGGATTACATATAAAACCTAGAGAGAAGCATTCTCAGGAACTTCTTTGTGATGTTGGCCTTCAAGTCACAGGACTGAACATTCCCTTTCATAGAGCAGGTTTGAAACACTCTTTCTGTAGTATCTGCAAGCTGACGTTTCAAGCGCTTTCAGGCCTATGGTGAGAAAGGAAATATCTTCAAGGAAAAACTAGACAGAAGCATTCTCAGAAACTTATTTGCCATGTGTGTTCTCAACTAACAGAGTTGAACCTTTGTTTTGATACGGCATTTTGGAAACACTCTTTTTGTAGAATCTGCAGGTGGATATTCGGATAGCTTTGAAGGTTTCGTTGGAAACGGGAATATCTTCATATAAAATCTAGACGGAAGCATTCTCAGAAACTGCTTTGTGATGTTTTCATTCAAGTCACAGAGTAGAATGTTCCCTGTTATATACCAGGTTTGAGACACTCTTTCTGCACTACCTGGAAGTGGACGTTTGGAGCGCTTTGAGGCCTATGTTGAAAAAGGAAATATCTTCCCATAAAAACTAGACAGAAGCATTCTCAGAAACTTGTTTGTGATGTGTGTATTCAACTAACAGAGATGAACCTTTCTTTTTACAGAGCAGTTTTGAAACACTCTTTTTGTTGGATCTGAAAGTGGATATTTGGATAGCTTTGAGGATTTCGTTGGAAACTGGATTACATATAAAATCTAGAGAGAAGCATTCTCAGGAACTTCTTTGTGATGTTTGCATTCAAGTCACAGAACTGAACATTCCCTTTCATAGAGCAGGTTTGAAACACTCTTTCTGTAGTATCTGCAAGCGGACGTTTTAAGCGCTTTCAGGCCTGTGGTGAGAAAGGAAATATCTTCAAATAAAAACTAGACAGAAGCATTCTCAGAAACTTATTTGCGATGTGTGTCCTCAACTAACAGAGTTGAACCTTTCTTTTGATACAACATTTTGGAAACACTCTTTTTGTAGAATCTGCAAGTGGATATTTGGATAGCTTTGAAGGTTTCGTTGGAAACGGGAATATCTTCATATGAAATCAAGACAGAAGCATTCTCAGAAACTTCTCTGTGATGTTTGCATTCAACTCATAGAGTTGAACACTTCCCTTCATACAGCAGGTTTGAAACACTCTTTTTCTAATATTTGGAAGTGGACATTTGCAGCGCTTTGAGGCCTATGTTGAAAAAGGAAATATCTTCTCCTAAAAACCAGACAGAAGCATTCTCAGAAACTTCCTTGTGATGTGTGTACTCAAGTAACAGAGTTGAACCTTCCTTTTGACAGAGCAGTTTTGAAGCACTCTTTTTGTAGAATCTGCAAGTGGATATTTTGATACCATTGAGGATTTCGTTGGACACGGGATATCTTCATATAAAATCTAGACAGAAGCATTCTCAGAAACTTCTTTGTGCTGTATGTCCTCAATTAACAGAGTTGAACCTTTGTGTGGATACAGCATTTTGGAAACATTCCTTTAGTAGAATCTGCAAGTTGATATTTAGATAGCTAGGAAGAGTTCCTTGGAAACGGGAATATCTTCATATAAAATCTAGACGGAAGCATTCTCAGAAAGTGCTTTGTGATGTTTGCATTCAAGTCACAGAGTTGAATGTTCCCTTTTATAGAGCAGGTTTGAAACACTCTTTCTGCACTACCTGGAAGTGGACATTTGGAGCGCTTTGAGGCCTATGTTGAAAAAGGAAATATCTTCCCATAAAAACTAGACAGAAGCATTCTCAGAAACTTGTTTGTGATGTGTGTATTCAACTAACAGAGATGAACCTTTCTTTTTACAGAGCAGTTTTGAAACACTCTTTTTGTGGAATCTGAAAGTGGATATTTGGATAGCTTTGAGGATTTCGTTGGAAACGGGATTACATATAAAACCTAGAGAGAAGCATTCTCAGGAACTTCTTTGTGATGTTTGCATTCAAGTCACAGAACTGAACATTCCCTTTCATAGAGCAGGTTTGAAACACTCTTTCTGTAGTATCTGCAAGCTGACGTTTCAAGCGCTTTCAGGCCTATGGTGAGAAAGGAAATATCTTCAAGTAAAAACTAGACAGAAGCATTCTCAGAAACTTATTTGCGATGTGTGTTCTCAACTAACAGAGTTGAACCTTTGTTTTGATACGGCATTTTTGAAACACTCTTTTTGTAGAATCTGCAGGTGGATATTCGGATAGCTTTGAAGGTTTCGTTGGAAACGGGAATATCTTCATATAAAATCTAGACGGAAGCATTCTCAGAAACTGCTTTGTGATGTTTTCATTCAAGTCACAGAGTAGAATGTTCCCTGTTATATACCAGGTTTGAGACACTATTTCTGCACTACCTGGAAGTGGACATTTGGAGCGCTTTGAGGCCTAAGATGAAAAAGGAAATATCTTCCCATAAAAACTAGACAGAAGCATTCTCAGAAACTTGTTTGTGATGTGTGTATTCAACTAACAGAGATGAACCTTTCTTTTTACAGAGCAGTTTTGAAACACTCTTTTTGTGGAATCTGAAAGTGGATATTTGGATAGCTTTGAGGATTTCGTTGGAAACGGGATTACATATAAAACCTAGAGAGAAGCATTCTCAGGAACTTCTTTGTGATGTTTGCATTAACGTCACAAAACTGAACATTCCCTTTCATAGAGCATGTTTGAAACACTCTTTCTGTAGTATCTGCAAACGGACATTTCAAACGCTTTCAGGCCTATGGTGAGAAAGGAAATATCTTCAAATAAAAACTAGACAGAAGCATTCTCAGAAACTTATTTGCGATGTGTGTCCTCAACTAACAGAGTTGAACCTTTCTTTTGATACAACATTTTGGAACCACTCTTTTTGTAGAATCTGCAAGTGGATATTTGGATAGCTTTGAAGGTTTCGTTGGAAACGGGAATATCTTCATATAAAATCAAGACAGAAGCATTCTCAGAAACTTCTCTGTGATGTTTGCATTCAACTCATAGAGTTGAACACTGCCCTTCATACAGCAGGTTTGAAACACTCTTTTTGTAATATTTGGAAGTGGACATTTGCAGCGCTTTGAGGCCTATGATGAAAAAGGTAATATCTTCCCATAAAAACTAGACAGAAGCATTCTCAGAAACTTGTTTGTGATGTGTGTATTCAACTAACAGAGATGAACCTTTCTTTTTACAGAGCAGTTTTGAAACACTCTTTTTGTGGAATCTGAAAGTGGATATTTGGATAGCTTTGCGGATTTCGTTGGAAACGGGATTACATATAAAATCTAGGGAGAAGCATTCTCAGGAACTTCTTTGTGATGTTTGCATTCACGTCACAGAACTGAACATTCCCTTTCATAGAGCATGTTTGAAACACTCTTTCTGTAGTTTCTGTAAACGAACATTTCAAACGCTTTCAGGCCTATGGTGAGAAAGGAAATATCTTCAAATAAAAACTAGACAGAAGCATTCTCAGAAACTTATTTGCGATGTGTGTCCTCAACTAACAGAGTTGAACCTTTCTTTTGATACAACATTTTGGAAACACTCTTTTTGTAGAATCTGCAAGTGGATATTTGGATAGCTTTGAAGGTTTCGTTGGAAACGGGAATATCTTCATATGAAATCAAGACAGAAGCATTCTCAGAAACTTCTCTGTGATGTTTGCATTCAACTCATAGAGTTGAACATTTCCCTTCATACAGCAGGTTTGAAACACTCTTTTTGTAATATTTGGAAGTGGACATTTGCAGCGCTTTGAGGCCTATGTTGAAAAAGGAAATATCTTCTCCTAAAAACCAGACAGAAGCATACTCAGAAACTTGTTTGTGATGTGTGTATTCAACTAACAGAGATGAACCTTTCTTTTTACAGAGCAGTTTTGAAACACTCTTTTTGTGGAATCTGAAAGTGGATATTTGGATAGCTTTGAGGATTTCGTTGGAAACGGGATTACATATAAAACCTAGAGAGAAGCATTCTCAGGAACTTCTCTTTGATGTTTGCCTTCAAGTCACAGGACTGAACATTCCCTTTCATAGAGCAGGTTTGAAACACTCTTTCTGTAGTATCTGCAAGCTGATGTTTCAAGCGCTTTCAGGCCTATGGTGAGAAAGGAAATATCTTCAAGTAAAAACTAGACAGAAGCATTCTCAGAAACTTATTTGCCATGTGTGTTCTCAACTAACAGAGTTGAACCTTTGTTTTGATACGGCATTTTGGAAACACTCTTTTTGTAGAATCTGCAGGTGGATATTCGGATAGCTTTGAAGGTTTCGTTGGAAACGGGAATATCTTCATATAAAATCTAGACGGAAGCATTCTCAGAAACTGCTTTGTGATGTTTTCATTCAAGTCACAGAGTAGAATCTTCCCTGTTATATACCAGGTTTCAGACACTCTTTCTGCACTACCTGGAAGTGGACATTTGCAGCGCTTTGAGGCCTATGATGAAAAAGGAAATATCTTCCCATAAAAACTAGACAGAAGCATTCTCAGAAACTTGTTTGTGATGTGTGTATTCAACTAACAGAGATGAACCTTTCTTTTTACAGAGCAGTTTTGAAACACTCTTTTTGTGGAATCTGAAAGTGGATATTTGGATAGCTTTGAGGATTTCGTTGGAAACGGGATTACATATAAAATGCTAGAGAGAAGCATTCTCAGGAACTTCTTTGTGATGTTTGCATTTAAGTCACAGAACTGAACATTCCCTTTCATAGAGCAGGTTTGAAACACTCTTTCTGTAGTATCTGCAAGCGGACGTTTTAAGCGCTTTCAGGCTTGTGGTGAGAAAGGAAATATCTTCAAATAAAAACTAGACAGAAGTATTCTCAGAAACTTATTTGCGATGTGTGTCCTCAACTAACAGAGTTGAACCTTTCTTTTGATACAACATTTTGGAAACACTCTTTTTGTAGAATCTGCAAGTGGATATTTGGATAGCTTTGAAGGTTTCGTTGGAAACGGGAATATCTTCATATGAAATCAAGACAGAAGCATTCTCAGAAACTTCTCTGTGATGTTTGCATTCAACTCATAGAGTTGAACACTTCCCTTCATACAGCAGGTTTGAAACACTCTTTTTCTAATATTTGGAAGTGGACATTTGCAGCGCTTTGAGGCCTATGTTGAAAAAGGAAATATCTTCTCCTAAAAACCAGACAGAAGCATTCTCAGAAACTTCCTTGTGATGTGTGTACTCAAGTAACAGAGTTGAACCTTCCTTTTGACAGAGCAGTTTTGAAGCACTCTTTTTGTAGAATCTGCAAGTGGATATTTTGATACCTTTGAGGATTTCGTTGGACACGGGATATCTTCATATAAAATCTAGACAGAAGCATTCTCAGAAACTTCTTTGTGCTGTATGTCCTCAATTAACAGAGTTGAACCTTTGTGTGGATACAGCATTTTGGAAACATTCCTTTAGAAGAATCTGCAAGTTGATATTTAGATAGCTAGGAAGATTTCCTTGGAAACGGGAATATCTTCATATAAAATTTAGACGGAAGCATTCTCAGAAAGTGCTTTGTGATGTCTTCATTCAAGTCACAGAGTAGAATGTTCCCTTTTATAGAGCAGGTTTGAAACACTCTTTCTGCACTACCTGGAAGTGGACATTTGGAGCGCTTTGAGGCCTATGTTGAAAAACGAAATATCTTCCCATAAAAACTAGACAGAAGCATTCTCAGAAACTTGTTTGTGATGTGTGTATTCAACTAACAGAGATGAACCTTTCTTTTTACAGAGCAGTTTTGAAACACTCTTTTTGTGGAATCTGAAAGTGGATATTTGGATAGCTTTGAGGATTTCGTTGGAACGGGATTACATATAAAACCTAGAGAGAAGCATTCTCAGGAACTTCTTTGTGATGTTTGCCTTCAAGTCACAGGACTGAACATTCCCTTTCATAGAGCAGGTTTGAAACACTCTTTCTGTAGTATCTGCAAGCTGACGTTTCAAGCGCTTTCAGGCCTATGGTGACAAAGGAAATATCTTCAAGTAAAAACTAGACAGAAGCATTCTCAGAAACTTATTTGCGATGTGTGTTCTCAACTAACAGAGTTGAACCTTTGTTTTGATATGGCATTTTGGAAACACTCTTTTTGTAGAATCTGCAGGTGGATATTCGGATAGCTTTGAAGGTTTCGTTGGAAACGGGAATATCTTCATATAAAATCTAGACGGAAGCATTCTCAGAAACTGCTTTGTGATGTTTTCATTCAAGTCACAGAGTAGAATGTTCCCTGTTATATACCAGGTTTGAGACACTCTTTCTGCACTACCTGGAAGTGGACGTTTGGAGCGCTTTGAGGCCTATGTTGAAAAAGGAAATATCTTCCCATAAAAACTAGACAGAAGCATTCTCAGAAACTTGTTTGTGATGTGTGTATTCAACTAACAGAGATGAACCTTTCTTTTTACAGAGCAGTTTTGAAACACTCTTTTTGTGGAATCTGAAAGTGGATATTTGGATAGCTTTGAGGATTTCGTTGGAAACGGGATTACATATAAAATCTAGAGAGAAGAATTCTCAGGAACTTCTTTGTGATGTTTGCATTCAAGTCACAGAACTGAACATTCCCTTTCATAGAGCATGTTTGAAACACTCTTTCTGTAGTATCTGCAAACGGACATTTCAAACGCTTTCAGGCCTATGGTGAGAAAGGAAATATCTTCAAATAAAAACTAGACAGAAGCATTCTCAGAAACTTATTTGCGATGTGTGTCCTCAACTAACAGAGTTGAACCTTTCTTTTGATACAACATTTTGGAAACACTCTTTTTGTAGAATCTGCAAGTGGATATTTGGATAGCTTTGAAGGTTTCGTTGGAAACGGGAATATCTTCATATAAAATCAAGACAGAAGCATTCTCAGAAACTTCTCTGTGATGTTTGCATTCAACTCATAGAGTTGAACACTTCCCTTCATACAGCAGGTTTGAAACACTCTTTTTGTAATATTTGGAAGTGGACATTTGCAGCGCTTTGAGGCCTATGATGAAAAAGGTAATATCTTCCCATAAAAACTAGACAGAAGCATTCTCAGAAACTTGTTTGTGATGTGTGTATTCAACTAACAGAGATGAACCTTTCTTTTTACAGAGCAGTTTTGAAACACTCTTTTTGTGGAATCTGAAAGTGGATATTTGGATAGCTTTGCGGATTTCGTTGGAAACGGGATTACATATAAAATCTAGGGAGAAGCATTCTCAGGAACTTCTTTGTGATGTTTGCATTCAAGTCACAGAACTGAACATTCCCTTTCATAGAGCAGGTTTGAAACACTCTTTCTGTAGTATCTGCAAGCGGACGTTTTAAGCGCTTTCAGGCCTGTGGTGAGAAAGGAAATATCTTCAAATAAAAACTAGACAGAAGCATTCTCAGAAACTTATTTGCGATGTGTGTCCTCAACTAACAGAGTTGAACCTTTCTTTTGATACAACATTTTGGAAACACTCTTTTTGTAGAATCTGCAAGTGGATATTTGGATAGCTTTGAAGGTTTCGTTGGAAACGGGAATATCTTCATATGAAATCAAGACAGAAGCATTCTCAGAAACTTCTCTGTGATGTTTGCATTCAACTCATAGAGTTGAACACTTCCCTTCATACAGCAGGTTTGAAACACTCTTTTTCTAATATTTGGAAGTGGACATTTGCAGCGCTTTGAGGCCTATGTTGAAAAAGGAAATATCTTCTCCTAAAAACCAGACAGAAGCATTCTCAGAAACTTCCTTGTGATGTGTGTACTCAAGTAACAGAGTTGAACCTTCCTTTTGACAGAGCAGTTTTGAAGCACTCTTTTTGTAGAATCTGCAAGTGGATATTTTGATACCTTTGAGGATTTCGTTGGACACGGGATATCTTCATATAAAATCTAGACAGAAGCATTCTCAGAAACTTCTTTGTGCTGTATGTCCTCAATTAACAGAGTTGAACCTTTGTGTGGATACAGCATTTTGGAAACATTCCTTTAGAAGAATCTGCAAGTTGATATTTAGATAGCTAGGAAGATTTCCTTGGAAACGGGAATATCTTCATATAAAATCTAGACGGAAGCATTCTCAGAAAGTGCTTTGTGATGTTTGCATTCAAGTCACAGAGTTGAATATTCCCTTTTATAGAGCAGGTTTGAAACACTCTTTCTGCACTACCTGGAAGTGGACATTTGGAGCGCTTTGAGGCCTATGTTGAAAAAGGAAATATCTTCCCATAAAAACTAGACAGAAGAATTCTCAGAAACTTGTTTGTGATGTGTGTATTCAACTAACAGAGATGAACCTTTCTTTTTACAGAGCAGTTTTGAAACACTCTTTTTGTGGAATCTGAAAGTGGATATTTGGATAGCTTTGAGGATTTCGTTGGAAACGGGATTACATATAAAACCTAGAGAGAAGCATTCTCAGGAACTTCTTTGTGATGTTTGCATTCAAGTCACAGAACTGAACATTCCCTTTCATAGAGCATGTTTGAAACACTCTTTCTGTAGTATCTGCAAGCGGACGTTTCAAGCGCTTTCAGGCCTATGGTGAGAAAGGAAATATCTTCAAGTAAAAACTAGACAGAAGCATTCTCAGAAACTTATTTGCCATGTGTGTTCTCAACTAACAGAGTTGAACCTTTGTTTTGATACGGCATTTTGGAAACACTCTTTTTGTAGAATCTGCAGGTGGATATTCGGATAGCTTTGAAGGTTTCGTTGGAAACGGGAATATCTTCATATAAAATCTAGACGGAAGCATTCTCAGAAACTGCTTTGTGATGTTTTCATTGAAGTCACAGAGTAGAATGTTCCCTTTTATATACCAGGTTTGAGACACTCTTTCTGCACTATCTGGAAGTGGACATTTGGAGCGCTTTGAGGCCTATGATGAAAAAGGAAATATCTTCCCATAAAAACTAGACAGAAGCATTCTCAGAAACTTGTTTGTGATGTGTGTATTCAACTAACAGAGATGAACCTTTCTTTTTACAGAGCAGTTTTGAAACACTCTTTTTGTGGAATCTGAGAGTGGATATTTGGATAGCTTTGAGGATTTCGTTGGAAACGGGATTACATATAAAATCTAGAGAGAAGCATTCTCAGGAACTTCTTTGTGATGTTTGCATTCACGTCACAGAACTGAACATTCCCTTTCATAGAGCATGTTTGAAACACTCTTTCTGTAGTATCTGCAAACGGACATTTCAAGCGCTTTCAGGCCTATGGTAAGAAAGGAAATATCTTCAAATCAAAACTAGACAGAAGCATTCTCAGAAACTTATTTGCGATGTGTGTCCTCAACTAACAGAGTTGAACCTTTGTTTTGATACAACATTTTGGAAACACTCTTTTTGTAGAATCTGCAAGTGGATATTTGGATAGCTTTGAAGGTTTCGTTGGAAACGGGAATATCTTCATATAAAATCAAGACAGAAGCATTCTCAGAAACTTCTCTGTGATGTTTGCATTCAACTCATAGAGTTGAACACTTCCCTTCATAGAGCAGGTTTGAAACACTCTTTTTGTAATATTTGGAAGTGGACATTTGCAGCGCTTTGAGGCCTATGTTGAAAAAGGAAATATCTTCTCCTAAAAACCAGACAGAAGCATTCTCAGAAACTTCCTTGTGATGTGTGTACTCAAGTAACAGAGTTGAACCTTACTTTTGACAGAGCCGTTTTGAAACAGTCTTTTTGTAGAATCTGGAAGTAGATATTTGGACACCTTTGAGGATTTCTTTGGAAACGGGATATCTTCATATAAAATCTAGACAGAAGCATTCTCAGAAACTTCTTTTTGCTGTATGTCCTCAATTAACAGAGTTGAAACTTTGTGTGGATACAGCATTTTGGAAACACTCCTTTAGTAGGATATGCAAGTTGATATTTAGATAGCTAGGAAGATTTCCTTGGAAACGGGAATATCTTCATATAAAATCTAGACGGAAGCATTCTCAGAAAGTGCTTTGTGATGTTTGCATTCAAGTCACAGAGTTGAATATTCCCTTTTATAGAGCAGGTTTGAAACACTCTTTCTGCACTACCTGGAAGTGGACATTTGGAGCGCTTTGAGGCCTATGTTGAAAAAGGAAATATCTTCCCATAAAAACTAGACAGATGCATTCTCAGAAACTTGTTTGTGATGTGTGTATTCAACTAACAGAGTATGAACCTTTCTTTTTACAGAGCAGTTTTGAAACACTCTTTTTGTGGAATCTGAAAGTGGATATTTGGATAGCTTCGAGGATTTCGTTGGAAACGGGATTACATATAAAATCTAGAGAGAAGCATTCTCAGGAACTTCTTTGTGATGTTTGCATTCAAGTCACAGAACTGAACATTCCCTTTCATAGAGCATGTTTGAAACACTCTTTCTGTAGTATCTGCAAGCGGACGTTTCAAGCGCTTTCAGGCCTATGGTGAGAAAGGAAATATCTTCAAGTAAAAACTAGACAGAAGCATTCTCAGAAACTTATTTGCCATGTGTGTTCTCAACTAACAGAGTTGAACCTTTGTTTTGATACGGCATTTTGGAAACACTCTTTTTGTAGAATCTGCAGGTGGATATTCGGACAGCTTTGAAGGTTTCGTTGGAAACGGGAATATCTTCATATAAAATCTAGACGGAAGCATTCTCAGAAACTGCTTTGTGATGTTTCCATTGAAGTCAGAGAGTAGAATGTTCCCTTTTATATACCACGTTTGAGACACTCTTTCTGCGCTATCTGGAAGTGGACATTTGGAGCGCTTTGAGACCTATGATGAAAAAGGAAATATCTTCCCATAAAAACTAGACAGAAGCATTCTCAGAAACTTGTTTGTGATGTGTGTATTCAACTAACAGAGATGAACCTTTCTTTTTACAGAGCAGTTTTGAAACACTCTTTTTGTGGAATCTGAAAGTGGATATTTGGATAGCTTTGAGGATTTCGTTGAAAACGGGATTACATATAAAATCTAGAGAGAAGCATTCTCAGGAACTTCTTTGTGATGTTTGCATTCAAGTCACAGAACTGAACATTCCCTTTCATAGAGCAGGTTTGAAACACTCTTTCTGTAGTATCTGCAAACGGACATTTCAAGCGCTTTCAGGCCTATGGTAAGAAAGGAAATATCTTCAAATAAAAACTAGACAGAAGCATTCTCAGAAACTTATTTGCGATGTGTGTCCTCAACTAACAGAGTTGAACCTTTGTTTTGATACAACATTTTGGAAACACTCTTTTTGTAGAATCTGCAAGTGGATATTTGGATAGCTTTGAAGGTTTCGTTGGAAACGGGAATATCTTCATATAAAATCAAGACAGAAGCATTCTCAGAAACTTCTCTGTGATGTTTGCATTCAACTCATAGAGGTGAACACTTCCCTTCATAGAGCAGGTTTGAAACACTCTTTTTGTAATATTTGGAAGTGGACATTTGCAGCGCTTTGAGGCCTATGTTGAAAAAGGAAATATCTTCTCCTAAAAACCAGACAGAAGCATTCTCAGAAACTTCCTTGTGATGTGTGTACTCAAGTAACAGAGTTGAACCTTCCTTTTGACAGAGCCGTTTTGAAACAGTCTTTTTGTAGAATCTGGAAGTAGATATTTGGATACCTTTGAGGATTTCTTTGGAAACGGGATATCTTCATATAAAATCTAGACAGAAGCATTCTCAGAAACTTCTTTGTGCTGTATGTCCTCAATTAACAGAGTTGAACCTTTGTGTGGATACAGCATTTTGGAAACATTCCTTTAGTAGAATCTGCAAGTTGATATTTAGATAGCTAGGAAGATTTCCTTGGAAACGGGAATATCTTCATATAAAATCTAGACGGAAGCATTCTCAGAAAGTGCTTTGTGATGTTTGCATTCAAGTCACAGAGTTCAATATTCCCTTTTATAGAGCAGGTTTGAAACACTCTTTCTGCACTACCTGGAAGTGGACATTTGGAGCGCTTTGAGGCCTATGTTGAAAAACGAAATATCTTCCCATAAAAACTAGACAGAAGCATTCTCAGAAACTTGTTTGTGATGTGTGTATTCAACTAACAGAGATGAACCTTTCTTTTTACAGAGCAGTTTTGAAACACTCTTTTTGTGGAATCTGAAAGTGGATATTTGGATAGCTTTGAGGATTTCGTTGGAAACGGGATTACATATAAAACCTAGAGAGAAGCATTCTCAGGAACTTCTTTGTGATGTTTGCCTTCAAGTCACAGGACTGAACATTCCCTTTCATAGAGCAGGTTTGAAACACTCTTTCTGTAGTATCTGCAAGCTGACGTTTCAAGCGCTTTCAGGCCTATGGTGAGAAAGGAAATATCTTCAAGTAAAAACTAGACAGAAGCATTCTCAGAAACTTATTTGCGATGTGTGTTCTCAACTAACAGAGTTGAACCTTTGTTTTGATATGGCATTTTGGAAACACTCTTTTTGTAGAATCTGCAGGTGGATATTCGGATAGCTTTGAAGGTTTCGTTGGAAACGGGAATATCTTCATATAAAATCTAGACGGAAGCATTCTCAGAAACTGCTTTGTGATGTTTTCATTCCAGTCACAGAGTAGAATGTTCCCTTTTATATACCAGGTTTGAGACACTCTTTCTGCACTATCTGGAAGTGGACATTTGGAGCGCTTTGAGGCCTATGATGAAAAAGGAAATATCTTCCCATAAAAACTAGACAGAAGCATTCTCAGAAACTTGTTTGTGATGTGTGTATTCAACTAACAGAGATGAACCTTTCTTTTTACAGAGCAGTTTTGAAACACTCTTTTTGTGGAATCTGAAAGTGGATATTTGGATAGCTTTGAGGATTTCGTTGGAAACGGGATTACATATAAAACCTAGAGAGAAGCATTCTCAGGAACTTCTTTGTGATGTTTGCATTCAAGTCACAGAACTGAACATTCCCTTTCATAGAGCAGGTTTGAAACACTCTTTCTGTAGTATCTGCAAGCTGACGTTTCAAGCGCTTTCAGGCCTATGGTGAGAAAGGAAATATCTTCAAGTAAAAACTAGACAGAAGCATTCTCAGAAACTTATTTGCGATGTGTGTTCTCAACTAACAGAGTTGAACCTTTGTTTTGATATGGCATTTTGGAAACACTCTTTTTGTAGAATCTGCAGGTGGATATTCGGATAGCTTTGAAGGTTTCGTTGGAAACGGGAATATCTTCATATAAAATCTAGACGGAAGCATTCTCAGAAACTGCTTTGTGATGTTTTCATTCAAGTCACAGAGTAGAATGTTCCCTGTTATATACCAGGTTTGAGACACTCTTTCTGCACTACCTGGAAGTGGACATTTGCAGCGCTTTGAGGCCTATGATGAAAAAGGAAATATCTTCCCATAAAAACTAGACAGAAGCATTCTCAGAAACTTGTTTGTGATGCGTGTATTCAACTAACAGAGATGAACCTTTCTTTTTACAGAGCAGTTTTGAAACACTCTTTTTGTGGAATCTGAAAGTGGATATTTGGATAGCTTTGAGGATTTCGTTGGAAACGGGATTACATATAAAATCTAGAGAGAAGCATTCTCAGGAACTTCTTTGTGATGTTTGCATTCACCGTCACAGAACTGAACATTCCCTTTCATAGAGCATGTTTGAAACACTCTTTCTGTAGTATCTGCAAACGGACATTTCAAACGCTTTCAGGCCTATGGTGAGAAAGGAAATATCTTCAAATAAAAACTAGACAGAAGCATTCTCAGAAACTTATTTGCGATGTGTGTCCTCAACTAACAGAGTTGAACCTTTGTTTTGATACAACATTTTGCAAACACTCTTTTGGGAGAATCTGCAGGTGAATACTTGGATAGGTTTGAAGGTTTCGTTGGTAACGGGAATATCTTCATATAAAATCAACACAGAAGCATTCTCAGAAACTTCTCTGTGATGTTTGCATTCAACTCATAGAGTTGAACACTTCCCTTCATACAGCAGGTTTGAAACACTCTTTTTGTAATATTTGGAAGTGGACATTTGCAGCGCTTTGAGGCCTATGATGAAAAAGGAAATATCTTCCCATAAAAACTAGACAGGAAGCATTCTCAGAAACTTCCTTGTGATGTGTGTACTCAAGTAACAGAGTTGAACCTTCCTTTTGACAGAGCAGTTTTGAAGCACTCTTTTTGTAGAATCTGCAAGTGGATATTTTGATACCTTTGAGGATTTCGTTGGACACGGGATATCTTCATATAAAATCTAGACAGAAGCATTCTCAGAAACTTCTTTGTGCTGTATGTTCTCAATTAACAGAGTTGAACCTTTGTGTGGATACAGCATTTTGGAAACATTCCTTTAGTAGAATCTGCAAGTTGATATTTAGATAGCTAGGAAGATTTCCTTGGAAACGGGAATATCTTCATATAAAATCTAGACGGAAGCATTCTCAGAAAGTGCTTTGTGATGTTTGCATTCAAGTCACAGAGTTGAATATTCCCTTTTATAGAGCAGGTTTGAAACACTCTTTCTGCACTACCTGGAAGTGGACATTTGGAGGGCTTTGAGGCCTATGTTGAAAAAGGAAATATCTTCCCATAAAAACTAGACAGAAGCATTCTCAGAAACTTGTTTGTGATGTGTGTATTCAACTAACAGAGATGAACCTTTCTTTTTACAGAGCAGTTTTGAAACACTCTTTTTGTGGAATCTGAAAGTGGATATTTGGATAGCTTTGAGGATTTCGTTGGAAACGGGATTACATATAAAACCTAGAGAGAAGCATTCTCAGGAACTTCTTTGTGATGTTTGCATTCACGTCACAGAACTGAACATTCCCTTTCATAGAGCATGTTTGAAACACTCTTTCTGTAGTATCTGCAAACGGACATTTCAAACGCTTTCAGGCCTATGGTGAGAAAGGAAATATCTTCAAATAAAAACTAGACAGAAGCATTCTCAGAAACTTATTTGCGATGTGTGTCCTCAACTATCAGAGTTGAACCTTTCTTTTGATTCAACATTTTGGAACCACTCTTTTTGTAGAATCTGCAAGTGGATATTTGAATAGCTTTGAAGGTTTCGTTGGAAACGGGAATATCTTCATATAAAATCAAGACAGAAGCATTCTCAGAAACTTCTCTGTGATGTTTGCATTCAACTCATAGAGTTGAACACTTCCCTTCATACAGCAGGTTTGAAACACTCTTTTTGTAATATTTGGAAGTGGACATTTGCAGCGCTTTGAGGCCTATGATGAAAAAGGAAATATCTTCCCATAAAAACTAGACAGAAGCATTCTCAGAAACTTGTTTGTGATGTGTGTATTCAACTAACAGAGATGAACCTTTCTTTTTACAGAGCAGTTTTGAAACACTCTTTTTGTGGAATCTGAAAGTGGATATTTGGATAGCTTTGAGGATTTCGTTGGAAACGGGATTACATATAAAACCTAGAGAGAAGCATTCTCAGGAACTTCTTTGTGATGTTTGCCTTCAAGTCACAGGACTGAACATTCCCTTTCATAGAGCAGGTTTGAAACACTCTTTCTGTAGTATCTGCAAGCTGACGTTTCAAGCGCTTTCAGGCCTATGGTGAGAAAGGAAATATCTTCAAGTAAAAACTAGACAGAAGCATTCTCAGAAACTTATTTGCCATGTGTGTTCTCAACTAACAGAGTAGAACCTTTGTTTTGATACGGCATTTTGGAAACACTCTTTTTGTAGAATCTGCAGGTGGATATTCGGATAGCTTTGAAGGTTTCGTTGGAAACGGGAATATCTTCATATAAAATCTAGACGGAAGCATTCTCAGAAACTGCTTTGTGATGTTTTCATTCAAGTCACAGAGTAGAATGTTCCCTGTTATATACCAGGTTTGAGACACTCTTTCTGCACTACCCGGAAGTGGACGTTTGGAGCGCTTTGAGGCCTATGTTGAAAAAGGAAATATCTTCCCATAAAAACTAGACAGAAGCATTCTCAGAAACTTGTTTGTGATGTGTGTATTCAACTAACAGAGATGAACCTTTCTTTTTACAGAGCAGTTTTGAAACACTCTTTTTGTGGAATCTGAAAGTGGATATTTGGATAGCTTTGAGGATTTCGTTGAAACGGGATTACGTATAAAATCTAGAGAGAAGCATTCTCAGGAACTTCTTTGTGATGTTTGCATTCACGTCACAAAACTGAACATTCCCTTTCATAGAGCATGTTTGAAACACTCTTTCTGTAGTATCTGCAAACGGACATTTCAAGCGCTTTCAGGCCTATGGTAAGAAAGGAAATATCTTCAAATAAAAACTAGACAGAAGCATTCTCAGAAACTTATTTGCGATGTGTGCCCTCAACTAACAGAGTTGAACCTTTGTTTTGATACAACATTTTGGAAACACTCTTTTTGTAGAATCTGCAAGTGGATATTTGGATAGCTTTGAAGGTTTCGTTGGAAACGGGAATATCTTCATATAAAATCAAGACAGCAGCATTCTCAGAAACTTCTCTGTGATGTTTGCATTCAACTCATAGAGTTGAACACTTCCCTTCATACAGCAGGTTTGAAACACTCTTTTTCTAATATTTGGAAGTGGACATTTGCAGCGCTTTGAGGCCTATGTTGAAAAAGGAAATATCTTCTCCTAAAAACCAGACAGAAGCATTCTCAGAAACTTCCTTGTGATGTGTGTACACAAGTAACAGAGTTGAACCTTCCTTTTGACAGAGCAGTTTTGAAGCACTCTTTTTGTAGAATCTGCAAGTGGATATTTTGATACCTTTGAGGATTTCGTTGGACACGGGATATCTTCATATAAAATCTAGACAGAAGCATTCTCAGAAACTTCTTTGTGCTGTATGTCCTCAATTAACAGAGTTGAACCTTTGTGTGGATACAGCATTTTGGAAACATTCCTTTAGTAGAATCTGCAAGTTGATATTTAGATAGCTAGGAAGATTTCCTTGGAAACGGGAATATCTTCATATAAAATCTAGACGGAAGCATTCTCAGAAAGTGCTTTGTGATGTTTGCATTCAAGTCACAGAGTTGAATGTTCCCTTTTATAGAGCAGGTTTGAAACACTCTTTCTGCACTACCTGGAAGTGGACATTTGGAGCGCTTTGAGGCCTATGTTGAAAAACGAAATATCTTCCCATAAAAACTAGACAGAAGCATTCTCAGAAACTTGTTTGTGATGTGTGTATTCAACTAACAGAGATGAACCTTTCTTTTTACAGAGCAGTTTTGAAACACTCTTTTTGTGGAATCTGAAAGTGGATATTTGGATAGCTTTGAGGATTTCGTTGGAAACGGGATTACATATAAAACCTAGAGAGAAGCATTCTCAGGAACTTCTTTGTGATGTTTGCCTTCAAGTCACAGGACTGAACATTCCCTTTCATAGAGCAGGTTTGAAACACTCTTTCTGTAGTATCTGCAAGCTGACGTTTCAAGCGCTTTCAGGCCTATGGTGAGAAAGGAAATATCTTCAAGTAAAAACTAGACAGAAGCATTCTCAGAAACTTATTTGCGATGTGTGTTCTCAACTAACAGAGTTGAACCTTTGTTTTGATATGGCATTTTGGAAACACTCTTTTTGTAGAATCTGCAGGTGGATATTCGGATAGCTTTGAAGGTTTCGTTGGAAACGGGAATATCTTCATATAAAATCTAGACGGAAGCATTCTCAGAAACTGCTTTGTGATGTTTTCATTCAAGTCACAGAGTAGAATGTTCCCTGTTATATACCAGGTTTGAGACACTCTTTCTGCACTACCTGGAAGTGGACGTTTGGAGCGCTTTGAGGCCTATGTTGAAAAAGGAAATATCTTCCCATAAAAACTAGACAGAAGCATTCTCAGAAACTTGTTTGTGATGTGTGTATTCAACTAACAGGGATGAACCTTTCTTATTACAGAGCAGTTTTGAAACACTCTTTTTGTGGAATCTGAAAGTGGATATTTGGATAGCTTTGAGGATTTCGTTGGAAACGGGATTACATATAAAACCTAGAGAGAAGCATTCTCAGGAACTTCTTTGTGATGTTTGCATTCAAGTCACAGAAGTGAACATTCCCTTTCATAGAGCATGTTTGAAACACTCTTTCTGTAGTATCTGCAAACGGACATTTCAAACGCTTTCAGGCCTATGGTGAGAAAGGAAATATCTTCAAATAAAAACTAGACAGAAGCATTCTCAGAAACTTGTTTGCGATGTGTTTCCTCAACTAACAGAGTTGAACCTTTCTTTTGATACAACATTTTGGAAACACTCTTTTTGTAGAATCTGCAAGTGGATATTTGGATAGCTTTGAAGGTTTCTTTGGAAACGGGAATATCTTCATATAAAATCAAGACAGAAGCATTCTCAGAAACTTCTCTGTGATGTTTGCATTCAACTCATAGAGTTGAACACTTCCCTTCATACAGCAGGTTTGAAACACTCTTTTTGTAATATTTGGAAGTGGACATTTGCAGCGCTTTGAGGCCTATGATGAAAAAGGTAATATCTTCCCATAAAAACTAGACAGAAGCATTCTCAGAAACTTGTTTGTGATGTGTGTATTCAACTAACAGAGATGAACCTTTCTTTTTACAGAGCAGTTTTGAAACACTCTTTTTGTGGAATCTGAAAGTGGATATTTGGATAGCTTTGCGGATTTCGTTGGAAACGGGATTACATATAAAATCTAGGGAGAAGCATTCTCAGGAACTTCTTTGTGATGTTTGCATTCAAGTCACAGAACTGAACATTCCCTTTCATAGAGCAGGTTTGAAACACTCTTTCTGTAGTATCTGCAAGCGGACGTTTTAAGCCCTTTCAGGCCTGTGGTGAGAAAGGAAATATCTTCAAATAAAAACTAGACAGAAGCATTCTCAGAAACTTATTTGCGATGTGTGTCCTCAAGTAACAGAGTTGAACCTTTCTTTTGATACAACATTTTGGAAACACTCTTTTTGTAGAATCTGCAAGTGGATATTTGGATAGCTTTGAAGGTTTCGTTGGAAACGGGAATATCTTCATATGAAATCAAGACAGAAGCATTCTCAGAAACTTCTCTGTGATGTTTGCATTCAACTCATAGAGTTGAACACTTCCTTTCATAGAGGTGGTTTGAAATACTCTTTTTGTAATATTTGGAAGTGGACATTGGCAGCGCTTTGAAGCCTATGGCGAAAAAGGAGATATCTTCCCCTAAAAACCAGACAGAAGCATTCTCAGAATCTTTCTTTTGATGTGTGTACTCAAGTAACAGAGTTGAACCTTCATTTTGACAGAGCAGTTTTGAAGCACTCTTTTTGTAGAATCTGCAAGTGGATATTTTGATACCTTTGAGGATTTCGTTGGACACGGGATATCTTCATATAAAATCTAGACAGAAGCATTCTCAGAAACTTCTTTGTGCTGTATGTCCTCAATTAACAGAGTTGAACCTTTGTGTGGATACAGCATTTTGGAAACATTCCTTTAGTAGAATCTGCAAGTTGATATTTAGATAGCTAGGAAGATTTCCTTGGAAACGGGAATATCTTCACATAAAATCTAGACGGAAGCATTCTCAGAAACTGCTTTGTGATGTCTTCATTCAAGTCACAGACTAGAATGTTCCCTTTCATAGAGCAGGTTTGAAACACTCAGTGCACTACCTGGAAGTGGACATTTGGAGCGCTTTGACGCCTATGTTGAAAAAGGAAATATCTTCCCATAGAAACTAGACAGAAGCATTCTCAGAAACTTGTTTGTGATGTGTGTATTCAACTAACAGAGATGAACCTTTCTTTTTACAGAGCAGTTTTGAAACACTCTTTTTGTGGAATCTGAAAGTGGATATTTGGATAGCTTTGAGGATTTCGTTGGAAACGGGATTACATATAAAATCTAGGGAGAAGCATTCTCAGGAACTTCTTCGTGATGTTTGCATTCAAGTCACAGAACTGAACATTCCCTTTCATAGTGCAGGTTTGAAACACTCTTTCTGTAGTATCTGCAAGCTGACGTTTCAAGCGCTTTCAGGCCTGTGGTGAAAAAGGAAATATCTTCAAATAAAAACTAGACAGAAGCATTCTCAGAAACTTATTTGCGATGTGAGTTCTCAACTAACAGAGTTGAACCTTTGTTTGGATACAACATTTTGGAAACACTCTTTTTGTAGAATCTGCAAGTGGATATTTGGATAGCTTTGAAGGTTTCGTTGGAAACGGGAATATCTTGATATAAAATCAAGACAGAAGCATTCTCAGAAACTTCTCTGTGATGTTTGCATTCAACTCATAGAGTTGAACACTTCCCTTCATACAGCAGGTTTGAAACACTCTTTTTGTAATATTTGGAAGTGGACATTTGCAGCGCTTTGAGGCCTATGATGAAAAAGGAAATATCTTCCCATAAAAACTAGACAGAAGCATTCTCAGAAACTTGTTTGTGATGTGTGTATTCAACTTACAGAGATGAACCTTTCTTTTTACCGAGCAGTTTTGAAACACTCTTTTTGTGGAATCTGAAAGTGGATATTTGGATAGCTTTGAGGATTTCGTTGGAAACGGGATTACATATAAAATCTAGGGAGAAGCATTCTCAGGAACTTCTTTGTGATGTTTGCCTTCAAGTCACAGGACTGAACATTCCCTTTCATAGAGCAGGTTTGAAACACTCTTTCTGTAGTATCTGCAAGCTGACGTTTCAAGGGCTTTCAGGCCTATGGTGAGAAAGGAAATATCTTCAAGTAAAAACTAGACAGAAACATTCTCAGAAAACTTATTTGCGATGTGTGTCCTCAACTATCAGAGTTGAACCTTTCTTTTGATACAACATTTTGGAACCACTCTTTTTGTAGAATCTGCAAGTGGATATTTGAATAGCTTTGAAGGTTTCGTTGGAAACGGGAATATCTTCATATAAAATCAAGACAGAAGCATTCTCAGAAACTGCTTTGTGATGTTTGCATTCAAGTCACAGAGTAGAATGTTCCCTGTTATATACCAGGTTTGAGACACTCTTTCTGCACTACCTGGAAGTGGACGTTTGGAGCGCTTTGAGGCCTATGTTGAAAAAGGAAATATCTTCCCATAAAAACTAGACAGAAGCATTCTCAGAAACTTGTTTGTGATGTGTGTATTCAACTAACAGAGATGAACCTTTCTTTTTACAGAGCAGTTTTGAAACACTCTTTTTGTGGAATCTGAAAGTGGATATTTGGATAGCTTTGAGGATTTCGTTGGAAACGGGATTACATATAAAACCTAGAGAGAAGCATTCTCAGGAACTTCTTTGTGATGTTTGCATTCAAGTCACAGAACTGAACATTCCCTTTCATAGAGCAGGTTTGAAACACTCTTTCTGTAGTATCTGCAAGCTGACGTTTCAAGCGCTTTCAGGCCTATGGTGAGAAAGGAAATATCTTCAAGTAAAAACTAGACAGAAGCATTCTCAGAAACTTATTTGCGATGTGTGTTCTCAACTAACAGAGTTGAACCTTTGTTTTGATATGGCATTTTGGAAACACTCTTTTTGTAGAATCTGCAGGTGGATATTCGGATAGCTTTGAAGGTTTCGTTGGAAACGGGAATATCTTCATATAAAATCTAGACGGAAGCATTCTCAGAAAGTGCTTTGTGATGTTTGCATTCAAGTCACAGAGTTGAATATTCCCTTTTATAGAGCAGGTTTGAAACACTCTTTCTGCACTACCTGGAAGTGGACATTTGGAGCGCTTTGAGGCCTATGTTGAAAAAGGAAATATCTTCCCATAAAAACTAGACAGAAGCATTCTCAGAAACTTGTTTGTGATGTGTGTATTCAACTAACAGAGGTGAACCTTTCTTTTTACAGAGCAGTTTTGAAACACTCTTTTTGTGGAATCTGAAAGTGGATATTTGGATAGCTTTGAGGATTTCGTTGGAAACGGGATTACATATAAAACCTAGAGAGAAGCATTCTCAGGAACTTCTTTTTGATGTTTGCCTTCAAGTCACAGGACTGAACATTCCCTTTCATAGAGCAGGTTTGAAACACTCTTTCTGTAGTATCTGCAAGCTGACGTTTCAAGCGCTTTCAGGCCTATGGTGAGAAAGGAAATATCTTCAAGTAAAAACTAGACAGAAGCATTCTCAGAAACTTATTTGCGATGTGTGTTCTCAACTAACAGAGTTGAACCTTTGTTTTGATATGGCATTTTGGAAACACTCTTTTTGTAGAATCTGCAGGTGGATATTCGGATAGCTTTGAAGGTTTCGTTGGAAACGGGAATATCTTCATATAAAATCTAGACGGAAGCATTCTCAGAAACTGCTTTGTGATGTTTTCATTCAAGTCACAGAGTAGAATGTTCCCTGTTATATACCAGGTTTGAGACACTCTTTCTGCACTACCTGGAAGTGGACATTTGCAGCGCTTTGAGGCCTATGATGAAAAAGGAAATATCTTCCCATAAAAACTAGACAGAAGCATTCTCAGAAACTTGTTTGTGACGTGTGTATTCAACTAACAGAGATGAACCTTTCTTTTTACAGAGCAGTTTTGAAACACTCTTTTTGTGGAATCTGAAAGTGGATATTTGGATAGCTTTGAGGATTTCGTTGGAAACGGGATTACATATAAAATCTAGAGAGAAGCATTCTCAGGAACTTCTTTGTGATGTTTGCATTCACGTCACAGAACTGAACATTCCCTTTCATAGAGCATGTTTGAAACACTCTTTCTGTAGTATCTGCAAACGGACATTTCAAACGCTTTCAGGCCTATGGTGAGAAAGGAAATATCTTCAAATAAAAACTAGACAGAAGCATTCTCAGAAACTTATTTGCGATGTGTGTCCTCAACTAACAGAGTTGAACCTTTCTTTTGATACAACATTTTGGAAACACTCTTTTTGTAGAATCTGCAAGTGGATATTTGAATAGCTTTGAAGGTTTCGTTGGAAACGGGAATATCTTCATATAAAATCAAGACAGAAGCATTCTCAGAAACTTCTCTGTGATGTTTGCATTCAACTCATAGAGTTGAACACTTCCCTTCATACAGCAGGTTTGAAACACTCTTTTTGTAATATTTGGAAGTGGACATTTGCAGCGCTTTCAGGCCTATGATGAAAAAGGTAATATCTTCCCATAAAAACTAGACAGAAGCATTCTCAGAAACTTGTTTGTGATGTGTGTATTCAACTAACAGAGATGAACCTTTCTTTTTACAGAGCAGTTTTGAAACACTCTTTTTGTGGAATCTGAAAGTGGATATTTGGATAGCTTTGAGGATTTCGTTGGAAACGGGATTACATATAAAACCTAGAGAGAAGCATTCTCAGGAACTTCTTTGTGATGTTTGCATTCACGTCACAGAACTGAACATTCCCTTTCATAGAGCATGTTTGAAACACTCTTTCTGTAGTATCTGCAAACGGACATTTCAAACGCTTTCAGGCCTATGGTGAGAAAGGAAATATCTTCAAATAAAAACTAGACAGAAGCATTCTCAGAAACTTATTTGCGATGTGTGTCCTCAACTAACAGAGTTGAACCTTTCTTTTGATACAACATTTTGGAAACACTCTTTTTGTAGAATCTGCAAGTGGATATTTGAATAGCTTTGAAGGTTTCGTTGGAAACGGGAATATCTTCATATAAAATCAAGACAGAAGCATTCTCAGAAACTTCTCTGTGATGTTTGCATTCAACTCATAGAGTTGAACACTTCCCTTCATACAGCAGGTTTGAAACACTCTTTTTGTAATATTTGGAAGTGGACATTTGCAGCGCTTTGAGGCCTATGATGAAAAAGGTAATATCTTCCCATAAAAACTAGACAGAAGCATTCTCAGAAACTTGTTTGTGATGTGTGTATTCAACTAACAGAGATGAACCTTTCTTTTTACAGAGCAGTTTTGAAACACTCTTTTTGTGGGATCTGAAAGTGGATATTTGGATAGCTTTGCGGATTTCGTTGGAAACGGGATTACATATAAAATCTAGGGAGAAGCATTCTCAGGAACTTCTTTGTGATGTTTGCATTCAAGTCACAGAACTGAACATTCCCTTTCATAGAGCAGGTTTGAAACACTCTTTCTGTAGTATCTGCAAGCTGACGTTTCAAGCGCTTTCAGGCCTATGGTGAGAAAGGAAATATCTTCAAGTAAAAACTAGACAGAAGCATTCTCAGAAACTTATTTGCGATGTGTGTTCTCAACTAACAGAGTTGAACCTTTGTTTTGATATGGCATTTTGGAAACACTCTTTTTGTAGAATCTGCAGGTGGATATTCGGATAGCTTTGAAGGTTTCGTTGGAAACGGGAATATCTTCATATAAAATCTAGACGGAAGCATTCTCAGAAACTGCTTTGTGATGTTTTCATTCAAGTCACAGAGTAGAATGTTCCCTGTTATATACCAGGTTTGAGACACTCTTTCTGCACTACCTGGAAGTGGACATTTGCAGCGCTTTGAGGCCTATGATGAAAAAGGAAATATCTTCCCATAAAAACTAGACAGAAGCATTCTCAGAAACTTGTTTGTGATGTGTGTATTCAACTAACAGAGATGAACCTTTCTTTTTACAGAGCAGTTTTGAAACACTCTTTTTGTGGAATCTGAAAGTGGATATTTGGATAGCTTTGAGGATTTCGTTGGAAACGGGATTACATATAAAATCTAGAGAGAAGCATTCTCAGGAACTTCTTTGTGATGTTTGCATTCACGTCACAGAACTGAACATTCCCTTTCATAGAGCATGTTTGAAACACTCTTTCTGTAGTATCTGCAAACGGACATTTCAAACGCTTTCAGGCCTATGGTGAGAAAGGAAATATCTTCAAATAAAAACTAGATAGAAGCATTCTCAGAAACTTATTTGCGATGTGTGTCCTCAACTATCAGAGTTGAACCTTTCTTTTGATACAACATTTTGGAACCACTCTTTTTGTAGAATCTGCAAGTGGATATTTGAATAGCTTTGAAGGTTTCGTTGGAAACGGGAATATCTTCATATAAAATCAAGACAGAAGCATTCTCAGAAACTTCTCTGTGATGTTTGCATTCAACTCATAGAGTTGAACACTTCCCTTCATACAGCAGGTTTGAAACACTCTTTTTGTAATATTTGGAAGTGGACATTTGCAGCGCTTTGAGGCCTATGATGAAAAAGGAAATATCTTCCCATAAAAACTAGACAGAAGCATTCTCAGAAACTTGTTTGTGATATGTGTATTCAACTAACAGAGATGAACCTTTCTTTTTACAGAGCAGTTTTAAAACACTCTTTTTGTGGAATCTGAAAGTGGATATTTGGATAGCTTTGAGGATATCGTTGGAAACGGTATTACATATAAAATCTAGAGAGAAGAATTCTCAGGAACTTCTTTGTGATGTTTGAATTCAAGTCGCAGAACTGAACATTCCCTTTCATAGAGCAGGTTTGAAACACTCTTTCTGTAGTATCTGCAAGCGGACGTTTCAAGCACTTTCAAGCCTATGGTAAGAAAGGAAATATCTTCAAATAATAACTAGACAGAAGCATTCTCAGATACTTATTTCCCATGTGTGTTCTCAACTAACAGAGTTGAACCTTTGTTTTGATACGGCATTTTGGAAACACTCTTTTTGTAGAATCTGCAGGTGGATATTCGGATAGCTTTGAAGGTTTCGTTGGAAACGGGAATATCTTCATAGAAAATCTAGACGGAAGCATTCTCAGAAACTGCTTTGTGATGTTTTCATTCAAGTCACAGAGTAGAATGTTCCCTTTTATATACCAGGTTTGAGACACTCTTTCTGCACTATCTGGAAGTGGACATTTGGAGCGCTTTGAGGCCTATGATGAAAAAGGAAATATCTTCGCATAAAAACTAGACAGAAGCATTCTCAGAAACTTGTTTGTGATGTGTGTATTCAACTAGCAGAGATGAACCTTTCTTTTTACAGAGCAGTTTTGAAACACTCTTTTTGTGGAATCTGAAAGTGCATATTTGGATAGCTTTGAGGATTTCGTTGGAAACGGGATTACATATAAAATCTAGAGAGAAGCATTCTCAGGAACTTCTTTGTGATGTTTGCATTCAAGTCACAGAACTGAACATTCCCTTTCATAGAGCAGGTTTGAAACACTCTTTCTGTAGTATCTGCAAGCGGACGTTTTAAGCGCTTTCAGGCCTGTGGTGAGAAAGGAAATATCTTCAAATAAAAACTAGACAGAAGCATTCTCAGAAACTTATTTGCGATGTGTGTCCTCAACTAACAGAGTTGAACCTTTCTTTTGATACAACATTTTGGAAACACTCTTTTTGTAGAATCTGCAAGTGGATATTTGGATAGCTTTGAAAGTTTCGTTGGAAACGGGAATATCTTCATATGAAATCAAGACAGAAGCATTCTCAGAAACTTCTCTGTGATGTTTGCATTCAACTCATAGAGTTGAACACTTCCCTTCATACAGCAGGTTTGAAACACTCTTTTTGTAATATTTGGAAGTGGACATTTGCAGCGCTTTGAGGCCTATGTTGAAAAAGGAAATATCTTCTCCTAAAAACCAGACAGAAGCATTCTCAGAAACTTTCTTGTGATGTGTGTACTCAAGTAACAGAGTTGAACCTTACTTTTGACAGAGCCGTTTTGAAACAGTCTTTTTGTAGAATCTGGAAGTAGATATTTGGATACCTTTGAGGATTTCTTTGGAAACGGGATATCTTCATATAAAATCTAGACAGAAGCATTCTCAGAAACTTCTTTGTGCTGTATGTCCTCAATTAACAGAGTTGAACCTTTGTGTGGATACAGCATTTTGGAAACACTCCTTTAGTAGAATCTGCAAGTTGATATTTAGATAGCTAGGAAGATTTCCTTGGAAACGGGAATATCTTCACATAAAATCTAGACGGAAGCATTCTCAGAACCTGCTTTGTGATGTTTTCATTCAAGTCACAGAGTAGAATGTTCCCTGTTATATACCAGGTTTGAGACACTCTGTCTGCACTACCTGGAAGTGGACGTTTGGAGCGCTTTGAGGCCTATGTTGAAAAAGGAAATATCTTCCCATAAAAACTAGACAGAAGCATTCTCAGAAACTTGTTTGTGATGTGTGTATTCAACTAACAGAGATGAACCTTTCTTTTTACAGAGCAGTTTTGAAACACTCTTTTTGTGGAATCTGAAAGTGGATATTTGGATAGCTTTGAGGATTTCGTTGGAAACGGGATTACATATAAAATCTAGAGAGAAGCATTCTCAGGTAACTTCTTTGTGATGTTTGCATTCACGTCACAGAACTGAACATTCCCTTTCATAGAGCATGTTTGAAACACTCTTTCTGTAGTATCTGCAAACGGACATTTCAAGCGCTTTCAGGCCTATGGTAAGAAAGGAAATATCTTCAAATAAAAACTAGACAGAAGCATTCTCAGAAACTTATTTGCGATGTGTGTCCTCAACTAACAGAGTTGAACCTTTGTTTTGATACAGCATTTTGGAAACACTCTTTTTGTAGTATCTGCAAGTGGATATTTGGATAGCTTTGAAGGTTTCGTTGGAAACGGGAATATCTTCATATAAAACCAAGACAGAAGCATTCTCAGAAACTTCTCTGTGATGTTTGCATTCAACTCATAGAGTTGAACACTTCCCTTCATAGAGCAGGTTTGAAACACTCTTTTTGTAATATTTGGAAGTGGACATTTGCAGCGCTTTGAGGCCTATGTTGAAAAAGGAAATATCTTCTCCTAAAAACCAGACAGAAGCATTCTCAGAAACTTCCTTGTGATGTGTGTAGTCAAGTAACAGAGTTGAACCTTCCTTTTGACAGAGCCGTTTTGAAACAGTCTTTTTGTAGAATCTGGAAGTAGATATTTGGATACCTTTGAGGATTTCTTTGGAAACGGGATATCTTCATATAAAATCTAGACAGAAGCATTCTCAGGAACTTCTTTGTGATGTTTGCATTCACGTCACAGAACTGAACATTCCCTTTCATAGAGCATGTTTGAAACACTCTTTCTGTAGTATCTGCAAACGGACATTTCAAACGCTTTCAGGCCTAGGTGAGAAAGGAAATATCTTCAAATAAAAACTAGACAGAAGCATTCTCAGAAACTTATTTGCGATGTGTGTCCTCAACTAACAGAGTTGAACCTTTGTTTTGATACAACATTTTGGAAACACTCTTTTTGTAGAATCTGCAAGTGGATATTTGGATAGCTTTGAAGGTTTCGTTGGAAACGGGAATATCTTCATATAAAATCAAGACAGAAGCATTCTCAGAAACTTCTCTGTGATGTTTGCATTCAACTCATAGAGTTGAACACTTCCCTTCATAGAGCAGGTTTGAAACACTCTTTTTGTAATATTTGGAAGTGGACATTTGCAGCGCTTTGAGGCCTATGTTGAAAAAGGAAATATCTTCTCCTAAAAACCAGACAGAAGCATTCTCAGAAACTTCCTTGTGATGTGTGTACTCAAGTAACAGAGTTGAACCTTACTTTTGACAGAGCCGTTTTGAAACAGTCTTTTTGTAGAATCTGGAAGTAGATATTTGGACACCTTTGAGGATTTCTTTGGAAACCGGATATCTTCATATAAAATCTAGACAGAAGCATTCTCAGGAACTTCTTTGTGATGTTTGCCTTCAAGTCACAGGACTGAACATTCCCTTTCATAGAGCAGGTTTGAAACACTCTTTCTGTAGTATCTGCAAGCTGACGTTTCAAGCGCTTTCAGGCCTATGGTGAGAAAGGAAATATCTTCAAGTAAAAACTAGACAGAAGCATTCTCAGAAACTTATTTGCCATGTGTGTTCTCAACTAACAGAGTTGAACCTTTGTTTTGATATGGCATTTTGGAAACACTCTTTTTGTAGAATCTGCAGGTGGATATTCGGATAGCTTTGAAGGTTTCGTTGGAAACGGGAATATCTTCATATAAAATCTAGACGGAAGCATTCTCAGAAACTGCTTTGTGATGTTTTCATTCAAGTCACAGAGTAGAATGTTCCCTGTTATATACCAGGTTTGAGACACTCTTTCTGCACTACCTGGAAGTGGACATTTGCAGCGCTTTGAGGCCTATGATGAAAAAGGAAATATCTTCCCATAAAAACTAGACAGAAGCATTCTCAGAAACTTGTTTTTGATGTGTGTATTCAACTAACAGAGATGAACCTTTCTTTTTACAGAGCAGTTTTGAAACACTCTTTTTGTGGAATCTGAAAGTGGATATTTGGATAGCTTTGAGGAATTCGTTGGAAACGGGATTACATATAAAATCTAGAGAGAAGCATTCTCAGGAACTTCTTTGTGATATTTGCATTCACGTCACAGAACTGAACATTCCCTTTCATAGAGCATGTTTGAAACACTCTTTCTGTAGTATCTGCAAACGGACATTTCAAACGCTTTCAGGCCTATGGTGAGAAAGGAAATATCTTCAAATAAAAACTAGACAGAAGCATTCTCAGAAACTTATTTGCGATGTGTGTCCTCAACTAACAGAGTTGAACCTTTCTTTTGATACAACATTTTGAAACACTCTTTTTGTAGAATCTGCAAGTGGATATTTGAATAGCTTTGAAGGTTTCGTTGGAAACGGGAATATCTTCATATAAAATCAAGACAGAAGCATTCTCAGAAACTTCTCTGTGATGTTTGCATTCAACTCATAGAGTTGAACACTTCCCTTCATACAGCAGGTTTGAAACACTCTTTTTGTAATATTTGGAAGTGGACATTTGCAGCGCTTTGAGGCCTATGATGAAAAAGGTAATATCTTCCCATAAAAACTAGACAGAAGCATTCTCAGAAACTTGTTTGTGATGTGTGTATTCAACTAACAGAGATGAACCTTTCTTTTTACAGAGCAGTTTTGAAACACTCTTTTTGTGGAATCTGAAAGTGGATATTTGGATAGCTTTGAGGATTTCGTTGGAAACGGGATTACATATAAAACCTAGAGAGAAGCATTCTCAGGAACTTCTTTGTGATGTTTGCATTCAAGTCACAGAACTGAACATTCCCTTTCATAGAGCATGTTTGATACACTCTTTCTGTAGTATCTGCAAGCTGACGTTTCAAGCGCTTTCAGGCCTATGGTGAGAAAGGAAATATCTTCAAGTAAACACTAGACAGAAGCATTCTCAGAAACTTATTTGCCATGTGTGTTCTCAACTAACAGAGTTGAACCTTTGTTTTGATACGGCATTTTGGAAACACTCTTTTTGTAGAATCTGCAGGTGGATATTCGGATAGCTTTGAAGGTTTCGTTGGAAACGGGAATATCTTCATATAAAATCTTGACGGAAGCATTCTCAGAAACTGCTTTGTGATGTTTTCATTCAAGTCACAGAGTAGAATCTTCCCTGTTATATACCAGGTTTCAGACACTCTTTCTGCACTACCTGGAAGTGGACATTTGCAGCGCTTTGAGGCCTATGATGAAAAAGGAAATATCTTCCCATAAAAACTAGACAGAAGCATTCTCAGAAACTTGTTTGTGATGTGTGTATTCAACTAACAGAGATGAACCTTTCTTTTTACAGAGCAGTTTTGAAACACTCTTTTTGTGGAATCTGAAAGTGGATATTTGGATAGCTTTGAGGATTTCGTTGGAAACGGGATTACATATAAAAACCTAGGGAGAAGCATTCTCAGGAACTTCTTTGTGATGTTTGCATTCAAGTCACAGAACTGAACATTCCCTTTCATAGAGCAGGTTTGAAACAGTCTTTCTGTAGTATCTGCAAGCTGACGTTTCAAGCGCTTTCAGGCCTATGGTGAGAAAGGAAATATCTTCAAGTAAAAACTAGACAGAAGCATTCTCAGAAACTTATTTGCCATGTGTGTTCTCAACTAACAGAGTTGAACCTTTGTTTTGATACGGCATTTTGGAAACACTCTTTTTGTAGAATCTGCAGGTGGATATTCGGATAGCTTTGAAGGTTTCGTTGGAAACGGGAATATCTTCATATAAAATCTAGACGGAAGCATTCTCAGAAACTGCTTTGTGATGTTTTCATTCAAGTCACAGAGTAGAATGTTCCCTGTTATATACCAGGTTTGAGACACTCTTTCTGCACTACCCGGAAGTGGACGTTTGGAGCGCTTTGAGGCCTATGTTGAAAAAGGAAATATCTTCCCATAAAAACTAGACAGAAGCATTCTCAGAAACTTGTTTGTGATGTGTGTATTCAACTAACAGAGATGAACCTTTCTTTTTACAGAGCAGTTTTGAAACACTCTTTTTGTGGAATCTGAAAGTGGATATTTGGATAGCTTTGAGGATTTCGTTGGAAACGGGATTACATATAAAATCTAGAGAGAAGCATTCTCAGGAACTTCTTTGTGATGTTTGCATTCACGTCACAGAACTGAACATTCCCTTTCATAGAGCATGTTTGAAACACTCTTTCTGTAGTATCTGCAAACGGACATTTCAAACGCTTTCAGGCCTATGGTGAGAAAGGAAATATCTTCAAGTAAAAACTAGACAGAAGCATTCTCAGAAACTTTATTTGCGATGTGTGTCCTCAACTAACAGAGTTGAACCTTTCTTTTGATACAACATTTTGGAAACACTCTTTTTGTAGAATCTGCAAGTGGATATTTGAATAGCTTTGAAGGTTTCGTTGGAAACGGGAATATCTTCAAATAAAATCAAGACAGAAGCATTCTCAGAAACTTCTCTGTGATGTTTGCATTCAACTCATAGAGTTGAACACTTCCCTTCATACAGCAGGTTTGAAACACTCTTTTTGTAATATTTGGAAGTGGACATTTGCAGCGCTTTGAGGCCTATGATGAAAAAGGTAATATCTTCCCATAAAAACTAGACAGAAGCATTCTCAGAAACTTGTTTGTGATGTGTGTATTCAACTAACAGAGATGAACCTTTCTTTTTACAGAGCAGTTTTGAAACACTCTTTTTGTGGAATCTGAAAGTGGATATTTGGATAGCTTTGCGGATTTCGTTGGAAACGGGATTACATATAAATCTAGGGAGAAGCATTCTCAGGAACTTCTTTGTGATGTTTGCATTCAAGTCACAGAACTGAACATTCCCTTTCATAGAGCAGGTTTGAAACACTCTTTCTGTAGTATCTGCAAGCGGACGTTTTAAGCGCTTTCAGGCCTGTGGTGAGAAAGGAAATATCTTCAAATAAAAACTAGACAGAAGCATTCTCAGAAACTTATTTGCGATGTGTGTCCTCAACTAACAGAGTTGAACCTTTCTTTTGATACAACATTTTGGAAACACTCTTTTTGTAGAATCTGCAAGTGGATATTTGGATAGCTTTGAAGGTTTCGTTGGAAACGGGAATATCTTCATATGAAATCAAGACAGAAGCATTCTCAGAAACTTCTCTGTGATGTTTGCATTCAACTCATAGAGTTGAACACTTCCCTTCATACAGCAGGTTTGAAACACTCTTTTTGTAATATTTGGAAGTGGACATTTGCAGCGCTTTGAGGCCTATGTTGAAAAAGGAAATATCTTCTCCTAAAAACCAGACAGAAGCATTCTCAGAAACTTCCTTGTGATGTGTGTACTCAAGTAACAGAGTTGAACCTTCCTTTTGACAGAGCAGTTTTGAAGCACTCTTTTTGTAGAATCTGCAAGTGGATATTTTGATACCTTTGAGGATTTCGTTGGACACGGGATATCTTCATATAAAATCTAGACAGAAGCATTCTCAGAAACTTCTTTGTGCTGTATGTCCTCAATTAACAGAGTTGAACCTTTGTGTGGATACAGCATTTTGGAAACATTCCTTTAGAAGAATCTGCAAGTTGATATTTAGATAGCTAGGAAGATTTCCTTGGAAACGGGAATATCTTCATATAAAATCTAGACGGAAGCATTCTCAGAAAGTGCTTTGTGATGTTTGCATTCAAGTCACAGAGTTGAATATTCCCCTTTATAGAGCAGGTTTGAAACACTCTTTCTGCACTACCTGGAAGTGGACATTTGGAGCGCTTTGAGGCCTATGTTGAAAAAGGAAATATCTTCCCATAAAAACTAGACAGAAGCATTCTCAGAAACTTGTTTGTGATGTGTGTATTCAACTAACAGAGATGAACCTTTCTTTTTACAGAGCAGTTTTGAAACACTCTTTTTGTGGAATCTGAAAGTGGATATTTGGATAGCTTTGAGGATTTCGTTGGAAACGGGATTACATATAAAACCTAGAGAGAAGCATTCTCAGGAACTTCTTTGTGATGTTTGCCTTCAAGTCACAGGACTGAACATTCCCTTTCATAGAGCAGGTTTGAAACACTCTTTCTGTAGTATCTGCAAGCTGACGTTTCATGCGCTTTCAGGCCTATGGTGAGAAAGGAAATATCTTCAAGTAAAAACTAGACAGAAGCATTGTCAGAAACTTATTTGAAATGTGTGTTCTCAACTAACAGAGTTGAACCTTTGTTTTGATACGGCATTTTGGAAACACTCTTTTTGTAGAATCTGCAGGTGGATATTCGGATAGCTTTGAAGGTTTCGTTGGAAACGGGAATATCTTCATATAAAATCTAGACGGAAGCATTCTCAGAAACTGCTTTGTGATGTTTTCATTCAAGTCACAGTGTAGAATGTTCCCTGTTATATACCAGGTTTGAGACACTCTTTCTGCACTACCTGGAAGTGGACGTTTGGAGCGCTTTGAGGCCTATGTTGAAAAAGGAAATATCTTCCCATAAAAACTAGACAGAAGCATTCTCAGAAACTTGTTTGTGATGTGTGTATTCAACTAACAGAGATGAACCTTTCTTTTTACAGAGCAGTTTTGAAACACTCTTTTTGTGGAATCTGAAAGTGGATATTTGGATAGCTTTGAGGATTTCGTTGGAAACGGGATTACATATAAAACCTAGAGAGAAGCATTCTCAGGAACTTCTTTGTGATGTTTGCCTTCAAGTCACAGGACTGAACATTCCCTTTCATAGAGCAGGTTTGAAACACTCTTTCTGTAGTATCTGCAAGCTGACGTTTCATGCGCTTTCAGGCCTATGGTGAGAAAGGAAATATCTTCAAGTAAAAACTAGACAGAAGCATTCTCAGAAACTTATTTGCCATGTGTGTTCTCAACTAACAGAGTTGAACCTTTGTTTTGATACGGCATTTTGGAAACACTCTTTTTGTAGAATCTGCAGGTGGATATTCGGATAGCTTTGAAGGTTTCGTTGGAAACGGGAATATCTTCATATAAAATCTAGACGGAAGCATTCTCAGAAACTGCTTTGTGATGTTTTCATTCAAGTCACAGAGTAGAATGTTCCCTGTTATATACCAGGTTTGAGACACTCTTTCTGCACTACCTGGAAGTGGACATTTGGAGCGCTTTGAGGCCTATGATGAAAAAGGAAATATCTTCCCATAAAAACTAGACAGAAGCATTCTCAGAAACTTGTTTGTGATGTGTGTATTCAACTAACAGAGATGAACCTTTCTTTTTACAGAGCAGTTTTGAAACACTCTTTTTGTGGAATCTGAAAGTGGATATTTAGATAGCTTTGCGGATTTCGTTGGAAACGGGATTACATATAAAATCTAGGGAGAAGCATTCTCAGGAACTTCTTTGTGATGTTTGCATTCAAGTCACAGAACTGAACATTCCCTTTCATAGAGCAGGTTTGAAACACTCTTTCTGTAGTATCTGCAAGCGGACGTTTCAAGCGCTTTCAGGCCTGTGGTGAAAAAGGAAATATCTTCAAATTAAAACTAGACAGAAGCATTCTCAGAAACTTATTTGCGATGTGTGTTCTCAGCTAACAGAGTTGAACCTTTGTTTTGATACAGCATTTTGGAAACACTCTTTTTGTAGGATCTGCAGGTGGATATTTGGATAGCTTTGAAGGTTTCTTTGGAAACGGGAATATCTTCATATAAAATCAACACAGAAGCATTCTCAGAAACTTCTCTGTGATGTTTGCATTCAACTCATAGAGTTGAACACTTCCCTTCATACAGCAGGTTTGAAACACTCTTTTTGTAATATTTGGAAGTGGACATTTGCAGCGCTTTGAGGCCTATGATGAAAAAGGAAATATCTTCCCATAAAAACTAGACAGGAAGCATTCTCAGAAACTTCCTTGTGATGTGTGTACTCAAGTAACAGAGTTGAACCTTCCTTTTGACAGAGCAGTTTTGAAGCACTCTTTTTGTAGAATCTGCAAGTGGATATTTTGATACCTTTGAGGATTTCGTTGGACACGGGATATCTTCATATAAAATCTAGACAGAAGCATTCTCAGAAACTTCTTTGTGCTGTATGTCCTCAATTAACAGAGTTGAACCTTTGTGTGGATACAGCATTTTGGAAACATTCCTTTAGTAGAATCTGCAAGTTGATATTTAGATAGCTAGGAAGATTTCCTTGGAAACGGGAATATCTTCATATAAAATCTAGACGGAAGCATTCTCAGAAAGTGCTTTGTGAAGTTTGCATTCAAGTCACAGAGTTGAATATTCCCTTTTATAGAGCAGGTTTGAAACACTCTTTCTGCACTACCTGGAAGTGGACATTTGGAGCGCTTTGAGGCCTATGTTGAAAAAGGAAATATCTTCCCATAAAAACTAGACAGAAGCATTCTCAGAAACTTGTTTGTGATGTGTGTATTCAACTAACAGAGATGAACCTTTCTTTTTACAGAGCAGTTTTGAAACACTCTTTTTGTGGAATCTGAAAGTGGATATTTGGATAGCTTTGAGGATTTCGTTGGAAACGGGATTACATGTAAAACCTAGAGAGAAGCATTCTCAGGAACTTCTTTGTGATGTTTGCATTCAAGTCACAGGACTGAACATTCCCTTTCATAGAGCAGGTTTGAAACACTCTTTCTGTAGTATCTGCAAGCTGATGTTTCAAGCGCTTTCAGGCCTATGGTGAGAAAGGAAATATCTTCAAGTAAAAACTAGACAGAAGCATTCTCAGAAACTTATTTGCCATGTGTGTTCTCAACTAACAGAGTTGAACCTTTGTTTTGATACGGCATTTTGGAAACACTCTTTTTGTAGAATCTGCAGGTGGATATTCGGATAGCTTTGAAGGTTTCGTTGGAAACGGGAATATCTTCATATAAAATCTACACGGAAGCATTCTCAGAAACTGCTTTGTGATGTTTTCATTCAAGTCACAGAGTAGAATGTTCCCTGTTATATACCAGGTTTGAGACACTCTTTCTGCACTACCTGGAAGTGGACGTTTGGAGCGCTTTGAGGCCTATGTTGAAAAAGGAAATATCTTCCCATAAAAACTAGACAGAAGCATTCTCAGAAACTTGTTTGTGATGTGTGTATTCAACTAACAGGGATGAACCTTTCTTATTACAGTGCAGTTTTGAAACACTCTTTTTGTGGAATCTGAAAGTGGATATTTGGATAGCTTTGAGGACTTCGTTGGAAACGGGATTACATATAAAACCTAGAGAGAAGCATTCTCAGGAACTTCTTTGTGATGTATGCATTCAAGTCACAGAACTGAACATTCCCTTTCATAGAGCATGTTTGAAACACTCTTTCTGTAGTATCTGCAAACGGACATTTCAAACGCTTTCAGGCCTATGGTGAGAAAGGAAATATCTTCAAATAAAAACTAGACAGAAGAATTCTCAGAAACTTATTTGCGATGTGTGTCCTCAACTAACAGAGTTGAACCTTTCCTTTGATACAACATTTTGGAACCACTCTTTTTGTAGAATCTGCAAGTGGATATTTGGATAGCTTTGAAGGTTTCGTTGGAAACGGGAATATCTTCATATAAAAACAAGACAGATGCATTCTCAGAAACTTCTCTGTGATGTTTGCATTCAACTCATAGAGTTGAACACTTCCCTTCATACAGCAGGTTTGAAACACTCTTTTTGTAATATTTGGAAGTGGACATTTGCAGCGCTTTGAGGCCTATGATGAAAAAGGAAATATCTTCCCATAAAAACTAGACAGAAGCATTCTCAGAAACTTGTTTGTGATGTGTGTATTCAACTAACAGAGATGAACCTTTCTTTTTACAGAGCAGTTTTGAAACACTCTTTTTGTGGAATCTGAAAGTGGATATTTGGATAGCTTTGCGGATTTCGTTGGAAACGGGATTACATATAAAATCTAGGGAGAAGCATTCTCAGGAACTTCTTTGTGATGTTTGCATTCAAGTCACAGAACTGAACATTCCCTTTCATAGAGCAGGTTTGAAACACTCTTTCTGTAGTATCTGCAAGCGGACGTTTTAAGCGCTTTCAGGCCTGTGGTGAGAAAGGAAATATCTTCAAATAAAAACTAGACAGAAGCATTCTCAGAAACTTATTTGCGATGTGTGTCCTCAACTAACAGAGTTGAACCTTTCTTTTGATACAACATTTTGGAAACACTCTTTTTGTAGAATCTGCAAGTGGATATTTGGATAGCTTTGAAGGTTTCGTTGGAAACGGGAATATCTTCATATGAAATCAAGACAGAAGCATTCTCAGAAACTTCTCTGTGATGTTTGCATTCAACTCATAGAGTTGAACACTTCCCTTCATACAGCAGGTTTGAAACACTCTTTTTCTAATATTTGGAAGTGGACATTTGCAGCGCTTTGAGGCCTATGTTGAAAAAGGAAATATCTTCTCCTAAAAACCAGACAGAAGCATTCTCAGAAACTTCCTTGTGATGTGTGTACTCAAGTAACAGAGTTGAACCTTCCTTTTGACAGAGCAGTTTTGAAGCAGTCTTTTTGTAGAATCTGCAAGTGGATATTTTGATACCTTTGTGGATTTCGTTGGACACGGGATATCTTCATATAAAATCTAGACAGAAGCATTCTCAGAAACTTCTTTGTGCTGTATGTCCTCAATTAACAGAGTTGAACCTTTGTGTGGATACAGCATTTTGGAAACATTCCTTTAGTAGAATCTGCAAGTTGATATTTAGATAGCTAGGAAGATTTCCTTGGAAACGGGAATATCTTCATATAAAATCTAGACGGAAGCATTCTCAGAAAGTGCTTTGTGATGTTTGCATTCAAGTCACAGAGTTGAATATTCCCTTTTATAGAGCAGGTTTGAAACACTCTTTCTGCACTACCTGGAAGTGGACATTTGGAGCGCTTTGAGGCCTATTTTGAAAAAGGAAATATCTTCCCATAAAAACTAGACAGAAGCATTCTCAGAAACTTGTTTGTGATGTGTGTATTCAACTAACAGAGATGAACCTTTCTTTTTACAGAGCAGTTTTGAAACACTCTTTTTGTGGAATCTGAAAGTGGATATTTGGATAGCTTTGAGGATTTCGTTGGAAACGGGATTACATATAAAACCTAGAGAGAAGCATTCTCAGGAACTTCTTTGTGATGTTTGCATTCAAGTCACAGAACTGAACATTCCCTTTCATAGAGCAGGTTTGAAACACTCTTTCTGTAGTATCTGCAAGCTGACGTTTCAAGAGCTTTCAGGCCTATGGTGAGAAAGGAAATATCTTCAAGTAAAAACTAGACAGAAGCATTCTCAGAAACATATTTGCCATGTGTGTTCTCAACTAACAGAGGTTGAACCTTTGTTTTGATACAGCATTTTGGAAACACTCTTTTTGTAGAATCTGCAGGTGGATATTCGGATAGCTTTGAAGGTTTCGTTGGAAACGGGAATATCTTCATATAAAATCAAGACAGAAGCATTCTCTGAAACTTCTCTGTGATGTTTGCATTCAACTCATAGAGTTGAACACTTCCCTTCATACAGCAGGTTTGAAACACTCTTTTTGTAATATTTGGAAGTGGACATTTGCAGCGCTTTGAGGCCTATGTTGAAAAAGGAAATATCTTCTCCTAAAAACCAGACAGAAGAATTCTCAGAAACTTCCTTGTGATGTGTGTACTCAAGTAACAGAGTTGAACCTTACTTTTGACAGAGCCGTTTTGAAACAGTCTTTTTGTAGAATCTGGAAGTAGATATTTGGATACCTTTGAGGATTTCTTTGGAAACGGGATATCTTCATATAAAATCTAGACAGAAGCATTCTCAGAAACTTCTTTGTGCTGTATGTCCTCAGTTAACAGAGTTGAACCTTTGTGTGGATACAGCATTTTGGAAACACTCCTTTAGTAGAATCTGCAAGTTGATATTTAGATAGCTAGGAAGATTTCCTTGGAAACGGGAATATCTTCACATAAAATCTAGACGGAAGCATTCTCAGAAACTTCTCTGTGATGTTTGCATTCAACTCATAGAGTTGAACACTTCCCTTCATAGAGCAGGTTTGAAACACTCTTTTTGTAATATTTTGAAGTGGACATTTGCAGCGCTTTGAGGCCTATGTTGAAAAAGGAAATATCTTCTCCTAAAAACCAGACAGAAGCATTCTCAGAAACTTGTTTGTGATGTGTGTATTCAACTAACAGAGATGAACCTTTCTTTTTACAGAGCAGTTTTGAAACACTCTTTTTGTGGAATCTGAAAGTGGATATTTGGATAGCTTTGAGGATTTCGTTGGAAACGGGATTACATATAAAATCTAGAGAGAAGCATTCTCAGGAACTTCTTTGTGATGTTTGCATTCACGTCACAGAACTGAACATTCCCTTTCATAGAGCATGTTTGAAACACTCTTTCTGTAGTATCTGCAAACGGACATTTCAAACGCTTTCAGGCCTATGGTGAGAAAGGAAATATCTTCAACTAAAAACTAGACAGAAGCATTCTCAGAAACTTATTAGCGATGTGTGTCCTCAACTAACAGAGTTGTACCTTTCTTTTGATACAACATTTTGGAAACACTCTTTTTGTGGAATCTGCAAGTGGATATTTGGATAGCTTTGAAGATTTCGTTGGAAACGGGAATATCTTCATATAAAATCAAGACAGAAGCATTCTCAGAAACTGCTTTGTGATGTTTTCATTCAAGTCACAGAGTAGAATGTTCCCTGTTATATACCAGGTTTGAGACACACTTTCTGCACTACCTGGAAGTGCACATTTGGAGCGCTTTGAAGCCTATGATGAAAAAGGAAATATCTTCCCATAAAAACTAGACAGAAGCATTCTCAGAAACTTGTTTGTGATGTGTGTATTCAACTAACAGAGATGAACCTTTCTTTTTACAGAGCAGTTTTGAAACACTCTTTTTGTGGAATCTGAAAGTGGATATTTGGATAGCTTTGAGGATTTCGTTGGAAACGGGATTACATATAAAACCTAGAGAGAAGCATTCTCAGGAACTTCTTTGTGATGTTTGCATTCAAGTCACAGAACTGAACATTCCCTTTCATAGAGCAGGTTTGAAACACTCTTTCTGTAGTATCTGCAAGCTGACGTTTCAAGCGCTTTCAGGCCTATGGTGAGAAAGGAAATATCTTCAAGTAAAAACTAGACAGAAGCATTCTCAGAAACTTATTTGCGATGTGTGTTCTCAACTAACAGAGTTGAACCTTTGTTTTGATATGGCATTTTGGAAACACTCTTTTTGTAGAATCTGCAGGTGGATATTCGGATAGCTTTGAACGTTTCGTTGGAAACGGGAATATCTTCATATAAAATCTAGACGGAAGCATTCTCAGAAACTGCTTTGTGATGTTTTCATTCAAGTCACAGAGTAGAATGTTCCCTGTTATATACCAGGTTTGAGACACTCTTTCTGCACTACCTGGAAGTGGACATTTGGAGCGCTTTGAGGCCTATGATGAAGAAGGAAATATCTTCCCATAAAAACTAGACAGAAGCATTCTCAGAAACTTGTTTGTGATGTGTGTATTCAACTAACAGAGATGAACCTTTCTTTTTACAGAGCAGTTTTGAAACACTCTTTTTGTGGAATCTGAAAGTGGATATTTGGATAGCTTTGCGGATTTCGTTGGAAACGGGATTACATATAAAATCTAGGGAGAAGCATTCTCAGGAACTTCTTTGTGATGTTTGCATTCAAGTCACAGAACTGAACATTCCCTTTCATAGAGCAGGTTTGAAACACTCTTTCTGTAGTATCTGCAAGCGGACGTTTTAAGCGCTTTCAGGCCTGTGGTGAGAAAGGAAATATCTTCAAATAAAAACTAGACAGAAGCATTCTCAGAAACTTATTTGCGATGTGTGTCCTCAACTAACAGAGTTGAACCTTTCTTTTGATACAACATTTTGGAAACACTCTTTTTGTAGAATCTGCAAGTGGATATTTGGATAGCTTTGAAGGTTTCGTTGGAAACGGGAATATCTTCATATGAAATCAAGACAGAAGCATTCTCAGAAACTTCTCTGTGATGTTTGCATTCAACTCATAGAGTTGAACACTTCCCTTCATACAGCAGGTTTGAAACACTCTTTTTCTAATATTTGGAAGTGGACATTTGCAGCGCTTTGAGGCCTATGTTGAAAAAGGAAATATCTTCTCCTAAAAACCAGACAGAAGCATTCTCAGAATCTTTCTTGTGATGTGTGTACTCAAGTAACAGAGTTGAACCTTCATTTTGACAGAGCAGTTTTGAAGCACTCTTTTTGTAGAATCTGCAAGTGGATATTTTGATACCTTTGAGGATTTCGTTAGACACGGGATATCTTCATATGAAATCTAGACAGAAGCATTCTCAGAAACTTCTTTGTGCTGTATGTCCTCAATTAACAGAGTTGAACCTTTGTGTGGATACAGCATTTTGGAAACATTCCTTTAGTAGAATCTGCAAGTTGATATTTAGATAGCTAGGAAGATTTCCTTGGAAACGGGAATATCTTCATATAAAATCTAGACGGAAGCATTCTCAGAAAGTGCTTTGTGATGTTTGCATTCAAGTCACAGAGTTGAATATTCCCTTTTATAGAGCAGGTTTGAAACACTCTTTCTGCACTACCTGGAAGTGGACATTTGGAGCGCTTTGAGGCCTATGTTGAAAAACGAAATATCTTCCCATAAAAACTAGACAGAAGCATTCTCAGAAACTTGTTTGTGATGTGTGTATTCAACTAACAGAGATGAACCTTTCTTTTTACAGAGCAGTTTTGAAACACTCTTTTTGTGGAATCTGAAAGTGGATATTTGGATAGCTTTGAGGATTTCGTTGGAAACGGGATTACATATAAAACCTAGAGAGAAGCATTCTCAGGAACTTCTTTGTGATGTTTGCCTTCAAGTCACAGGACTGAACATTCCCTTTCATAGAGCAGGTTTGAAACACTCTTTCTGTAGTATCTGCAAGCTGACGTTTCAAGCGCTTTCAGGCCTATGGTGAGAAAGGAAATATCTTCAAGTAAAAACTAGACAGAAGCATTCTCAGAAACTTATTTGCGATGTGTGTTCTCAACTAACAGAGTTGAACCTTTGTTTTGATATGGCATTTTGGAAACACTCTTTTTGTAGAATCTGCAGGTGGATATTCGGATAGCTTTGAAGGTTTCGTTGGAAACGGGAATATCTTCATATAAAATCTAGACGGAAGCATTCTCAGAAACTGCTTTGTGATGTTTTCATTCAAGTCACAGAGTAGAATGTTCCCTGTTATATACCAGGTTTGAGACACTCTTTCTGCACTACCTGGAAGTGGACGTTTGGAGCGCTTTGAGGCCTATGTTGAAAAAGGAAATATCTTCCCATAAAAACTAGACAGAAGCATTCTCAGAAACTTGTTTGTGATGTGTGTATTCAACTAACAGAGATGAACCTTTCTTTTTACAGAGCAGTTTTGAAACACTCTTTTTGTGGAATCTGAAAGTGGATATTTGGATAGCTTTGAGGATTTCGTTGGAAACGGGATTACATATAAAACCTAGAGAGAAGCATTCTCAGGAACTTCTTTGTGATGTTTGCATTCAAGTCACAGAACTGAACATTCCCTTTCATAGAACAGGTTTGAAACACTCTTTCTGTAGTATCTGCAAGCTGACGTTTCAAGCGCTTTCAGGCCTATGGTGAGAAAGGAAATATCTTCAAGTAAAAACTAGACAGAAGCATTCTGAGAAACTTCTTTGCCATGTGTGTTCTCAACTAACAGAGTTGAACCTTTGTTTTGATACGGCATTTTGGAAACACTCTTTTTGTAGAATCTGCAGGTGGATATTCGGATAGCTTTGAAGGTTTCGTTGGAAACGGGAATATCTTCATATAAAATCTAGACGGAAGCATTCTCAGAAACTGCTTTGTGATGTTTTCATTCAAGTCACAGAGTAGAATGTTCCCTGTTATATACCAGGTTTGAGACACTCTTTCTGCACTACCCGGAAGTGGACGTTTGGAGCGCTTTGAGGCCTATGTTGAAAAAGGAAATATCTTCCCATAAAAACTAGACAGAAGCATTCTCAGAAACTTGTTTGTGATGTGTGTATTCAACTAACAGAGATGAACCTTTCTTTTTACAGAGCAGTTTTGAAACACTCTTTTTGTGGAATCTGAAAGTGGATATTTGGATAGCTTTGAGGATTTCGTTGGAAACGGGATTACATATAAAATCTAGAGAGAAGCATTCTCAGGAACTTCTTTGTGATGTTTGCATTCACGTCACAGAACTGAACATTCCCTTTCATAGAGCATGTTTGAAACACTCTTTCTGTAGTATCTGCAAACGGACATTTCAAACGCTTTCAGGCCTATGGTGAGAAAGGAAATATCTTCAAGTAAAAATTAGACAGAAGCATTCTCAGAAACTTATTTGCGATGTGTGTCCTCAACTAACAGAGTTGAACCTTTCTTTTGATACAACATTTTGGAAACACTCTTTTTGTAGAATCAGCAAGTGGATATTTGAATAGCTTTGAAGGTTTCGTTGGAAACGGGAATATCTTCATATAAAATCAAGACAGAAGCATTCTCAGAAACTTCTCTGTGATGTTTGCATTCAACTCATAGAGTTGAACACTTCCCTTCATACAGCAGGTTTGAAACACTCTTTTTGTAATATTTGGAAGTGGTCATTTGCAGCGCTTTGACGCCTATGATGAAAAAGGTAATATCTTCCCATAAAAACTAGACAGAAGCATTCTCAGAAACTTGTTTGTGATGTGTGTATTCAACTAACAGAGATGAACCTTTCTTTTTACAGAGCAGTTTTGAAACACTCTTTTTGTGGAATCTGAAAGTGGATATTTGGATAGCTTTGCGGATTTCGTTGGAAACGGGATTACATATAAAATCTAGGGAGAAGCATTCTCAGGAACTTCTTTGTGATGTTTGCATTCAAGTCACAGAACTGAACATTCCCTTTCATAGAGCAGGTTTGAAACACTCTTTCTGTAGTATCTGCAAGCGGACGTTTTAAGCGCTTTCAGGCCTGTGGTGAGAAAGGAAATATCTTCAAATAAAAACTAGACAGAAGCATTCTCAGAGACTTATTTGCGATGTGTGTCCTCAACTAACAGAGTTGAACCTTTCTTTTGATACAACATTTTGGAAACACTCTTTTTGTAGAACCTGCAAGTGGATATTTGGATAACTTTGAAGGTTTCGTTGGAAACGGGAATATCTTCATATGAAATCAAGACAGAAGCATTCTCAGAAACTTCTCTGTGATGTTTGCATTCAACTCATAGAGTTGAACACTTCCCTTCATACAGCAGGTTTGAAACACTCTTTTTCTAATATTTGGAAGTGGACATTTGCAGCGCTTTGAGGCCTATGTTGAAAAAGGAAATATCTTCTCCTAAAAACCAGACAGAAGCATTCTCAGAAACTTCCTTGTGATGTGTGTACTCAAGTAACAGAGTTGAACCTTCCTTTTGACAGAGCAGTTTTGAACCACTCTTTTTGTAGAATCTGCAAGTGGATATTTTGATACCTTTGAGGATTTCGTTGGACACGGGATATCTTCATATAAAATCTAGACAGAAGCATTCTCAGAAACCTCTTTGTGCTGTATGTCTTCAATTAACAGAGTTGAACCTTTGTTTGGAAACAGCATTTTGGAAACGTTCCTTTAGTAGAATCTGCAAGTTGATATTTAGATAGCTAGGAAGATTTCCTTGGAAACGGGGATATCTTCACATAAAATCTAGACGGAAGCATTCTCAGAAAGTGCTTTGTGATGTTTGCATTCAAGTCACAGAGTTGAATATTCCCTTTTATAGAGCAGGTTTGAAACACTCTTTCTGCACTACCTGGAAGTGGACATTTGGAGCGCTTTGAGGCCTATGTTGAAAAAGGAAATATCTTCCCATAAAAACTAGACAGAAGCATTCTCAGAAACTTGTTTGTGATGCGTGTTTTCAACTAACAGAGATGAACCTTTCTTTTTACAGAGCAGTTTGGAAACACTCTTTTTGTGGAATCTGAAAGTGGATATTTGGATAGCTTTGAGGATTTCGTTGGAAACGGGATTACATATAAAATCTAGAGAGAAGCATTCTCAGGAACTTCTTTGTGATGTTTGCATTCAAGTCACAGAACTGAACATTCCCTTTCATAGAGCATGTTTGAAACACTCTTTCTGTAGTATCTGCAAGCGGACGTTTCAAGCGCTTTCAGGCCTATGGTGAGAAAGGAAATATCTTCAAGTAAAAACTAGACAGAAGCATTCTCAGAAACTTATTTGCCATGTGTGTTCTCAACTAACAGAGTTGAACCTTTGTTTTGATACAGCATTTTGGAAACACTCTTTTTGTAGAATCTGCAGGTGGATATTCGGATAGCTTTGAAGGTTTCGTTGGAAACGGGAATATCTTCATATAAAATCTAGACGGAAGCATTCTCAGAAACTGCTTTGTGATGTTTTCATTCAAGTCACAGAGTAGAATGTTCCCTTTTATATACCAGGTTTGAGACACTCTTTCTGCACTATCTGGAAGTGGACATTTGGAGCGCTTTGAGGCCTATGATGAAAAAGGAAATATCTTCCCATAAAAACTAGACAGAAGCATTCTCAGAAACTTGTTTGTGATGTGTGTATTCAACTAACAGAGATGAACCTTTCTTTTTACAGAGCAGTTTTGAAACACTCTTTTTGTGGAATCTGAAAGTGGATATTTGGATAGCTTTGAGGATTTCGTTGGAAACGGGATTACATATAAAATCTAGAGAGAAGCATTCTCAGGAACTTCTTTGTGATGTTTGCATTCACGTCACAGAACTGAACATTCCCTTTCATAGAGCATGTTTGAAACACTCTTTCTGTAGTATCTGCAAACGGACATTTCAAGCGCTTTCAGGCCTATGGTAAGAAAGGAAATATCTTCAAATAAAAACTAGACAGAAGCATTCTCAGAAACTTATTTGCGATGTGTGTCCTCAACTAACAGAGTTGAACCTTTGTTTTGATACAACATTTTGGAAACACTCTTTTTGTAGAATCTGCAAGTGGATATTTGGATAGCTTTGAAGGTTTCGTTGGAAACGGGAATATCTTCATATAAAATCAAGACAGAAGCATTCTCAGAAACTTCTCTGTGATGTTTGCATTCAACTCATAGAGGTGAACACTTCCCTTCATAGAGCAGGTTTGAAACACACTTTTTGTAATATTTGGAAGTGGACATTTGCAGCGCTTTGAGGCCTATGTTGAAAAAGGAAATATCTTCTCCTAAAAACCAGACAGAAGCATTCTCAGAAACTTCCTTGTGATGTGTGTACTCAAGTAACAGAGTTGAACCTTACTTTTGACAGAGCCGTTTTGAAACAGTCTTTTTGTAGAATCTGGAAGTAGATATTTGGACACCTTTGAGGATTTCTTTGGAAACGGGATGATCTTCATATAAAATCTAGACAGAAGCATTCTCAGGAACTTCTTTGTGATGTTTGCATTCACGTCACAGAACTGAACATTCCCTTTCATAGAGCATGTTTGAAACACTCTTTCTGTAGTATCTGCAAACGGACATTTCAAACGCTTTCAGGCCTATGGTGAGAAAGGAAATATCTTCAAATAAAAACTAGACAGAAGCATTCTCAGAAACTTATTTGCGATGTGTGTCCTCAACTAACAGAGTTGAACCTTTCTTTTGATACAACATTTTGGAAACACTCTTTTTGAAGAATCTGCAAGTGGATATTTGGATAGCTTTGAAGGTTTCGTTGGAAACGGGAATATCTTCATATAAAATCAAGACAGAAGCATTCTCAGAAACTTCTCTGTGATGTTTGCATTCAACTCATAGAGTTGAACACTTCCCTTCATACAGCAGGTTTGAAACACTCTTTTTGTAATATTTGGAAGTGGACATTTGCAGCGCTTTGAGGCCTATGATGAAAAAGGTAATATCTTCCCATAAAAACTAGACAGAAGCATTCTCAGAAACTTGTTTGTGATGTGTGTATTCAACTAACAGAGATGAACCTTTCTTTTTACAGAGCAGTTTTGAAACGCTCTTTTTGTGGAATCTGAAAGTGGATATTTGGATAGCTTTGCGGATTTCGTTGGAAACGGGATTACATATAAAATCTAGGGAGAAGCATTCTCAGGAACTTCTTTGTGATGTTTGCATTCAAGTCACAGAACTGAACATTCCCTTTCATAGAGCAGGTTTGAAACACTCTTTCTGTAGTATCTGCAAGCGGACGTTTTAAGCGCTTTCAGGCCTGTGGTGAGAAAGGAAATATCTTCAAATAAAAACTAGACAGAAGCATTCTCAGAAACTTATTTGCGATGTGTGTCCTCAACTAACAGAGTTGAACCTTTCTTTTGATACAACATTTTGGAAACACTCTTTTTGTAGAATCTGCAAGTGGATATTTGGATAGCTTTGAAGGTTTCGTTGGAAACGGGAATATCTTCATATGAAATCAAGACAGAAGCATTCTCAGAAACTTCTCTGTGATGTTTGCATTCAACTCATAGAGTTGAACACTTCCCTTCATACAGCAGGTTTGAAACACTCTTTTTCTAATATTTGGAAGTGGACATTTGCAGCGCTTTGAGGCCTATGTTGAAAAAGGAAATATCTTCTAAAAACCAGACAGAAGCATTCTCAGAAACTTGTTTGTGATGTGTGTATTCAACTAAGAGAGATGAACCTTTCTTTTTACAGAGCAGTTTTGAAGCACTCTTTTTGTGGAATCTGAAAGTGGATATTTGGATAGCTTTGCGGATTTCGTTGGAAACGGGATTACATATAAAATCTAGGGAGAAGCATTCTCAGGAAATTCTTTGTGATGTTTGCATTCAAGTCACAGAACTGAACATTCCCTTTCATAGATCAGGTTTGAAACACTCTTTCTGTAGTATCTGCAAGCGGACGTTTTAAGCGCTTTCAGGCCTGTGGTGAGAAAGGAAATATCTTCAAATAAAAACTAGACAGAAGCATTCTCAGAAACTTATTTGCGATGTGTGTCCTCAACTAACAGAGTTGAACCTTTCTTTTGATACAACATTTTGGAAACACTCTTTTTGTAGAATCTGCAAGTGGATATTTGGATAGCTTTGAAGGTTTCGTTGGAAACGGGAATATCTTCATATGAAATCAAGACAGAAGCATTCTCAGAAACTTCTCTGTGATGTTTGCATTCAACTCATAGAGTTGAACACTTCCCTTCATACAGCAGGTTTGAAACACTCTTTTTCTAATATTTGGAAGTGGACATTTGCAGCACTTTGAGGCCTATGTTGAAAAAGGAAATATCTTCTCCTAAAAACCAGACAGAAGCATTCTCAGAAACTTCCTTGTGATGTGTGTACTCAAGTAACAGAGTTGAACCTTCCTTTTGACAGAGCAGTTTTGAAGCACTCTTTTTGTAGAATCTGCAAGTGGATATTTTGATACATTTGAGGATTTCGTTGGACACGGGATATCTTCATATAAAATCTAGACAGAAGCATTCTCAGAAACTTCTTTGTGCTGTATGTCCTCAATTAACAGAGTTGAACCTTTGTGTGGATACAGCATTTTGGAAACATTCCTTTAGTAGAATCTGCAAGTTGATATTTAGATAGCTAGGAAGATTTCCTTGGAAACGGGAATATCTTCATATAAAATCTAGACGGAAGCATTCTCAGAAAGTGCTTTGTGATGTTTGCATTCAAGTCACAGAGTTGAATATTCCCTTTTATAGAGTAGGTTTGAAACACTCTTTCTGCACTACCTGGAAGTGGACATTTGGAGCGCTTTGAGGCCTATGTTGAAAAAGGAAATATCTTCCCATAAAAACTAGACAGAAGCATTCTCAGAAACTTGTTTGTGATGTGTGTATTCAACTAACAGAGATGAACCTTTCTTTTTACAGAGCAGTTTTGAAACACTCTTTTTGTGGAATCTGAAAGTGGATATTTGGATAGCTTTGAGGATTTCGTTGGAAACGGGATTACATATAAAACCTAGAGAGAAGCATTCTCAGGAACTTCTTTGTGATGTTTGCCTTCAAGTCACAGGACTGAACATTCCCTTTCATAGAGCAGGTTTGAAACACTCTTTCTGTAGTATCTGCAAGCTGACGTTTCATGCGCTTTCAGGCCTATGGTGAGAAAGGAAATATCTTCAAGTAAAAACTAGACAGAAGCATTGTCAGAAACTTATTTGCCATGTGTGTTCTCAACTAACAGAGTTGAACCTTTGTTTTGATACGGCATTTTGGAAACACTCTTTTTGTAGAATCTGCAGGTGGATATTCGGATAGCTTTGAAGGTTTCGTTGGAAACGGGAATATCTTCATATAAAATCTAGACGGAAGCATTCTCAGAAACTGCTTTGTGATGTTTTCATTCAAGTCACAGTGTAGAATGTTCCCTGTTATATACCAGGTTTGAGACACTGTTTCTGCACTACCTGGAAGTGGACGTTTGGAGCGCTTTGAGGCCTATGTTGAAAAAGGAAATATCTTCCCATAAAAACTAGACAGAAGCATTCTCAGAAACTTGTTTCTGATGTGTGTATTCAACTAACAGAGATGAACCTTTCTTTTTACAGAGTAGTTTTGAAACACTCTTTTTGTGGAATCTGAAAGTGGATATTTGGATAGCTTTGCGGATTTCGTTGGAAACGGGATTACATATAAAATCTAGAGAGAAGCATTCTCAGGAACTTCTTTGTGATGTTTGCATTCACGTCACAGAACTGAACATTCCCTTTCATAGAGCATGTTTGAAACACTCTTTCTGTAGTATCTGCAAACGGACATTTCAAACGCTTTCAGGCCCATGGTGAGAAAGGAAATATCTTCAAGTAAAAACTAGACAGAAGCATTCTCAGAAACTTATTTGCGATGTGTGTCCTCAACTAACAGAGTTGAACCTTTCTTTTGATACAACATTTTGGAAACACTCTTTTTGTAGAATCTGCAAGTGGATATTTGAATAGCTTTGAAGGTTTCGTTGGAAACGGGAATATCTTCATATAAAATCAAGACAGAAGCATTCTCAGAAACTTCTCTGTGATGTTTGCATTCAACTCATAGAGTTGAACACTTCCCTTCATACAGCAGGTTTGAAACACTCTTTTTGTAATATTTGGAAGTGGACATTTGCAGCGCTTTGAGGCCTATGATGAAAAAGGTAATATCTTCCCATAAAAACTAGACAGAAGCATTCTCAGAAACTTGTTTGTGATGTGTGTATTCAACTAACAGAGATGAACCTTTCTTTTTACAGAGCAGTTTTGAAACACTCTTTTTGTGGAATCTGAAAGTGGATATTTGGATAGCTTTGCGGATTTCGTTGGAAACGGGATTACATATAAAATCTAGGGAGAAGCACTCTCAGGAACTTCTTTGTGATGTTTGCATTCAAGTCACAGAACTGAACATTCCCTTTCATAGAGCAGGTTTGAAACACTCTTTCTGTAGTATCTGCAAGCGGACGTTTTAAGCGCTTTCAGGCCTGTGGTGAGAAAGGAAATATCTTCAAATAAAAACTAGACAGAAGCATTCTCAGAAACTTATTTGCGATGTGTGTCCTCAACTAACAGAGTTGAACCTTTCTTTTGATACAACATTTTGGAAACACTCTTTTTGTAGAATCTGCAAGTGGATATTTGGATAGCTTTGAAGGTTTCGTTGGAAACGGGAATATCTTCATATGAAATCAAGACAGAAGCATTCTCAGAAACTTCTCTGTGATGTTTGCATTCAACTCATAGAGTTGAACACTTCCCTTCATACAGCAGGTTTGAAACACTCTTTTTCTAATATTTGGAAGTGGACATTTGCAGCGCTTTGAGGCCTATGTTGAAAAAGGAAATATCTTCTCCTAAAAACCAGACAGAAGCATTCTCAGAAACTTCCTTGTGATGTGTGTACTCAAGTAACAGAGTTGAACCTTCCTTTTGACAGAGCAGTTTTGAAGCACTCTTTTTGTAGAATCTGCAAGTGGATATTTTGATACCTTTGAGGATTTTGTTGGACACGGGATATCTTCATATAAAATCTAGACAGAAGCATTCTCAGAAACTTCTTTGTGCTGTATGTCCTCAATTAACAGAGTTGAACCTTTGTGTGGATACAGCATTTTGGAAACATTCCTTTAGTAGAATCTGCAAGTTGATATTTAGATAGCTAGGAAGATTACCTTGGAAACGGGAATATCTTCATATAAAATCTAGACGGAAGCATTCTCAGAAAGTGCTTTGTGATGTTTGCATTCAAGTCACAGAGTTGAATATTCCCTTTTATAGAGCAGGTTTGAAACACTCTTTCTGCACTACCTGGAAGTGGACATTTGGAGCGCTTTGAGGCCTATGTTGAAAAAGGAAATATCTTCCCATAAAAACTAGACAGAAGCATTCTCAGAAACTTGTTTGTGATGTGTGTATTCAAGTAACAGAGATGAACGTTTCCTTTTACAGAGCAGTTTTGAAACACTCTTTTTGTGGAATCTGAAAGTGGATATTTGGATAGCTTTGAGGATTTCGTTGGAAACGGGATTACATATAAAATCTAGAGAGAAGCATTCTCAGGAACTTCTTTGTGATGTTTGCATTCAAGTCACAGAACTGAACATTCCCTTTCATAGAGCAGGTTTGAAACACTCTTTCTGTAGTATCTGCAAGCGGACGTTTTAAGCGCTTTCAGGCCTGTGGTGAGAAAGGAAATATCTTCAAATAAAAACTAGACAGAAGCATTCTCAGAAACTTATTTGCGATGTGTGTCCTCAACTAACAGAGTTGAACCTTTCTTTTGATACAACATTTTGGAAACACTCTTTTTGTAGAATCTGCAAGTGGATATTTGGATAGCTTTGAAGGTTTCGTTGGAAACGGGAATATCTTCATATGAAATCAAGACAGAAGCATTCTCAGAAACTTCTCTGCGATGTTTGCATTCAACTCATAGAGTTGAACACTTCCCTTCATACAGCAGGTTTGAAACACTCTTTTTCTAATATTTGGAAGTGGACATTTGCAGCGCTTTGAGGCCTATGTTGAAAAAGGAAATATCTTCTCCTAAAAACCAGACAGAAGCATTCTCAGAAACTTCCTTGTGATGTGTGTACTCAAGTAACAGAGTTGAATCTTCCTTTTGACAGAGCAGTTTTGAAGCACTCTTTTTGTAGAATCTGCAAGTGGATATTTTGATACCTTTGAGGATTTCGTTGGACACGGGATATCTTCATATAAAATCTAGACAGAAGCATTCTCAGGAACTTCTTTGTGATGTTTGCATTCAAGTCACAGAACTCAACATTCCCTTTCATAGAGCAGGTTTGAAACACTCTTTCTGTAGTATCTGCAAGCTGACGTTTCAAGCGCTTTCAGGCCTATGGTGAGAAAGGAAATATCTTCAAGTAAAAACTAGACAGAAGCATTCTCAGAAACTTATTTGCGATGTGTGTTCTCAACTAACAGAGTTGAACCTTTGTTTTGATATGGCATTTTGGAAACACTCTTTTTGTAGAATCTGCAGGTGGATATTCGGATAGCTTTGAAGGTTTCGTTGGAAACGGGAATATCTTCATATAAAATCTAGACGGAAGCATTCTCAGAAACTGCTTTGTGATGTTTTCATTCAAGTCACAGAGTAGAATGTTCCCTGTTATATACGAGGTTTGAGACACTCTTTCTGCACTACCTGGAAGTGGACATTTGCAGCGCTTTGAGGCCTATGATGAAAAAGGAAATATCTTCCCATAAAAACTAGACAGAAGCATTCTCAGAAACTTGTTTTTGATGTGTGTATTCAACTAACAGAGATGAACCTTTCTTTTTACAGAGCAGTTTTGAAACACTCTTTTTGTGGAATCTGAAAGTGGATATTTGGATAGCTTTGAGGATTTCCTTGGAAACGGGATTACATATAAAATCTAGAGAGAAGCATTCTCAGGAACTTCTTTGTGATGTTTGCATTCACGTCACAGAACTGAACATTCCCTTTCATAGAGCATGTTTGAAACACTCTTTCTGTAGTATCTGCAAACGGACATTTCAAACGCTTTCAGGCCTATGGTGAGAAAGGAAATATCTTCAAATAAAAACTAGACAGAAGCATTCTCAGAAACTTATTTGAGATGTGTGTCCTCAACTAACAGAGTTGAACCTTTCTTTTGATACAACATTTTGGAAACACTCTTTTTGTAGAATCTGCAAGTGGATATTTGGATAGCTTTGAAGGTTTCGTTGGAAACGGGAATATCTTCATATAAAATCAAGACAGAAGCATTCTCAGAAACTTCTCTGTGATGTTTGCATTCAACTCATAGAGTTGAACACTTCCCTTCATACAGCAGGTTTGAAACACTCTTTTTGTAATATTTGGAAGTGGACATTTGCAGCGCTTTGAGGCCTATGATGAAAAAGGTAATATCTTCCCATAAAAACTAGACAGAAGCATTCTCAGAAACTTGTTTGTGATGTGTGTATTCAACTAACAGAGATGAACCTTTCTTTTTACAGAGCAGTTTTGAAACACTCTTTTTGTGGAATCTGAAAGTGGATATTTGGATAGCTTTGCGGATTTCGTTGGAAACGGGATTACATATAAAATCTAGGGAGAAGCATTCTCAGGAACTTCTTTGTGATGTTTGCATTCAAGTCACAGAACTGAACATTCCCTTTCATAGAGCAGCTTTGAAACACTCTTTCTGTAGTATCTGCAAGCGGACGTTTTAAGCGCTTTCAGGCCTGTGGTGAGAAAGGAAATATCTTCAAATAAAAACTAGACAGAAGCATTCTCAGAAACTTATTTGCGATGTGTGTCCTCAACTAACAGAGTTGAACCTTTCTTTTGATACAACATTTTGGAAACACTCTTTTTGTAGAATCTGCAAGTGGATATTTGGATAGCTTTGAAGGTTTCGTTGGAAACGGGAATATCTTCATATGAAATCAAGACAGAAGCATTCTCAGAAACTTCTCTGTGATGTTTGCATTCAACTCATAGAGTTGAACACTTCCCTTCATACAGCAGGTTTGAAACACTCTTTTTGTAATATTTGGAAGTGGACATTTGCAGCGCTTTGAGGCCTATGTTGAAAAAGGAAATATCTTCTCCTAAAAACCAGACAGAAGCATTCTCAGAAACTTCCTTGTGATGTGTGTACTCAAGTAACAGAGTTGAACCTTCCTTTTGACAGAGCAGTTTTGAAGCACTCTTTTTGTAGAATCTGCAAGTGGATATTTTGATACCTTTGAGGATTTCGTTGGACGCGGGATATCTTCATATAAAATCTAGACAGAAGCATTCTCAGGAACTTCTTTGTGATGTTTGCCTTCAAGTCACAGGACTGAACATTCCCTTTCATAGAGCAGGTTTGAAACACTCTTTCTGTAGTATCTGCAAGCTGACGTTTCATGCGCTTTCAGGCCTATGGTGAGAAAGGAAATATCTTCAAGTAAAAACTAGACAGAAGCATTCTCAGAAACTTATTTGCCATGTGTGTTCTCAACTAACAGAGTTGAACCTTTGTTTTGATGCGGCATTTTGGAAACACTCTTTTTGTAGAATCTGCAGGTGGATATTCGGATAGCTTTGAAGGTTTCGTTGGAATCGGGAATATCTTCATATAAAATCTGGACGGAAGCATTCTCAGAAACTGCTTTGTGATGTTTTCATTCAAGTCACAGAGTAGAATGTTCCCTGTTATATACCAGGTTTGAGACACTCTTTCTGCACTACCTGGAAGTGGACGTTTGGAGCGCTTTGAGGCCTATGTTGAAAAAGGAAATATCTTCCCATAAAAACTAGACAGAAGCATTCTCAGAAACTTGTTTGTGATGTGTGTATTCAACTAACAGAGATGAACCTTTCTTTTTACAGAGCAGTTTTGAAACACTCTTTTTGTGGAATCTGAAAGTGGATATTTGGATAGCTTTGAGGATTTCGTTGGAAACGGGATTACATATAAAATCTAGGGAGAAGCATTCTCAGGAACTTCTTTGTGATGTTTGCATTCAAGTCACAGAACTGAACATTCCCTTTCATAGAGCAGGTTTGAAACACTCTTTCTGTAGTATCTGCAAGTGAACGTTTGAAGCGCTTTCAGGCCTGTGGTGAAAAAGGAAATATCTTCAAATAAAAACTAGACAGAAGCATTCTCAGAAACTTATTTGCGATGTGTGTTCTCAGCTAACAGAGTTGAACCTTTGTTTTGATACAGCATTTTGGAAACACTCTTTTTGTAGGATCTGCAGGTGGATATTTGGATAGCTTTGAAGGTTTCTTTGGAAACGGGAATATCTTCATATAAAATCAAGACAGAAGCATTCTCAGAAACTTCTCTGTGATGTTTGCATTCAACTCATAGAGTTGAACACTTCCTTTCATAGAGCTGGTTTGAAATACTCTTTTTGTAATATTTGGAAGTGGACATTGGCAGCGCTTTGAAGCCTATGGTGAAAAAGGAGATATCTTCTCCTAAAAACCAGACAGAAGGATTCTCAGAATCTTTCTTGTGATGTGTGTACTCAAGTAACAGAGGTGAACCTTCATTTTGACAGAGCAGTTTTGAAGCACTCTTTTTGTAGAATCTGCAAGTGGATATTTTGATACCTTTGAGGATTTCGTTAGACACGGGATATCTTCATATAAAATCTAGACAGAAGCATTCTCAGAAACTTCTTTGTGCTGTATGTCCTCAATTAACAGAGTTGAACCTTTGTGTGGATACAGCATTTTGGAAACATTCCTTTAGTAGAATCTGCAAGTTGATATTTAGATAGCTAGGAAGATTTCCTTGGAAACGGGAATATCTTCATATAAAATCTAGACGGAAGCATTCTCAGAAAGTGCTTTGTGATGTTTGCATTCAAGTCACAGAGTTGAATATTCCCTTTTATAGAGCAGGTTTGAAACACTCTTTCTGCACTACCTGGAAGTGGACATTTGGAGCGCTTTGAGGCCTATGTTGAAAAACGAAATATCTTCCCATAAAAACTAGACAGAAGCATTCTCAGAAACTTGTTTGTGATGTGTGTATTCAACTAACAGAGATGAACCTTTCTTTTTACAGAGCAGTTTTGAAACACTCTTTTTGTGGAATCTGAAAGTGGATATTTGGATAGCTTTGAGGATTTCGTTGGAAACGGGATTACATATAAAACCTAGAGAGAAGCATTCTCAGGAACTTCTTTGTGATGTTTGCCTTCAAGTCACAGGACTGAACATTCCCTTTCATAGAGCAGGTTTGAAACACTCTTTCTGTAGTATCTGCAAGCTGACGTTTCAAGCGCTTTCAGGCCTATGGTGAGAAAGGAAATATCTTCAAGTAAAAACTAGACAGAAGCATTCTCAGAAACTTATTTGCCATGTGTGTTCTCAACTAACAGAGTTGAACCTTTGTTTTGATACGGCATTTTGGAAACACTCTTTTTGTAGAATCTGCAGGTGGATATTCGGATAGCTTTGAAGGTTTCGTTGGAAACGGGAATATCTTCATATAAAATCTAGACGGAAGCATTCTCAGAAACTGCTTTGTGATGTTTTCATTCAAGTCACAGAGTAGAATGTTCCCTGTTATATACCAGGTTTGAGACACTCTTTCTGCACTACCCGGAAGTGGACGTTTGGAGCGCTTTGAGGCCTATGTTGAAAAAGGAAATATCTTCCCATAAAAACTAGACAGAAGCATTCTCAGAAACTTGTTTGTGATGTGTGTATTCAACTAACAGAGATGAACCTTTCTTTTTACAGAGCAGTTTTGAAACACTCTTTTTGTGGAATCTGAAAGTGGATATTTGGATAGCTTTGAGGATTTCGTTGGAAACGGGATTACATATAAAATCTAGAGAGAAGCATTCTCAGGAACTTCTTTGTGATGTTTGCATTCACGTCACAGAACTGAACATTCCCTTTCATAGAGCATGTTTGAAACACTCTTTCTGTAGTATCTGCAAACGGACATTTCAAACGCTTTCAGGCCTATGGTGAGAAAGGAAATATCTTCAAGTAAAAACTAGACAGAAGCATTCTCAGAAACTTATTTGCGATGTGTGTCCTCAACTAACAGAGTTGAACCTTTCTTTTGATACAACATTTTGGAAACACTCTTTTTGTAGAATCAGCAAGTGGATATTTGAATAGCTTTGAAGGTTTCGTTGGAAACGGGAATATCTTCATATAAAATCAAGACAGAAGCATTCTCAGAAACTTCTCTGTGATGTTTGCATTCAACTCATAGAGTTGAACACTTCCCTTCATACAGCAGGTTTGAAACACTCTTTTTATAATATTTGGAAGTGGACATTTGCAGCGCTTTGAGGCCTATGATGAAAAAGGTAATATCTTCCCATAAAAACTAGACAGAAGCATTCTCAGAAACTTGTTTGTGATGTGTGTATTCAACTAACAGAGATGAACCTTTCTTTTTACAGAGCAGTTTTGAAACACTCTTTTTGTGGAATCTGAAAGTGGATATTTGGATAGCTTTGCGGATTTCGTTGGAAACTGGATTACATATAAAATCTAGGGAGAAGCATTCTCAGGAACTTCTTTGTGATGTTTGCATTCAAGTCACAGAACTGAACATTCCCTTTCATAGAGCAGGTTTGAAACACTCTTTCTGTAGTATCTGCAAGCGGACGTTTTAAGCGCTTTCAGGCCTGTGGTGAGAAAGGAAATATCTTCAAATAAAAACTAGACAGAAGCATTCTCAGAAACTTATTTGCGATGTGTGTCCTCAACTAACAGAGTTGAACCTTTCTTTTGATACAACATTTTGGAAACACTCTTTTTGTAGAATCTGCAAGTGGATATTTGGATAGCTTTGAAGGTTTCGTTGGAAACGGGAATATCTTCATATGAAATCAAGACAGAAGCATTCTCAGAAACTTCTCTGTGATGTTTGCATTCAACTCATAGAGTTGAACACTTCCCTTCATACAGCAGGTTTGAAACACTCTTTTTCTAATATTTGGAAGTGGACATTTGCAGCGCTTTGAGGCCTATGTTGAAAAAGGAAATATCTTCTCCTAAAAACCAGACAGAAGCATTCTCAGAAACTTCCTTGTGATGTGTGTACTCAAGTAACAGAGTTGAACCTTCCTTTTGACAGAGCAGTTTTGAAGCACTCTTTTTGTAGAATCTGCAAGTGGATATTTTGATACCTTTGAGGATTTCGTTGGACACGGGATATCTTCATATAAAATCTAGACAGAAGCATTCTCAGAAACTTCTTTGTGCTGTATGTCCTCAATTAACAGAGTTGAACCTTTGTGTGGATACAGCATTTTGGAAACATTCCTTTAGAAGAATCTGCAAGTTGATATTTAGATAGCTAGGAAGATTTCCTTGGAAACGGGAATATCTTCATATAAAATTTAGACGGAAGCATTCTCAGAAAGTGCTTTGTGATGTTTGCATTCAAGTCACAGAGTTGAATATTCCCTTTTATAGAGTAGGTTTGAAACACTCTTTCTGCACTACCTGGAAGTGGACATTTGGAGCGCTTTGAGGCCTATGTTGAAAAAGGAAATATCTTCCCATAAAAACTAGACAGAAGCATTCTCAGAAACTTGTTTGTGATGTGTGTATTCAACTAACAGAGATGAACCTTTCTTTTTACAGAGCAGTTTTGAAACACTCTTTTTGTGGAATCTGAAAGTGGATATTTGGATAGCTTTGAGGATTTCGTTGGAAACGGGATTACATATAAAACCTAGAGAGAAGCATTCTCAGGAACTTCTTTGTGATGTTTGCCTTCAAGTCACAGGACTGAACATTCCCTTTCATAGAGCAGGTTTGAAACACTCTTTCTGTAGTATCTGCAAGCTGACGTTTCAAGCGCTTTCAGGCCTATGGTGAGAAAGGAAATATCTTCAAGTAAAAACTAGACAGAAGCATTCTCAGAAACTTATTTGCCATGTGTGTTCTCAACTAACAGAGTTGAACCTTTGTTTTGATACGGCATTTTGGAAACACTCTTTTTGTAGAATCTGCAGGTGGATATTCGGATAGCTTTGAAGGTTTCGTTGGAAACGGGAATATCTTCATATAAAATCTAGACGGAAGCATTCTCAGAAACTGCTTTGTGATGTTTTCATTCAAGTCACAGAGTAGAATGTTCCCTGTTATATACCAGGTTTGAGACACTCTTTCTGCACTACCTGGAAGTGGACGTTTGGAGCGCTTTGAGGCCTATGTTGAAAAAGGAAATATCTTCCCATAAAAACTAGACAGAAGCATTTTCAGAAACTTGTTTGTGATGTGTGTATTCAACTAACAGAGATGAACCTTTCTTTTTACAGAGCAGTTTTGAAACACTCTTTTTGTGGAATCTGAAAGTGGATATTTGGATAGCTTTGAGGATTTCGTTGGAAACGGGATTACATATAAAATCTAGAGAGAAGCATTCTCAGGAACTTCTTTGTGATGTTTGCATTCAAGTCACAGAACTGAACATTCCCTTTCATAGAGCATGTTTGAAACACTCTTTCTGTAGTATCTGCAAACGGACATTTCAAACGCTTTCAGGCCTATGGTGAGAAAGGAAATATCTTCAAATAAAAACTAGACAGAAGCATTCTCAGAAACTTATTTGCGATGTGTGTCCTCAACTAACAGAGTTGAACCTTTCTTTTGATACAACATTTTGGAAACACTCTTTTTGTAGAATCTGCAAGTGGATATTTGGATAGCTTTGAAGGTTTCGTTGGAAACGGGAATATCTTCATATGAAATCAAGACAGAAGCATTCTCAGAAACTTCTCTGTGATGTTTGCATTCAACTCATAGAGTTGAACACTTCCCTTCATACAGCAGGTTTGAAACACTCTTTTTGTAATATTTGGAAGTGGACATTTGCAGCGCTTTGAGGCCTATGTTGAAAAAGGAAATATCTTCTCCTAAAAACCAGACAGAAGCATTCTCAGAAACTTGTTTGTGATGTGTGTATTCAACTAACAGAGATGAACCTTTCTTTTTACAGAGTAGTTTTGAAACACTCTTTTTGTGGAATCTGAAAGTGGATATTTGGATAGCTTTGAGGATTTCGTTGGAAACGGGATTACATATAAAATCTAGGGAGAAGCATTCTCAGGAACTTCTTTGTGATGTTTGCATTCAAGTCACAGAACTGAACATTCCCTTTCATAGTGCAGGTTTGAAACACTCTTTCTGTAGTATCTGCAAGCTGACGTTTCAAGCGCTTTCAGGCCTGTGGTGAAAAAGGAAATATCTTCAAATAAAAACTAGACAGAAGCATTCTCAGAAACTTATTTGCGATGTGTGTTCTCAACTAACAGAGTTGAACCTTTGTTTGGATACAACATTTTGGAAACACTCTTTTTGTAGAATCTGCAAGTGGATATTTGGATAGCTTTGAAGGTTTCGTTGGAAACGGGAATATCTTGATATAAAATCAAGACAGAAGCATTCTCAGAAACTTCTCTGTGATGTTTGCATTCAACTCATAGAGTTGAACACTTCCCTTCATACAGCAGGTTTGAAACACTCTTTTTGTAGTATTTGGAAGTGGACATTTGCAGCGCTTTGAGGCCTATGATGAAAAAGGAAATATCTTCCCATAAAAACTAGACAGAAGCATTCTCAGAAACTTGTTTGTGATGTGTGTATTCAACTAACAGAGATGAACCTTTCTTTTTACCGAGCAGTTTTGAAACACTCTTTTTGTGGAATCTGAAAGTGGATATTTGGATAGCTTTGAGGATTTCGTTGGAAACGGGATTACATATAAAACCTAGAGAGAAGCATTCTCAGGAACTACTTTGTGATGTTTGCATTCAAGTCACAGAACTGAAAATTCCCTTTCATAGAGCAGGTTTGAAACACTCTTTCTGTAGTATCTGCAAGCTGACGTTTCAAGCGCTTTCAGGCCTATGGTGAGAAAGGAAATATCTTCAAGTAAAAACTAGACAGAAGCATTCTCAGAAACTTATTTGCCATGTGTGTTCTCAACTAACAGAGTTGAACCTTTGTTTTGATACGGCATTTTGGAAACACTCTTTTTGTAGAATCTGCAGGTGGATATTCGGATAGCTTTGAACGTTTCGTTGGAAACGGGAATATCTTCATATAAAATCTAGACGGAAGCATTCTCAGAAACTGCTTTGTGATGTTTTCATTCAAGTCACAGAGTAGAATGTTCCCTGTTATATACCAGGTTTGAGACACTCTTTCTGCACTACCTGGAAGTGGACGTTTGGAGCGCTTTGAGGCCTATGTTGAAAAAGGAAATATCTTCCCATAAAAACTAGACAGAAGCATTCTCAGAAACTTGTTTGTGATATGTGTATTCAACTAACAGGGATGAACCTTTCTTATTACAGAGCAGTTTTGAAACACTCTTTTTGTGGAATCTGAAAGTGGATATTTGGATAGCTTTGAGGATTTCGTTGGAAACGGGATTACATATAAAACCTAGAGAGAAGCATTCTCAGGAACTTCTTTGTGATGTTTGCATTCAAGTCACAGAACTGAACATTCCCTTTCATAGAGCATGTTTGAAACACTCTTTCTGTAGTATCTGCAAACGGACATTTCAAACGCTTTCAGGCCTATGGTGAGAAAGGAAATATCTTCAAATAAAAACTAGACAGAAGCATTCTCAGAAACTTGTTTGCGATGTGTTTCCTCAACTAACAGAGTTGAACCTTTCTTTTGATACAACATTTTGGAAACACTCTTTTTGTAGAATCTGCAAGTGGATATTTGGATAGCTTTGAAGGTTTCTTTGGAAACGGGAATATCTTCATATAAAATCAAGACAGAAGCATTCTCAGAAACTTCTCTGTGATGTTTGCATTCAACTCATAGAGTTGAACACTTCCCTTCATACAGCAGGTTTGAAACACTCTTTTTGTAATATTTGGAAGTGGACATTTGCAGCGCTTTGAGGCCTATGATGAAAAAGGTAATATCTTCCCATAAAAACTAGACAGAAGCATTCTCAGAAACTTGTTTGTGATGTGTGTATTCAACTAACAGAGATGAACCTTTCTTTTTACAGAGCAGTTTTGAAACACTCTTTTTGTGGAATCTGAAAGTGGATATTTGGATAGCTTTGAGGATTTCGTTGGAAACGGGATTACATATAAAATCTAGAGAGAAGCATTCTCAGGAACTTCCTTTGTGATGTTTGCATTCAAGTCACAGAACTGAACATTCCCTTTCATAGAGCAGGTTTGAAACACTCTTTCTGTAGTATCTGCAAGCGGACGTTTTAAGCGCTTTCAGGCCTGTGGTGAGAAAAGAAATATCTTCAAATAAAAACTAGACAGAAGCATTCTCAGAAACTTATTTGCGATGTGTGTTCTCAACTAACAGAGTTGAACTTTTGTTTTGATACAGCATTTTGGAAACACTCTTTTTGTAGGATCTGCAGGTGGATATTTGGATAGCTTTGAAGGTTTCGTTGGAAACGGGAATATCTTCATATAAAATCAAGACAGAAGCATTCTCAGAAACTTCTCTGTGATGTTTGCATTCAACTCATAGAGTTGAACACTTCCCTTCATACAGCAGGTTTGAAACACTCTTTTTGTAATATTTGGAAGTGGACATTTGCAGCGCTTTGAGGCCTATGATGAAAAAGGAAATATCTTCCCATAAAAACTAGACAGGAAGCATTCTCAGAAACTTCCTTGTGATGTGTGTACTCAAGTAACAGAGTTGAACCTTCCTTTTGACAGAGCAGTTTTGAAGCACTCTTTTTGTAGAATCTGCAAGTGGATATTTTGATACCTTTGAGGATTTCGTTGGACACGGGATATCTTCATATAAAATCTAGACAGAAGCATTCTCAGAAACTTCTTTGTGCTGTATGTCCTCAATTAACAGAGTTGAACCATTGTGTGGATACAGCATTTTGGAAACATTCCTTTAGTAGAATCTGCAAGTTGATATTTAGATAGCTAGGAAGATTTCCTTGGAAACGGGAATATCTTCATATAAAATCTAGACGGAAGCATTCTCAGAAAGTGCTTTGTGATGTCTTCATTCAAGTCACAGAGTAGAATGTTCCCTTTTATAGAGCAGGTTTGAAACACTCTTTCTGCACTACCTGGAAGTGGACATTTGGAGCACTTTGAGGCCTATGTTGAAAAAGGAAATATCTTCCCATAAAAACTAGACAGAAGCATTCTCAGAAACTTGTTTGTGATGTGTGTATTCAACTAACAGAGATGAACCTTTCTTTTTACAGAGCAGTTTTGAAACACTCTTTTTGTGGAATCTGAAAGTGGATATTTGGATAGCTTTGAGGATTTCGTTGGAAACGGGATTACATATAAAACCTAGAGAGAAGCATTCTCAGGAACTTCTTTGTGATGTTTGCATTCAAGTCACAGAACTGAACATTCCCTTTCATAGAGCAGGTTTGAAACACTCTTTCTGTAGTATCTGCAAGCTGACGTTTCAAGCGCTTTCAGGCCTATGGTGAGAAAGGAAATATCTTCAAGTAAAAACTAGACAGAAGCATTCTCAGAAACTTATTTGCGATGTGTGTTCTCAACTAACAGAGTTGAACCTTTGTTTTGATATGGCATTTTGGAAACACACTTTTTGTAGAATCTGCAGGTGGATATTCGGATAGCTTTGAAGGTTTCGTTGGAAACGGGAATATCTTCATATAAAATCTAGACGGAAGCATTCTCAGAAACTGCTTTGTGATGTTTTCATTCAAGTCACAGAGTAGAATGTTCCCTGTTATATACCAGGTTTGAGACACTCTTTCTGCACTATCTGGAAGTGGACATTTGCAGCGCTTTGAGGCCTATGATGAAAAAGGAAATATCTTCCCATAAAAACTAGACAGAAGCATTCTCAGAAACTTGTTTGTGATGTGTGTTTTCAACTAACAGAGATGAACCTTTCTTTTTACAGAGCAGTTTTGAAACACTCTTTTTGTGGAATCTGAAAGTGGATATTTGGATAGCTTTGAGGATTTCGTTGGAAACGGGATTACATATAAAATCTAGAGAGAAGCATTCTCAGGAACTTCTTTGTGATGTTTGCATTCACGTCACAGAACTGAACATTCCCTTTCATAGAGCATGTTTGAAACACTCTTTCTGTAGTATCTGCAAACGGACATTTCAAACGCTTTCAGGCCTATGGTGAGAAAGGAAATATCTTCAAATAAAAACTAGACAGAAGCATTCTCAGAAACTTATTTGCGATGGGTGTCCTCAACTAACAGAGGTGAACCTTTGTTTTGATACAACATTTTGGAAACACTCTTTTTGTAGAATCTGCAAGTGGATATTTGGATAGCTTTGAAGGTTTCGTTGGAAACGGGAATATCTTCATATAAAATCAAGACAGAAGCATTCTCAGAAACTTCTCTGTGATGTTTGCATTCAACTCATAGAGTTGAACACTTCCCTTCATAGAGCAGGTTTGAAACACTCTTTTTGTAATATTTGGAAGTGGACATTTGCAGCGCTTTGAGGCCTATGTTGAAAAAGGAAATATCTTCTCCTAAAAACCAGACAGAAGCATTCTCAGAAACTTCCTTGTGATGTGTGTACTCAAGTAACAGAGTTGAACCTTACTTTGGACAGAGCCGTTTTGAAACAGTCTTTTTGTAGAATCTGGAAGTAGATATTTGGATACCTTTGAGGATTTCTTTGGAAACGGTATATCTTCATATAAAATCTAGACAGAAGCATTCTCAGGAACTTCTTTGTGATGTTTGCATTCAAGTCACAGAACTGAACATTCCCTTTCATAGAGCAGGTTTGAAACACTCTTTCTGTAGTATCTGCAAGCTGACGTTTCAAGCGCTTTCAGGCCTATGGTGAGAAAGGAAATATCTTCAAGTAAAAACTAGACAGAAGCATTCTCAGAAACTTATTTGCGATGTGTGTTCTCAACTAACAGAGTTGAACCTTTGTTTTGATATGGCATTTTGGAAACACTCTTTTTGTAGAATCTGCAGGTGGATATTCGGATAGCTTTGAACGTTTCGTTGGAAACGGGAATATCTTCATATAAAATCTAGACGGAAGCATTCTCAGAAACTTCTATGTGATGTTTGCCTTCAACTCATAGAGTTGAACACTTCCTTTCATAGAGCAGGTTTGAAACACTCTGTGCACTACCTGGAAGTGGACATTTTAAGCGCTTTGAGACCTATGTTGAAAAAGGAATTATCTTCCCATAAAAACTAGACAGAAGCATTCTCAGAAACTTGTTTGTGATGTGTGTATTCAACTAACAGAGATGAACCTTTCTTTTTACAGAGCAGTTTTGAAACACTCTTTTTGTGGAATCTGAAAGTGGATATTTGGATAGCTTTGAGGATTTCGTTGGAAACGGGATTACATATAAAATCTAGAGAGAAGCATTCTCAGGAACTTCTTTGTGATGTTTGCATTCACGTCACAGAACTGAACATTCCCTTTCATAGAGCATGTTTGAAACACTCTTTCTGTAGTATCTACAAACGGACATTTCAAACGCTTTCAGGCCTGTGGTGAGAAAGGAAATATCTTCAAATAAAAACTAGACAGAAGCATTCTCAGAAACTTATTTGCGATGTGTGTCCTCAACTAACAGAGTTGAACCTTTCTTTTGATACAACATTTTGGAAACACTCTTTTTGTAGAATCTGCAAGTGGATATTTGGATAGCTTTGAAGGTTTCGTTGGAAACGGGAATATCTTCATATGAAATCAAGACAGAAGCATTCTCAGAAACTTCTCTGTGATGTTTGCATTCAACTCATAGAGTTGAACACTTCCCTTCATACAGCAGGTTTGAAACACTCTTTTTCTAATATTTGGAAGTGGACATTTGCAGCGCTTTGAGGCCTATGTTGAAAAAGGAAATATCTTCTCCTAAAAACCAGACAGAAGCATTCTCAGAAACTTCCTTGTGATGTGTGTACTCAAGTAACAGAGTTGAACCTTCATTTTGACAGAGCAGTTTTGAAGCACTCTTTTTGTAGAATCTGCAAGTGGATATTTTGATACCTTTGAGGATTTCGTTAGACACGGGATATCTTCATATAAAATCTAGACAGAAGCATTCTCAGGAACTTCTTTGTGATGTTTGCATTCAAGTCACAGAACTGAACATTCCCTTTCATAGAGCATGTTTGAAACACTCTTTCTGTAGTATCTGCAAGCGGACGTTTTAAGCGCTTTCAGGCCTGTGGTGAGAAAGGAAATATCTTCAAATAAAAACTAGACAGAAGCATTCTCAGAAACTTATTTGCGATGTGTGTCCTCAACTAACAGAGTTGAACCTTTCTTTTGATACAACATTTTGGAAACACTCTTTTTGTAGAATCTGCAAGTGGATATTTGGATAGCTTTGAAGGTTTCGTTGGAAACGGGAATATCTTCATATGAAATCAAGACAGAAGCATTCTCAGAAACTTCTCTGTGATGTTTGCATTCAACTCATAGAGTTGAACACTTCCCTTCATACAGCAGGTTTGAAACACTCTTTTTCTAATATTTGGAAGTGGACATTTGCAGCGCTTTGAGGCCTATGTTGAAAAAGGAAATATCTTCTCCTAAAAACCAGACAGAAGCATTCTCAGAAACTTCCTTGTGATGTGTGTACTCAAGTAACAGAGTTGAACCTTCCTTTTGACAGAGCAGTTTTGAAGCACTCTTTTTGTAGAATCTGCAAGTGGATATTTTGATACCTTTGAGGATTTCTTTGGACACGGGATATCTTCATATAAAATCTAGACAGAAGCATTCTCAGAAACTTCTTTGTGCTGTATGTCCTCAATTAACAGAGTTGAACCTCTGTGTGGATACAGCATTTTGGAAACATTCCTTTAGTAGAATCTGCAAGTTGATATTTAGATAGCTAGGAAGATTTCCTTGGAAACGGGAATATCTTCATATAAAATCTAGACGGAAGCATTCTCAGAAAGTGCTTTGTGATGTTTGCATTCAAGTCACAGAGTTGAATATTCCCTTTTATAGAGCAGGTTTGAAACACTCTTTCTGCACTACCTGGAAGTGGACATTTGGAGCGCTTTGAGGCCTATGTTGAAAAAGGAAATATCTTCCCATAAAAACTAGACAGAAGCATTCTCAGAAACTTGTTTGTGATGTGTGTATTCAACTAACAGAGATGAACCTTTCTTTTTACAGAGCAGTTTTGAAACACTCTTTTTGTGGAATCTGAAAGTGGATATTTGGATAGCTTTGAGGATTTCGTTGGAAACGGGATTACATATAAAACCTAGAGAGAAGCATTCTCAGGAACTTCTTTGTGATGTTTGCATTCAAGTCACAGAACTGAACATTCCCTTTCATAGAGCAGGTTTGAAACACTCTTTCTGTAGTATCTGCAAGCTGACGTTTCAAGCGCTTTCAGGCCTATGGTGAGAAAGGAAATATCTTCAAGTAAAAACTAGACAGAAGCATTCTCAGAAACTTATTTGCGATGTGTGTTCTCAACTAACAGAGTTGAACCTTTGTTTTGATATGGCATTTTGGAAACACTCTTTTTGTAGAATCTGCAGGTGGATATTCGGATAGCTTTGAAGGTTTCGTTGGAAACGGGAATATCTTCATATAAAATCAAGACAGAAGCATTCTCAGAAACTTCTCTGTGATGTTTGCATTCAACTCATAGAGTTGAACACTTCCCTTCATACAGCAGGTTTGAAACACTCTTTTTGTAATATTTGGAAGTGGACATTTGCAGCGCTTTGAGGCCTATGTTGAAAAAGGAAATATCTTCTCCTAAAAACCAGACAGAAGCATTCTCAGAAACTTGTTTGTGATGTGTGTATTCAACTAACAGAGATGAACCTTTCTTTTTACAGAGCAGTTTTGAAACACTCTTTTTGTGGAATCTGAAAGTGGATATTTGGATAGCTTTGCGGATTTCGTTGGAAACGGGATTACATATAAAATCTAGGGAGAAGCATTCTCAGGAACTTCTTTGTGATGTTTGCATTCAAGTCACAGAACTGAACATTCCCTTTCATAGAGCAGGTTTGAAACACTCTTTCTGTAGTATCTGCAAGGGGACGTTTTAAGCGCTTTCAGGCCTGTGGTGAGAAAGGAAATATCTTCAAATAAAAACTAGACAGAAGCATTCTCAGAAACTTATTTGCGATGTGTGTTCTCAACTAACAGAGTTGAACCTTTGTTTTGATATGGCATTTTGGAAACACTCTTTTTGTAGAATCTGCAGGTGGATATTCGGATAGCTTTGAAGGTTTCGTTGGAAACGGGAATATCTTCATATAAAATCTAGACGGAAGCATTCTCAGAAACTGCTTTGTGATGTTTTCATTCAAGTCACAGAGTAGAATGTTCCCTGTTATATACCAGGTTTGAGACACTCTTTCTGCACTACCTGGAAGTGGACATTTGGAGCGTTTTGAGGCCTATGATGAAAAAGGAAATATCTTCCCATAAAAACTAGACAGAAGCATTCTCAGAAACTTGTTTGTGATGTGTGTATTCAACTAACAAGAGATGAACCTTTCTTTTTACAGAGCAGTTTTGAAACACTCTTTTTGTGGAATCTGAAAGTGGATATTTGGATAGCTTTGAGGATTTCGTTGGAAACGGGATTACATATAAAATCTAGAGAGAAGCATTCTCAGGAACTTCTTTGTGATGTTTGCCTTCAAGTCACAGGACTGAACATTCCCTTTCATAGAGCAGGTTTGAAACACTCTTTCTGTAGTATCTGCAAGCTGACGTTTCAAGCGCTTTCAGGCCTATGGTGAGAAAGGAAATATCTTCAAGTAAAAACTAGACAGAAGCATTCTCAGAAACTTATTTGCCATGTGTGTTCTCAACTAACAGAGTTGAACCTTTGTTTTGATACGGCATTTTGGAAACACTCTTTTTGTAGAATCTGCAGGTGGATATTCGGATAGCTTTGAAGGTTTCGTTGGAAACGGGAATATCTTCATATAAAATCTTGACGGAAGCATTCTCAGAAACTGCTTTGTGATGTTTTCATTCAAGTCACAGAGTAGAATCTTCCCTGTTATATACCAGGTTTCAGACACTCTTTCTGCACTACCTGGAAGTGGACATTTGCAGCGCTTTGAGGCCTATGATGAAAAAGGAAATATCTTCCCATAAAAACTAGACAGAAGCATTCTCAGAAACTTGTTTGTGATGTGTGTATTCAACTAACAGAGATGAACCTTTCTTTTTACAGAGCAGTTTTGAAACACTCTTTTTGTGGAATCTGAAAGTGGATATTTGGATAGCTTTGAGGATTTCGTTGGAAACGGGATTACATATAAAACCTAGAGAGAAGCATTCTCAGGAACTTCTTTGTGATGTTTGCATTCAAGTCACAGAACTGAACATTCCCTTTCATAGAGCAGGTTTGAAACACTCTTTCTGTAGTATCTGCAAGCTGACGTTTCAAGCGCTTTCAGGCCTATGGTGAGAAAGGAAATATCTTCAAGTAAAAACTAGACAGAAGCATTCTCAGAAACTTATTTGCCATGTGTGTTCTCAACTAACAGAGTTGAACCTTTGTTTTGATACGGCATTTTGGAAACACTCTTTTTGTAGAATCTGCAGGTGGATATTCGGATAGCTTTGAAGGTTTCGTTGGAAACGGGAATATCTTCATATAAAATCTAGACGGAAGCATTCTCAGAAACTGCTTTGTGATGTTTTCATTCAAGTCACACAGTAGAATCTTCCCTGTTATATACCAGGTTTCAGACACTCTTTCTGCACTACCTGGAAGTGGACATTTGCAGCGCTTTGAGGCCTATGATGAAAAAGGAAATATCTTCCCATAAAAACTAGACAGAAGCATTCTCAGAAACTTGTTTGTGATGTGTGTATTCAACTAACAGAGATGAACCTTTCTTTTTACAGAGCAGTTTTGAAACACTCTTTTTGTGGAATCTGAAAGTGGATATTTGGATAGCTTTGCGGATTTCGTTGGAAACGGGATTACATATAAAATCTAGGGAGAAGCATTCTCAGGAACTTCTTTGTGATGTTTGCATTCAAGTCACAGAACTGAACATTCCCTTTCATAGAGCAGGTTTGAAACACTCTTTCTGTAGTATCTGCAAGCGGACGTTTCAAGCGCTTTCAGGCCTGTGGAGAAAAAGGAAATATCTTCAAATAAAAACTAGACGGAAGCATTCTCAGAAACTTATTTGCGATGTGTGTCCTCAACTAACAGAGTTGAACCTTTGTTTTGATACAGCATTTTGGAAACACTCTTTTTGTAGGATCTGCAGGTGGATATTTGGATAGCTTTTAAGGTTTCGTTGGAAACGGGAATATCTTCATATAAAATCAAGACAGAAGCATTCTCAGAAACTTCTCTGTGATGTTTGCATTCAACTCATAGAGTTGAAGACTTCCTTTCACAGAGCCGGTTTGAAACACTCTGTGCACTACCTGGAAGTGGACATTTGGAGCGCTTTGAGGCCTATGTTGAAAAAGGAAATATCTTCCCATAAAAACTAGACAGAAGCATTCTCAGAAACTTGTTTGTGATGTGTGTATTCAACTAACAGAGATGAACCTTTCTTTTTACAGAGCAGTTTTGAAACACTCTTTTTGTGGAATCTGAAAGTGGATATTTGGATAGCTTTGAGGATTTCGTTGGAAACGGGATTACATATAGAATCTAGGGAGAAGCATTCTCAGGAACTTCTTTGTGATGTTTGCATTCAAGTCACAGAACTGAACATTCCCTTTCATAGAGCAGGTTTGAAACACTCTTTCTGTAGTATCTGCAAGCGGACGTTTTAAGCGCTTTCAGGCCTGTGGTGAGAAAGGAAATATCTTCAAATAAAAACTAGACAGAAGCATTCTCAGAAACTTATTTGCGATGTGTGTCCTCAACTAACAGAGTTGAACCTTTCTTTTGATACAACATTTTGGAAACACTCTTTTTGTAGAATCTGCAAGTGGATATTTGGATAGCTTTGAAGGTTTCGTTGGAAACGGGAATATCTTCATATGAAATCAAGACAGAAGCATTCTCAGAAACTTCTCTGTGATGTTTGCATTCAACTCATAGAGTTGAACACTTCCCTTCATACAGCAGGTTTGAAACACTCTTTTTCTAATATTTGGAAGTGGACATTTGCAGCGCTTTGAGGCCTATGTTGAAAAAGGAAATATCTTCTCCTAAAAACCAGACAGAAGCATTCTCAGAAACTTCCTTGTGATGTGTGTACTCAAGTAACAGAGTTGAACCTTCCTTTTGACAGAGCAGTTTTGAAGCACTCTTTTTGTAGAATCTGCAAGTGGATATTTTGATACCTTTGAGGATTTTGTTGGACACGGGATATCTTCATATAAAATCTAGACAGAAGCATTCTCAGAAACTTCTTTGTGCTGTATGTCCTCAATTAACAGAGTTGAACCTTTGTGTGGATACAGCATTTTGGAAACATTCCTTTAGTAGAATCTGCAAGTTGATATTTAGATAGCTAGGAAGATTACCTTGGAAACGGGAATATCTTCATATAAAATCTAGACGGAAGCATTCTCAGAAAGTGCTTTGTGATGTTTGCATTCAAGTCACAGAGTTGAATATTCCCTTTTATAGAGCAGGTTTGAAACACTCTTTCTGCACTACCTGGAAGTGGACATTTGGAGCGCTTTGAGGCCTATGTTGAAAAACGAAATATCTTCCCATAAAAACTAGACAGAAGCATTCTCAGAAACTTGTTTGTGATGTGTGTATTCAACTAACAGAGATGAACCTTTCTTTTTACAGAGCAGTTTTGAAACACTCTTTTTGTGGAATCTGAAAGTGGATATTTGGATAGCTTTGAGGATTTCGTTGGAAACGGGATTACATATAAAACCTAGAGAGAAGCATTCTCAGGAACTTCTTTGTGATGTTTGCCTTCAAGTCACAGGACTGAACATTCCCTTTCATAGAGCAGGTTTGAAACACTCTTTCTGTAGTATCTGCAAGCTGACGTTTCAAGCGCTTTCAGGCCTATGGTGAGAAAGGAAATATCTTCAAGTAAAAACTAGACAGAAGCATTCTCAGAAACTTATTTGCCATGTGTGTTCTCAACTAACAGAGTTGAACCTTTGTTTTGATACGGCATTTTGGAAACACTCTTTTTGTAGAATCTGCAGGTGGATATTCGGATAGCTTTGAAGGTTTCGTTGGAAACGGGAATATCTTCATATAAAATCTAGACGGAAGCATTCTCAGAAACTTCTCTGTGATGTTTGCATTCAACTCATAGAGTTGAACACTTCCTTTCATAGAGCTGGTTTGAAATACTCTTTTTGTAATATTTGGAAGTGGACATTGGCAGCGCTTTGAAGCCTATGGTGAAAAAGGAGATATCTTCTCCTAAAAACCAGACAGAAGCATTCTCAGAATCTTTCTTGTGATGTGTGTACTCAAGTAACAGAGGTGAACCTTCATTTTGACAGAGCAGTTTTGAAGCACTCTTTTTGTAGAATCTGCAAGTGGATATTTTGATATCTTTGAGGATTTCGTTAGACACGGGATATCTTCATATAAAATCTAGACAGAAGCATTCTCAGGATCTTCTTTGTGATGTTTGCATTCAAGTCACAGAACTGAACATTCCCTTTCATAGAGCAGCTTTGAAACACTCTTTCTGTAGTATCTGCAAGCGGACGTTTCAAGCGCTTTCAGGCCTGTGGTGAAAAAGGAAATATCTTCAAATAAAAACTAGACAGAAGCATTCTCAGAAACTTCTTTGTGCTGTATGTCCTGAATTAACAGAGTTGAACCTTTGTGTGGATACAGCATTTTGGAAACATTCCTTTAGTAGAATCTGCAAGTTGATATTTAGATAGCTAGGAAGATTTCCTTGGAAACGGGAATATCTTCATATAAAATCTAGACGGAAGCATTCTCAGAAAGTGCTTTGTGATGTTTGCATTCAAGTCACAGAGTTGAATATTCCCTTTTATAGAGCAGGTTTGAAACACTCTTTCTGCACTACCTGGAAGTGGACATTTGGAGCGCTTTGAGGCCTATGTTGAAAAAGGAAATATCTTCCCATAAAAACTAGACAGAAGCATTGTCAGAAACTTGTTTGTGATGTGTGTATTCAACTAACAGAGATGAACCTTTCTTTTTACAGAGCAGTTTTGAAACACTCTTTTTGTGGAATCTGAAAGTGAATATTTGGATAGCTTTGAGGATTTCGTTGGAAACGGGATTACATATAAAACCTAGAGAGAAGCATTCTCAGGAACTCCTTTGTGATGTTTGCCTTCAAGTCACAGGACTGAACATTCCCTTTCATAGAGCAGGTTTGAAACACTCTTTCTGTAGTATCTGCAAGCTGACGTTTCAAGCGCTTTCAGGCCTATGGTGAGAAAGGAAATATCTTCAAGTAAAAACTAGACAGAAGCATTCTCAGAAACTTATTTGCCATGTGTGTTCTCAACTACCAGAGTTGAACCTTTGTTTTGATACGGCATTTTGGAAACACTCTTTTTGTAGAATCTGCAGGTGGATATACGGATAGCTTTGAAGGTTTCGTTGGAAACGGGAATATCTTCATATAAAGTCTAGACGGAAGCATTCTCAGAAACTGCTTTGTGATGTTTTCATTCAAGTCACAGAGTAGAATGTTCCCTGTTATATACCAGGTTTGAGACACTCTTTCTGCACTACCTGGAAGTGGACGTTTGGAGCGCTTTGAGGCCTATGTTGAAAAAGGAAATATCTTCCCATAAAAACTAGACAGAAGCATTCTCAGAAACTTGTTTGTGATGTGTGTATTCAACTAACAGAGATGAACCTTTCTTTTTACAGAGCAGTTTTGAAACACTCTTTTTGTGGAATCTGAAAGTGGATATTTGGATAGCTTTGAGGATTTCATTGGAAACGGGATTACATATAAAATCTAGAGAGAAGCATTCTCAGGAACTTCTTTGTGATGTTTGCATTCACGTCACAGAACTGAACATTCCCTTTCATAGAGCATGTTTGAAACACTCTTTGTGTAGTATCTGCAAACGGACATTTCAAACGCTTTCAGGCCTATGGTGAGAAAGGAAATATCTTCAAATAAAAACTAGACAGAAGCATTCTCAGAAACTTATTTGCGATGTGTGTCCTCAACTAACAGAGTTGAACCTTTCTTTTGATACAACATTTTGGAAACACTCTTTTTGTAGAATCTGCAAGTGGATATTTGAATAGCTTTGAAGGTTTCGTTGGAAACGGGAATATCTTCATATAAAATCAAGACAGAAGCATTCTCAGAAACTTCTCTGTGATGTTTGCATTCAACTCATAGAGTTGAACACTTCCCTTCATACAGCAGGTTTGAAACACTCTTTTTGTAATATTTGGAAGTGGACATTTGCAGCGCTTTGAGGCCTATGATGAAAAAGGTAATATCTTCCCGTAAAAACTAGACAGAAGCATTCTCAGAAACTTGTTTGTGATGTGTGTATTCAACTAACAGAGATGAACCTTTCTTTTTACAGAGCAGTTTTGAAACACTCTTTTTGTGGAATCTGAAAGTGGATATTTGGATAGCTTTGCGGATTTCGTTGGAAACGGGATTACATATAAAACCTAGAGAGAAGCATTCTCAGGAACTTCTTTGTGATGTTTGCATTCAAGTCACAGAACTGAACATTCCCTTTCATAGAGCAGGTTTGAAACACTCTTTCTGTAGTATCTGCAAGCTGACGTTTCAAGCGCTTTCAGGCCTATGGTGAGAAAGGAAATATCTTCAAGTAAAAACTAGACAGAAGCATTCTCAGAAACTTATTTGCGATGTGTGTTCTCAACTAACAGAGTTGAACCTTTGTTTTGATATGGCATTTTGGAAACACTCTTTTTGTAGAATCTGCAGGTGGATATTCGGATAGCTTTGAAGGTTTCGTTGGAAACGGGAATATCTTCATATAAAATCTAGACGGAAGCATTCTCAGAAACTGCTTTGTGATGTTTTCATTCAAGTCACAGAGTAGAATGTTCCCTGTTATACACCAGGTTTGAGACACTCTTTCTGCACTACCTGGAAGTGGACGTTTGGAGCGCTTTGAGGCCTATGTTGAAAAAGGAAATATCTTCCCATAAAAACTAGACAGAAGCATTCTCAGAAACTTGTTTGTGATGTGTGTATTCAACTAACAGAGATGAACCTTTCTTTTTACAGAGCAGTTTTGAAACACTCTTTTTGTGGAATCTGAAAGTGGATATTTGGATAGCTTTGAGGATTTCGTTGGAAACGGGATTACATATAAAATCTAGGGAGAAGCATTCTCAGGAACTTCTTCGTGATGTTTGCATTCAAGTCACAGAACTGAACATTCCCTTTCATAGTGCAGGTTTGAAACACTCTTTCTGTAGTATCTGCAAGCTGACGTTTCAAGCGCTTTCAGGCCTGTGGTGAAAAAGGAAATATCTTCAAATAAAAACTAGACAGAAGCATTCTCAGAAACTTATTTGCCATGTGTGTTCTCAACTAACAGAGTTGAACCTTTGTTTGGATACAACATTTTGGAAACACTCTTTTTGTAGAATCTGCAAGTGGATATTTGGATAGCTTTGAAGGTTTCGTTGGAAACGGGAATATCCTCATATAAAATCAAGACAGAAGCATTCTCAGAAACTTCTCTGTGATGTTTGCATTCAACTCATAGAGTTGAACACTTCCCTTCATACAGCAGGTTTGAAACACTCTTTTTGTAATATTTGGAAGTGGACATTTGCAGCGCTTTGAGGCCTATGATGAAAAAGGAAATATCTTCCCATAAAAACTAGACAGAAGCATTCTCAGAAACTTGTTTGTGATGTGTGTATTCAACTAACAGAGATGAACCTTTCTTTTTACAGAGCAGTTTTGAAACACTCTTTTTGTGGAATCTGAAAGTGGATATTTGGATAGCTTTGAGGATTTCGTTGGAAACGGGATTACATATAAAATCTAGAGAGAAGCATTCTCAGGCAACTTCTTTGTGATGTTTGCATTCACGT